>NC_000017.11:21469665-21795850 GCF_000001405.40 Homo sapiens
CTGGGCAACATGGTGAAACCCCGTCTTTACTAAAATACAAAAAAATTAGCTGGGCATGGTGGTGGGCACCTGTAGTTCCGGCCACTTGGGAGGCTGAGGCATGAGAATTGCTTGAACTTGGGAGGTAGAGGTTGCAGTGAGCCGAGAGTGTGCCACAGCACTCCAGCCTGAGTGACAGAGTGAGACTGTCTCAAAAAATAAGCTGATTTTAAACCTTTGCTTAGTGATTCCAAATGTCTGGCTTTCTCAGAGGCAGTTTCTATTGATCGCTTCTTTCTCCTGTGTGAGGGCCATTCTCTCTTTTCTTTGGCATTCCTCCTACATTTTTGTTGAACAGTGGACATTTTGCATATTATAACATGGAAACTCAAAATTCTCTGCTCTCCCGGGGGTTTGTTGTTGTGCTTATTGTAGTTGTTTGTTTAGTATATTTTCTGAACTAATTTTAAAGTTTATATTCTTTGAAGTCTCTGTTCCATTAGTTTAGTGGTCAGCTAACAGCTAGACAGATATTTCCTTAAATACTGGGATTCAAAAAAATCTAATCTTGGCCAGGCGCAGTGGCTTTTGTCTGTAATGCCAGCACTTTGGGAGGCTGAGGCGGGTGGATCACTTGAGGTCAGGAGTTCATGACCAGCTGGGCAACATGGTGAAACCCTGTCTCTACAAAAAATTCAAAAATTAGCTGAGTATGGTGGCACACAACTGTATTCCCAGCTGCTGAGGTGGGAGAATCACTTGAGCCCAAGAGTTTGAGGCTGCAGTGAGCTATAATCATGTTACTGTACTCCAGCCTCGGTGACAGAGCGAGACTCTTCTAAAAAAATAAATAAATAAAATAAAATAAAATAAAAATCTAATCTTTGCAGAGGGAGTCTTTGCATTTTGAGGTCATTCCTTCAATGCTCAGCCAGGTGGTTTCCAACCTGGCCTTAACCATCACTTCCTGCCTGTGTTGAACCTCATGATCAGCCAAGGGTGAGCTTAGAGCTGTCTGAGCTCTTCTCTGAGGGTGCACAGAGCCCTGGGCATGTGTGCGGCCTTCAAGATTCCCAGGAATTTGTAACAATTTTCCAAAGCCCTTGTTGCCTAAAACATCTTATTCCCAGATTTTTCTCCCAGTAGGTTTTGGTTAACCTATTGTTTGCCCCAGCAATCGTCCATTCTGTTTGGCAGTTGAGCCTGGAACATTTGCTGTACATGTTGTCAACAATTGCCCTGAGGTGGGTGCTTCAGTTTGGGGTGAGTTCCAAGGTGGATGAGAGAATGGCAATCCTTTGGAGCCAGCCTTCTGGGAAGCAATCTGACAGATCAAAATGAGCAGTTCCAACTCTCTGAGAATATCTTCATTTCTGATCTCTGCAGTACCGCACTGGGAACAGCAGCTGTGAGTTTTCAAGGGAAGCAGGAGATGGAACCAGGATAAGCTAAAGACCCCAGAGCAAGCTTTTCTTATTGGTGTCATCAGTTTTTCTTGGATATGTGCTCTACTGGTTGCTGCAAACTTTTTATTAGTTTCCAGAGCTCTATAAAGAGTGATTTTGACCATTTTTTGCCAGTGGTTTCACTGTTTTGGTGGAAGGCAGGCCTTTGGAATTCCTAACTCAGAACTTTCCCATGGATGGTTTTAAATAAATTAGTTTTCAGATCTTTAACTTCTACATGGGCTGTTTCCAAAACATGACCTTCCTAAGAACTAGCATGAGATCAAAGAGTCCCTGTTTAGAATAGCCCTTCTCCCACATCACAAAAGGTTCCTTTTCAACAACCTTGCATCTTACTATAGACCGTAGATCCATATCTCCAGGGATGAACAAGGGGATAATTTAAAATACTGAAGTAGGTATTTCGGGTGAGACTGTCTTTAATTCCTGGGTATCAAATCCCACTACAAGTCATGTAACTTTCAATTCTTTTAAACAAGTTGAAGGTGGAACGAATCCAGTTGTCAGCAGATGGGTTATTTACTATAATTTTTATTATATATAACTGTGCTTTTTGGTCTATAACTTTGAAGGAGTTCAAATAATTGTGTAAAGACTCTTTCCATTCCTATCTACTTATTTATGTAAGCAAGGTTTCTCAAGGCTTCCAACTGAACAAGTGAAAAAATAGGTGTATGACTGATGTTGAACTCTGTCACATTCTGGCAGGTAACTGTTCATTCACAGATTCATGGCAAAGCTGGGACAGAAGTCCATCTGTCTCATTAAGAGAAACATTCCAACAATTTTTAATTTTTAATTTTTATATTTGCTAATCATTTACCAAAATTTATGGTGTAGCCATGTTTTATTTGGTTTTTGTATTATATTATTTTGAAGAATAATTCTAATGAAAACTGAATCCATCTTAAGTGATAACAAAGCCTTTGGTAACGTCATCACTTGCAGTTACTTAGATGGCAGATTATGCGCCTGCTGAACTTGTGACTATAAGGGAAGAGTTTGATAAACAATGTAAGTAGTGTGTGTTCTATATTGATAAGTGCATTTGGCAAGTAATTGGAGAAAGATGAGTTCAATAATTTTCCCAGTATGGAAGTAGAACTAAAAAGGAAATCAAGAGAATCCTGAAACATCAGACTTTGTGAGGTGGAAAAACCTTGCTGCTTCTGGACCCCAAGTAGTAAGAGGGTATTTTAGAAGTCCGATCTACCAAGGCTTAGTCTTGAGAATTATGTCCAAGAAAGGCCTTTGGGATGTGGTAATTGGCTCATGGAACTGACTGGAAACACAGGGATGTGAATTAACCAAGATTTGGGGTGGCTTGCAAAACAGCTATGAGCCTGGTCTAAATGCAGAGCAGGATCTAAAATGCTCGGACCCATAGGCAAGTCTTGGTACCATCTTTGTAAGGAAGTAGGCTGCTAAACTTGCAGCTCCCATGGAGACTTTTTCCCCCAAACCCACTTCAGAAGTCACCCAAGATGGTGACAGACAATGATGAATTCCTTGGAGAGGAGAGCCAGGGACAAGAAGAGAAAACAAAATGGAAATGGACTTAATTCCAGAGAGCAGACTTGATGTCCAATCAAGGAAAACATTTTTACTAACTTCCCATCGCCAGCCCTGTAGGCTACACAAATTATTGTGTGTTTCTCCTTGGTCCATGTTCTGCATGTTCTGAATGGGAACCTTAAAGTTATCATTCTGCCTCCTGGCTGCACAGGGCCACATCTTGCTGCTTTGGAGAGGACTCCGTGTGAGCCAATGGTCCTGAGCTTGGAGCAGGATGGAATTACTAGAGAATCCTTTGCATGGCCACCTTGGAGACAGAGTGAGTTTCTGTTTTCTTTGTGTGAAGGGGCAACAGAAACATGATGATCTGCCAACCTGAAGGCATGCTGGTGCAGTCAGTGCCATTGCTCACCTAACCCATTCATGTTCCTCTTGCAGATCAGGTAAACTTCACCTCCCTGCATGTAGCAGAAGCCACAGGACTGAGTCCTTTTCAGTATGATGTGGGCAGAAGCTAAGGCTGCTGCTTTGGGTCTTGGCTCACAGAACCATCTCCTGTGTAATCCCCATTTCTTTTCTCCGTCGTGGCAGCCTTGGAGGCCCCTTGTTGAAAGAAAGGGCACCGCTAAATGAAATAAGCCAAACTGCAGGTTGACTTTAGAGAGGCTCTGTCTCACCTGTGGCCCAGGGAAGCTGGAATAGGAATTTTCTGGGATAGCAACTGCTATAAAATGATTTGTCTTAGAGAGCATGAATCCCAGGACATGCCCTGGAATTCTAGCAGCAAAACTCCCATGGCCAAAGTCCTTTGGGATTTTCCCTTTTCCCCTCCAAGATTTGAGCCAGGGAGGGGTTAGTGAGTCCACAGCTATCCCCCATCATCCCTTGTCTATCTCTCTCTGCTCCTGAGTCCTATCCAGAACCAGAAGTTTGTAACCCACTTGCTTGTGTGGCCTTCTCCTCCTGTGTTTAGCGTGCTATTAATAGACGGATGTGGGGAGACTGTATTTACTGAACATGCCAGGCATTGTTCTAAGGTCTTCATAACTAGATCCCAGTTTATCAGAACCATTCTATGATTTAGCTACCCTTCTTTCTTTCTTTCTTTTTCCTTTGAGACAGGGTCTTGCTCTGTTGCCCAGGCTGGAGTGCAGTGGTGCAATCATAGCTCACTGCGGCCTTGAACTCCCGGGCTCAAGCAATCCTCCTGCCTCAGACTCCCAAGTCACTGGGACTACAGTTGTGCACCACCATGCCCAGCTAATTTTTAGTTTTTATTTTTGTAGAGACAGGGACTCACTATGTTGCTCAGACTGGTCTTGAACTCCTAGCATCAAGCAATTCTCCCACCTCTGCCTCCCAAAGTGCTGGGATTACAGGCGTGAGCCACCATGCCCAGCCTAGCTATTTTCTTAAACCCACTTAATATCTGGATAACATATACCTAGAGATGTAGGGTAACTTTCTCTAGGCCATAGAGCTGCATAGAGCAAAACTGGGATTGAAACACAGGTGTCTGCCCAGAGCCACCCTCTTCTTCCTTATACAGCAACTAGTTTCTGTATATTGTGTGGTAGGAATAATCTGAGCATTTGCAAAGATGGATAGCCTATTTCCTCAACAATACTCAATGAATCTGTGAGCCATCCATCATTTCTTTTGAAAACAACCTTTGTTCTGTTATCAGTTCCTATACATACATGAATATTTGGCAAGGACCTTTGGGCTATTTTGTTTATTTTTATGCCGGTATCAAGTTTGAAACTGTCAAACTCTTTTCCTCTCTCAATAAAAGGTTATAGCATTTACCTTAAAAAATTATGATTTCAATATACTGAAATGCAATTCTTCTCTTTTTTCAGAAACAGGTTGCAGTGCAGTGGTGTGATCATAGCTCACTGCAGCCTTGAACTCTTGAGCTTAAGTGATCCTCCTGCCTCAGCCTCTCAACTAGTTGGGACTATAGATGTGTGTCACCATGCCTGGCTAATTTTTAATTTTTTTTTTTTTCAGAGATGAGGTCTTGCTATGTTGTGCAGGCTGGTCTCAGTCCCCTGGTCTCAAGAGATCCTCCTGCCTTTGCCTCCCCAAGTTTTGGGATTACAGGCATCAGCCACCATGCCCATCCTGAAATGAAATTCTAATCATTTTCAAAATCATAACCCACAGTAAAACTTCTTGAAACTCATTTTTCCAAGTCTCTTTCATCTGAATTCTGTTCCCCCACCCTCGACAAATCTCCCCAGGGGATCTGCCCAGCCCTGAAGAACTCTACAGAGCATGCACTCCCTGTTGCCTATTTCTAAGGCCAGAAAGGTGATTGTGGTTGTTAGGACAGGTGAGAAACCCCATCACTCTCTGCCCACCCACTCCAGCCTGGCTGGCCTCCCAGCCCTCCTCCCCTCCTCATACAGCGTCTGTTGGTTCAGGGAAGAGATCTATTCCCGCACAGTCAGGGAGCTGGCCCCTCCTGCCGCAGTCCCAGAGTTCAAGTCACTGTAAAACCAACCACGCATCCAGTGCCAAGCTGGCCTCTGTGGGGAGAGGACTGCATCTCATATAGCCCCTCCTTGCCTCAAGTTCCTCCTGTTCCTGTGTAAAGAGATAAACGATGGTCCTAGTCTATCTTGTACTCACGTTAGACTCTACTCCTCCCTGTCTGTGGCCTTTGGGCAAGTCTCTCTCCTGCTCAGAGCCTCACAGCCCCTCTCAGGTTCCAACCACAGTGCAGAGGACAGGACTCCCAGAGTGTGTGCAAAACCCTCTGCCTAGCCTACCCAGAGGCTGCTGGTGACTTTTCCACATACCCAATTGTATTGAACTGGGCTGTTTTTCCTGCTTGCCAAGAGCTTTTTCTTTTTTTCCTCTCATCTCAGCTAATCCAGTAGCTGGGACCACAGGCATGCACCACCACACCCACTAATTTAATTAATTAATTTATTTTTATTATTATTTTTTAACAGACAGGGTCTTGGTGTGTTGCTCAGGATGGTCTTGAGCTCTTGGACTCAAGCAACCATCCCACCTTGGCCTCTCAAAGCGCTGAGATTACAGGTGTGAGCCACCGCACCCAGGCAGCCAAAGCGCTTTTCACAGAGCAGTTCAATGGTTCAAGAATGTGGCTCTGCAGGGAGCTTCCGCATGGGACCCTGGCTCCGCCCTTAGCAGTGGGCACCTGACAGATAACCAGCGTCTGTGCTTCCAGCTTCCCATCTGCAACGGGGGATAGTGCAGTGTTTATCTCAGAAGATTACTGTAAATGTTAGTTGAGTGAAAACACAGGAAAACTATAAAATTGTGCCTGGAAAAATCATAAGTCAGGAGAGCGTGGTGGAGGGGAGGTGTGGCATAGGTGACGTCTTGAAAGGGGCCCTAGAGAGGCTTCCAGGTCCTGGGGTGAGCCCATTTTCTGGCATGAGTTCAACTCTCGTAGTGTACTGTTTGTGAGAATCCATTGCATTGTACGCTTAAGATATTTGTGCTTTCCATCTGTGTGTTATACTTTCAAAAAAATTTGTTTTAGTGCCTGAGAATTAGAAAAAAAATCCTAGAGATCTTCAGACCTCCAAAGCTGGGATCCAAGTCTGTTTCTCTGAGGGGATCCCTGTTAATGTCTGGATCATGGACAGAGTGAAAAGGAACTTACAGTAATGTAAATTTGGAGACAGAAAATAGGTAGTGGCAGCAGGGTGATGGGGCCTGGAAGCTGGGAGGGGTGCTGGACCTGCTGGGATGGGAGCAGGGGGAGAGCTGATTGTTTTGTCCCCTCCTGAGTGCGAGAGTAATCTGTAACCCTTCCACAGCCTGTGATGCGGGCCTGGAGCTCTGCACTGAGCTGCACGTTCTCTGTGCCCAGCTGCCGAGGTGTCAGCTCACTTCAGATGATGGAGATGCAGAATATTTGGTGGCTTCTTCTGTGCTTGGAGAGCCCTGGGACTTTGGTTCCATTTCTCATTATTTTGTGTGGGGTTGGGATGTGCTTTCTGTCATGCAACTGCATCCACTGCCATCCATATTTACCAATTCATCTGTAAGGGAACCCTAAAGCCAGCCCCTAGTCTCTTTAGATGGGCTCCTAAATTGACCATTGGACCCCAGGGGCCCCACGAATGAGAATGCTCAGGAGAGACTAGAACACTATCAGTCCAGGGGAGCAGCTTGGGCAGGGCAGGAGGTAGAGTGGGGACCGGGGCTTCTCTCCAGTGCTCACACCCAGCTACCTGGGTGTGTTCAGGATGCCAGGGTAAAGCCCCAAACACCACGACATCGGGGCCATGGACTGGCTTCTTAACAGAATTAAGAGCACCCAAAAAGAGCAGGTCCCCAGCACCTGGGCACTAGCCACCCTCCCTTCTTGGGCGTGCCTGGGCCGAGGCTCCTGACTGTGCTGGGCTGGCCTGGAGCAACGCTGACCCATGAAAGACTCTGATCAGATTGTGTTCAACTGTTTCCAGAAGCGACATGTGCGTCCCAGATGAGACCAACTGGGCACAGAGAACGTGCTGCTCAGTGCAGAGCTCCAGGCCCGCATCACAGGCTGTGGAAGGGTTACAGATGACTCTTGCACTCAGGACGGGACAAAACAGTCAGCTCTCCCCCTGCTCCCACCCCAGCAGGTCCAGCACCCCTCCCGGGCCTTCTGCTGTTCCTCAGCAGAGGGCTCCTGGCTGAAAGATACCTTGATAAGCATGTGCAGAAAACTGTATTCGCTGGAGCTTTATAGAGAATAGGATAAATATTTTCATCACTTTAGCAATCTTCATGAAGTTAACCTAGAAGAAAGTCAACTTTTTCACGTCCGCTGCTCCTTTAGAAGTCAGCACCAATGCAGTGGCAAGAGGACATGCAAGTTGGGAATTTTAAAAGGTGAGGTTTGCTCTCCAGCGCTGGTCCCTTCCAGGTGTGACCTTCACATCTTCTTTCCATGAGGTCCGGGCTCCCATTTGCAGAGGCCGACAGTTCCCAGAGTGACTTTCCTCAGAAAACAGGATCTTAGAGGAGACAGTCAGAGGAGGGGCTTCATCCTCCCCCCTGCACAGCCCCTTGTAGGGATTGGAAAGCGAGGGTCTCTGCCCATGAGGCAGCAGTCACCTTAAGCTGTAGTGTGGGAGGAAGCCTAGGGAATATAGGTTGGTGCTGGGACAGCATTTCCTGGTTCTGACTTAGAGAAAGTGTTAAAATCCCGACATTCCCGACTCCTTCTTTGTGGGAGCCCCTGCCCTGCAGATCTCACGGGGTTGTTGTGAGGGTCACCTGGGGTGATGTGTTTGGAAGTGCTTTGTGAATGACACAGTGGGCCTTCCTATTCCTGTCGCTGGCCCTTCAACCTTGAATACTAATTTCCTGGGATCTCCAGGTTTCAAGGTCTAATCCTGGAAGGGTATGAGGTGTCCCCATTGGAACATTCTACAGCACTTCCTGGGAGGTCCCTTGCTTCCACCTTTGCCCAACATAACCCCTGCTCCTGTTCCCTCAGCCTGGAGAGCTTGCCCAGGGGCACAAGATGGTACTGGACTGAACTTCTCTTTGGGGAAGGTGATTACTTCCTCTTTTCAGCTGTCCCTCTTCCTAACTTGCCCTGTGGAATTCCAGGGCTCTATGCAGCATTTGCCAGACATGAGAGAGAGAACTTCTAGGGCAGGGATCTGCCCTGGGTGGGGATGGAGGAGTATTCTAGAGTCTGGGTGTCAGAAGTGTGAGCCCTGCCCAGGGGGGTGATGGACTATCCCTGGGGGCCAACATGCTGCTGTGTGGGAAGCCAGGGAAGATGCTGCTCTTTCCCATCACCTTTGGGATCTATGGAGTTGTCCACCCCGACCCCCGGTCTCCTCACCAGTGGCCTCCACCTTCCCCCTGACCTGTGCCGCCCCTCATGTGAGGTTTCATCACCTGCACCAGTGCCTGCCTCTCTGCCTCCAGACCCATGGCTCATGGCCCTCTCTCTCCTCACCCCTTCCATGCCTGTTCCCTCTTCCCCTAGAGCCCATTTCCATCCATACCCCACCGAGTCTTTCACCACATCCTCACCTGACCCCGCACCTCCCCAGCCCACCTTTCCCTTGAAGGAGTGAATGCCATCCCAAAATATGCCCAATTGGTATATTGATAATTTTATGTTAAAAACATTAGAGAAATTGTAGTTTTAGAAAGGGTGAGCTGACCTGCCTCTTCCTGCATGTAGCAAGCCATAAAGACTCCTCTGGGGGCGGCACCCCCACACAAGGGCAAGAAGAGAGCCTTTAGCACCAGAGACTGGGGATTAGGGGTAGCAACGGACCCGAGTAAATGTACTTCACGAAGTAAGCCGTGTTGCCCACTGATTTTATATTCCTGCATATCACCTAGAGGCTCCCCTGGAAATTTACTGTCCCTAGCCAGATTCTGCTTGGCCTTGTCATTTCTTCTCAAATTTATTATTCTTTGTCTAAAAAGTACAAAAGCATCTTGCTTTGGCTACTTCTTCAGACGTCACTAATTTGGGAAGATCCCCATGTACCTTTAATATAATACAATTTTTATGCTTTTCTCTTGTTAATATGCTTGGTTTCAATTTGGTTTCTAGCCGAGGTTCCAGCCAAGGATCCCATGTAAGAGCTAAGTGGGGTTGGAGGCGATCTCTGGGTCTCTGCAGAACGTGGCGCAGAGCCCGGGGCCCTCCCTCACAGGCTAGGACGCTGCTTATTCTGGAGCTACTGCAGCTAAGACCCGGGACCTCTGACCCGAGCCAGCAAAGGCAGGGTTCTTACTGCCAGCCTTCCAGGTCTCTGCTGTCTGTGTCTTTTTCTCTCTCTAAATTGGGATTGACAGGATAAAAGATTTGTGTCTTTTTCTGTCTCTAAATTGAGATTGACAGGATAAAACATTTGTGAACTAATTCTTTGGGTAAAAAGCGACTTTTAGTGTTTTTGTGAGTTCTCTAGGTTTCTATTTGATCCTTTTGATCTCAGAGATGGTCTTTGTTTTCCTTTGTCTCTGTCTTTTTCCTGCCATTTGTCATAAGGAGAGGAAGCGTCAGGTAGAGAACACAGGCACAGGTCCTTCAAAGTCTGCTGGGTCCCCAGCGCTTGGGTTTGTGGCACTTGTCAGACCCATGTCTGCCTAAGCAAACTGTGCTGTGGGTCCCTGAAACAAAAAAACAAAAGGGATGGGGTTCCCCTCTCGCCTCGTTTTATGTCCTGAGAGCTTGGCTGTGTGACAAGGAGGACGCCTCTCTGGTCTCCGCCATCTGAGGGGCACAGAGTGTGGCTCTGTGTCAGGCAGCAGTCTGACCAGACTGGGGACTCAAGACGCATGAGGCCCAGGTGGCACTCTCTCTGTCTGTATGTGTCAAGCGCTCACGGAGTTTTGTTGTAAGACGCCAATTCATAAGGGCTTTCTTCATCTTATCCTTGTTGCCCTGATTAGTGCTGGGAGATTCCCATTCCAGTATCACCTGCCCAGTGTCACAGTGAGTGGACCTGAGGCTGAAGGCATCTCAGCTTCCACGGGAGACTGGAGGTGTGGTCTGCACAAGCACTCTCCCTACCTGCACGTGGCAACGCAAGTCTTTGCTTTCTTCATCCATCTCTGAGAGTGAATTTTTGGATGACGGGCTGCCTTTTCTGCACGTACTGCAGGAAGACGCCTTGCGTTCTGGTAATGATGGGAAGCCACCTCCTGGCCTTTCCCTGGAAAGGCAGATTAAGGCACTACTGGAACATATGCACCGGCGTAGATCTGAATTGGCCACGGCCAGAGATGGATTTGTGTTTAAAACATGTTAGAGAGTGCTCGTTCTAAACAACTGGTCTGTTGGCATCTATGGGAAGATCACACTGAGGAACACAGAATGTACTATGGTTAGTCTTAAAACATCCCTTAACAAAATTAAGGAACCAAAAGCTGACCTAGAGCAGACATTGAAATCCACTCCCACCATAAATCCTCCTCCACCCACTTATACCCCCAACACCTCCAACTCTCGTCCCTGACCCACCAGAGGATCCAATGGATTTCTAGATCTCCAGTCTGAACCTTCCTCCCCAACACCCAGCCCCATCTTCTTCACCTCTCTCTCCTCAACAAAATCCTGTGACTCCCCCCAGCTTCCCCCAAACCCCTTAGACAGCTGCCTGCTTAACCTCCCTTTCCTGGCGTGACCTACAGAAAGCTTTCAGTCTGATCTGAAAGTGCGAGGCACACAGGGCATTTGTGGAAAAGCTGGCAGCCAGGAAGTAGACCTGGCACAGGCTCCAGGGACAAGCAGTGAGGCTGGCTTTGCTGTGCCTTGCGCCCTCTCCTACACCCCAGGGCCTTGTCATCAGACTCCCTCAGCTCCAGACCTCCCTGTGCAGTAACTCCCTCCTCAAAGAATTCACATCCCTGGACAGCAGTGGACCTTTTAAACTATAAAGCCCATTCTGCTCCTACTTTCAGAAGATCCTACCAAGTTTAGAGAAGAAGGTATCTAGGATTGAAAGTACAACATAAGAAGATATTCAGAATACAATAGAAGCTGTTCTAAGAGAAAAAATGTGTAGCTGTATAGTTTTAGGTGCATTTGTGAGAATAATAAGAAATTTAAATCTTTTTAACCTCTGAAGATTACCATTTCCTAAGAAATTTAACATTTTAATAAGCTAACGTTAACTGAAGAAGTTAGGTAAACAAAAAGTGGAACAAGACTAAAATCTGTAAAAAAAAAAAAAAAGAAAGAAAGAAAAAGTAGAACAAAAATTCATAATGATAAAATGGCCAGGTGTGGTGGCTCACGCCTGTAACCCTAGCAGTTTGGGAGGCCAAGGTGGGCAGATCATGTGAGGCCAGGAGTCAAGACCAGCCTGGCCAACATGATGAAACCCCGTCTCTACTAAAAATACAAAAATTAGCTGGTTGTGGTAGTGTGCACCTATAATCCAAGCTATTCAGGAGGCTGAGGGAGGAGAATCACTTGAACCTGGGAAGCAGAGATTGCAGTGAGCTAAGATAGCACCAGTGTACTCCAGCCTGGGTGACAGAACAAGACTCCGTTTCAAAAAAAAAAAAAAAGTAAGAAAAAAAAGAAATTCATAATGATAAAAGATAAATTGATTAAAATATAAAACAAATTAGATTGATGAGAAATAAATCTGGTTAACTATAAGGAAATACATAATGGACAATGTTGGGAAAATATGAACAAGAAAAAAGAGAAAATAACAAAAAACCATTTATGGATTGTTGAAAAGAAAGCTCACTTCCAAATTTAAAGTAAATTAAGGGTAATTAAAATGAAATAATTTTGTGCAAAAATGTAGAAAAACTACTAGGAAACAAAAGACGTTTTAAGAAAAGTGTTAACTAGTATCGTGGAGATGTTAATTTGATCAGTAATTACAGAAGATTTTAAACTTGAAGTCAAACATCTGCTTCTAAAAGGCAGATGATCCTTCTGCTACTCAACCAAGTATGACCAGGCCTCCACAAAGAAATAATCCTCATGGCATGCAGTATGTTCCAGTGAAAACAGGAACAAGACATGCCATGGAACTCATTTGAGGAGTGCACCGCAGACAAAATGTCAAAGCCAGAAAAGGAGGGTATAGCAGACCACGGTACAGTGTCACTTGTACACTGTTGGTGGGAATGTAAGTTAGTACAGCCACTGTGGAAAACAGCATGGATGTTCCTCAAGAAACTAAAAATAGAGCCACCATCTGACCCAGCAACTCCATTACTGGGTGTATATCCAAAGGAAATGCATTCAGGGTGTTGAAGAGTTGTCTGCATCCCCGTGCTCATTGCAGCATATTCACAATAGCTGAAAAACGGAATCAACCCAGGTGTTGTGGGGAGGAAAAGCTTTCCCTCTACCCTCAGAGGGTTTGATAATTGAGTCTGTGAAATAAATGGGCAGCAGGCAGATTAACAGGAGAATAAGGCTTACAAATTTTCATGTGGGCATGGGAGGCATCACATGAAAGAAACGTGAAATGCAACACCCAGTGAGGCCGGAAGCTTATGTATTTTTCTGCAAAGGGGAGAAAGAGAGGAGACAAAGGGAACCGAAGGGAGAGTAAATGACTTTGGTGAAAGATAAATGGATCCCTGGAAGAATGAATAATGAGAAAGGGACAGCTGTGACGAGGTCTGTCTGGGCTGCTGTGACATGAACCAATCTTCCCTTGTTGACGAGATTCCCAGGGAGGGGATTCATGCCAGCTGTGCTCCCTTTGGAGGATCTGTCTTTCGACAGATGAGGGAGAACCAGAGAAAACCCTCCCTGCATTTGCTCCTCCACCACTGCCCTCAGTTTGAAGCAATCAACACATCAAATTGGCATATTCTGGGTGGGGGGAAGGAATTTCCTGAACTTCTTCAGTGTACACACACGGATGAGTGGAAAAAGAAAATGTGATGTACATATAATGAGATAATAGAATATCATTCACCCTAAAAAAGAAGGAAATCCTGCCTTTTGTGACACTGTGGATGAACCCAGAGGATGTTATGTTGAGTGAAATAAGCCAGACACCGAAAGGCAGATACAGTTGACCTTTGAACAGCAGAAGTTTGAACTGTGTGGGTCCATTTATACGTGAATTTTTCTCAAAAAAAGTTACAGCAAGGGGGCCTGCTTCTCCTGCCTCTTCCTTTCCACCTCCTCCACCTCTTCTGCCTCTGCCACCCCTGAGACAGCAAGATCAACTCCTCTTCTCCCTCCTCCCCAGCCTCCTCAACCTAGAGATGATGAGGATGAAGACCTTTATGATGATCCACTTAATGAATAGTAAACAGATTTTCTCTTCCTTATGGTTTTCTTAATACCATTTTCTTTCCTCTAGCTTACTTTACCATGAGAACACAGTGTATAATATGTATAACATACAAAATGTGTTAATCAATGGTTTACGTTAACACATAAGACTTCCAGGCAACAGTAAGCTACTAATAGTTAAGTTTTTGGGGAGTCAAAAGTTATACACACGTTTCCAACTGTATGGGGGTGTCAGCACCCCCAACTCTCACATTGTTCAAGGGTTGACTGTATTGCACAATCTCCCCTAACTCCTGTTTTTAGATGTGAAATCTAAAAAAATTGTACTCACAGAAGCAGAGAGGGGAACAGGGGTTGCCAGGGGCTGGGAGTGGAGGGGATGGGGAGATGTTGATCAAAAAGTACAAACTTCTGGCTGGGTGCGGTGACTCACACCTGTAATCCCCAGCACTTTGGGAGGCCAAGGAGGGCAGATCATCTGAGGTCAGGAGTTCAAGACCATCCTGGCCAACATGGTGAAACCCCATCTCTACTAAAAGTACAAAAATTAGCTGGGCATGGTGGTGCGCACCTGTAATCCCAGCTACTTAGGAGGCTGAGGTGGGAGAATCATTTGAACCCAGGAGGCAGAGGTTGCAGTGAGCCAAGATCATGCTACTGCACTCCAGCCTGGTGACACAGCCAGACTCCATCTCAAAAATAAATAAATAAATAAGCACAAACTCCCAGTTACAAGACGAATAAGTTCTGGAATCTAATATACAGCATGGGGACTATAGTTAATAATACTTGACATTTGCTGAGAGCATATCTTAAGGTTCTCATCACGCACACACAAGCTTACTGTGTGAGGTGACAGATGTGTTAATTAGCTTGGTTGTGGTAATGGGTTCACAATATATACATAGATCAAAACATCACACTGTGATCATCACATCACCTTAAATGTATACAACCTTAGACAACTATACTTCAATAAAGCAATTACACCTCACTTTGTCAATTATACCTCAAAAACCTTAGCAATGTGAAGCTGATAACATTCAGAGGGAACATGGAAGAAGGCAATCTTTTAACTAGGTTTAAAAGGATTAAAGATAGGTAAGAATGGCTGCAGTCACTAGAAAATACCACATTGCCATCACAGAAGACAGGTTTGTTTGAAACACCAAGGGGGAACTTCTGGAAGTGAATAGTGAAATCAGTGAAGTTAAAAATTAAAACACAACAGAATAGTGAAATCAGTGAAGTTAAAAATTAAAACACAACAGATTAGCCTCAGATGATGATAGAAATTATAAGAATATCCATATGTGGAATTGTCTAGAATATATAGCAATAAAGATTTGCAAACTGTGAAAGATCATCAGGAGACTGGAGAATTGAAATGAGAATATGCAAAATATGCTTGACAATAATTACAAAAGGAGAAAATGCAGATAATGAGAGAACGGTCCTATTCAAAGGGATAATGGCTAAGGAATTTCTGGAATTGATGAAAACTATTGATCTTTAGATTCCAGAACCACAATGAGTGCCAAGAATAAATGAAAGTAGATAATATGCAGAAGTATTGTGATACTGAAGTAAATCAACCAAAATTAATGTTTAAGAGACCCAGAATCTCAAAAGTATCCACCCACAAGATAGTTTGCACTCAGAAATGGAAACGGGAGAAGGTTACAGTGGAGAAAGCATAATTTTATAAAACACACTCACCCAGGTGGTTGCAGTCCAGGGAGAAAGCCCACCTCACCCTCACAGCAGGGGAGAAACTGGCTTCATGTTTCTTGTTAGCGGTTGCACTGAAAAAGCCCGGCATCCCCTCTGTACTGTTCCTGCTGAAAGTGCAAAACCTGATTCTCAATGTGAGGACGTATCAGGCAACCAAATGGAGGGACGTTCTATTAAATGACTAGCCTGTATCTGGAAATACATCAATATCAAGAAATCAAAGAGGTTGCAGAACAGTTCCAGATGAGACAACTGAATGAAGGCATGGTTCAGGATCTTCTTCCCCTATAAAAACAATATTGGAACCGTTGGCAAAATCCGAAGAAGATGTGAAGGTCTGAGAATTGTATTGTGTTAATGAAGATTTCCTGTTTTTGATCACTGTACTGTGATAATGTAAGAGCTGCCCTTGGTTTCAGAAACACACGCTCAATACTTGTAGGTAAAGGAGCATCATGTCTGCAACTGACTCTCACAGGGTCTAGGAAAATAGTGATAGTATTCTACATCTGCACCAAGAGAAGAGAATTTAGCAAATGTAGTTGAATGTTAATATGAGAGGAATCTGAAGGAATCATAAATGGATTTTTTTTGCACTACTATTGCAACTTTTTTTTTTCTTTTTTGAGATGGAGTCTTGCTCTGTTGCCCAGGCTGGAGTGCGGTGGTGCGATCTCAGCTCACTGCAACCTCCATCCCCTGAGTTCAAGCAATTGTCCTACTTCAGCCTCCTGAGTAGCTGGGATTACAGGCACCCCGCACCATGCCCAGCTAATTTTTGCATTTTTAGTAGAGGCGGGGTTGCACCACATTGGCCAGGATGGTCTCAAACCTCAGGGAATCCACCTGCCTCAGCCTCCCTAAGTGCTGGGATTACAAGCCTGAGCCACCACGCCCGGCCGCAACTTTTAAAGTGTCTGAAATTACATCAAAATAAAAGATAGGAAAAATTAGAGAAATTAATGTAGACAAGGCAGATATCTCAACAGCCACACAACAACCATGGAAAGATTTATTTATTTATTTTGAGGCAGAGTTTCACTCTGTTGCTCAGGCTGGAGTGCAGTGGTGTGATCTCAGGCTTACTGCAACCTCCACCTCCTGGGTTCAAGGGATCCTTCCATCTCGGCCTCCTGAGTAGCTGGGACTACAGGCATGCACCACCACACCCGGCTAATTTTTGTAATTTTTGGAGAGACAGGGCTTCGTCATGTTGCCCGGGCTGGTCTCAAACTCCTGAGCTCAAGCGATCCACCCACCTTGGCCTCCCAAAGTGCTGGGATTTCAGGCATGAGTCACTGCACCCAGCCAGGTTTCTTTAATATACTGAGGAAATATAACTGTCAACCAAGATTTATCTGCTTACATAGTGATCACTCAAGATTATGAATTGAATCAAAACCTTTTCAGGCAAAAAAGAAGACTTGAAGAGTTCATGGCTAAGAGAAATTGCATTGAACTAAGTAGTAAGGATGTAGTTGAAGGAAACCAAAATATTTCACCCCATAATATATTTGGACACATTTTGAGATGGCTGTTTAGAGGGGCCTGCAAACAGAAGCAGCCCTGCAAAGCTGTCTTTTGAGGGGAAGGTTTGCATCTGTAGAGAATCCGCACTGACGCAGGCAAGTTTCCTCTGAAGCCTTCCCTTGTCTGGATCTAGGAAGGAGTCCCTCACAGTCTGACATATTTAGCCATCAGAAAGAAACATTTACCATCTATTCTCTCCGAGGACTGCTGTCTGTGTGGTTCTGTCTGCATTCTGAGACCACCTTTGCCAGCCAGGCCTCCTCCTCCCTCTCCCCTAACCTGTCTTGCTGTCATCCCAGCCTCTGTTCCTTCTGTAATCTCAAGGCGGTAAATAAGCTTCTGCACACCATTGTGGGGTTGGGATCATCGCTCTGGTCCTTCTCCATCTGCACATTAATAAACGTGCATGCCATTTCTCCAATTAATCTGACTTTTGTGAGTTGATTTTTCAGTGAACTTTTCAAGGGCAAAGTGGAGGTTTTCTTTTGGCCCCTACAGTTTTGGTGTCCTGAACAGAATACCAAAGCTGCTTTGCTCTTCTGGAAGCTTCAGTCAGGGGACCCAGGACCTGACAAGCTGGCAGAAGGGTAACAAATTCTTACCAGCCAGGCTTCTGGCTGGTCTCTCTGTGGAATCCAGGTGAGCAGATGGTAAAAATCAGTCATTTTTCCTCTGCAAGATGTTGATTAGTGTGAGAAAGGATCTGTGTGAACAATGTTGGGTGCAGCGACTCTGGTGTACTTTTTGGTGTGAATATTCATATTGTTTAGTGCCCTTCCTTCCAGGAGGATTCTTCTCCTCTGTCTTGGTCTTCCTGTGTTCTGTCCTGAGGAGAGGACTTGTAGGGTAGAATGGGGGCTGAAGATCCTGCCAGCCCATTGTTCAGGCCAGACCTGAAGAGCAGCCAGTCTGCGGCTGAGATCAGATGGGCATTCAAACTTTGCTGTGGGTCCTCAAAATAGAAGCCAAGCCAGGTGCGGTGGCTCCCAGTCCTTGGGGAGGCTGAGGTGGGCAGATCACTTGAGGTCAAGGGTTCAAGACCAGCCTGGCTGACATGGTGAAACCCCATCTCTACTAAAAATACAAAAATTAGCCAGGCATGGTAGCGAGCACCTGTAATCCCTGCTACTCAGGAGGCTGAGGCAGGAGAACCACCTGAACCCAGGAGGCAGAGGTTGCAGTGAGCCAAGATCATGCCACTGCACTCCAGCGTGGGTGACAGAGTGAGAGACTGCGTCTCAAAACAACAACAAAAACAAAATAGAAGCCAGATGAGGACCCCTCTCATCTTGTTTTATGCCCTGGAGTGTTTGACTTGTGACAAGTGGGAGCACTGTCTCTTGTTTCTACCATCTGGGGTGTGATTTTTGGGTCCCATCAGGTGTTCAGTCTGAAGATGCCTGGGAACCTGAGATACAAGGTTTTAGGCAGCACACTTTTTGCTCTGAATGTGTCCAGCTGTTGGGAATGTTTGTCTTAATAAGAAGTCCCATCCATAAGGAATTTTTGTGGTCTGGCCCTTGTTGCCTGGATAGTCCTGGGAAAGTCCCATCCTAGGAGAGCTGTCCAGTGTCATGAATTAAGGGGTCTTTGATGGGTGTCCCCAGAAATGTGTGGGTCACCAGAGGCACTGTGTACACAAACACCATCCTAACCATGTGTGGCAACAGAGTCCGTTGCTTTGCAGGGACGTGGATGGAGCTGGAAGCCATTATCCTCAGCAAACTAACACATGAACAGAAAACAAAACACTGCATGTTCTCCTTTATAAGTGAGAGCTGAACAATGAGAGCACATGGACACAGGGAGGGGAACAACACACACTGGGGCCTGTCGGTGGTGGGGAGGGAGAGTATCAGGTTAAATAGCTAATGCATGCGGGGCTTGATACCTAGGTGATGGGTTGGTAGGTGCAGCAAACCGCCATGGCACATGTTTACCTATGTAACAAACCTGCATGTCCTGCACATGTATCCTGGAACTTACAACTAAGTTAAATTAAATTAAATTTTAAAAAGAAAGAAAAACAATAGACAAGAAATAGGAACTAAGGAGCTAATTTTTATTTTATTACTTCAACCAATAAAAACTGTGGGTTAAAATTAAAAAAAGTCTCTTCCTATCTGAGCCTGTTTCTAGGAGTGAATTTTACTGGAGGGATCTTTGGAACTGCCTATCCTCACCCTCTTCAGGAAACAAGTCTTTCTTAAATGGTAATAGCCTACTCTAAGCCTGAAAAACCACATCCGGGGCTTTCCATGAAGAGGCTGTGGGATGGAGTTGCTATTAGAGTAAGTACATCATTGGAAATTCTAGCCATTAGCAGCCAAAAGATGGATTCTTTAAGTCAGAAAGACCTCTAAATTACAAAAAATAGTTTAGAGATTTCTTATTCTAAACAACTGCCTTATTTATGTTCATTGGAAGATTAAATTAAAAGACACATCATAGTGTCATGGCTTGCCTTAGAAATCCTCTTGATGAGGTTAAAGAGCAAAAGTCTGACCTGAAACAAAGCTAAAATCCTTCATATGCTCCAAATGCCTGCCCTGGGTCCCTTGTGGAATCTGCAGTGCCAGCCACTCCACCTTGCAGTCTATTTTTTTTTTTCTTGAGACAGAGTTTCACTCTTGTCACCCAGGCTGGAGTGCAATGGCACAATCTCGGCTCACTGCAACCTCCAACTCCCAAGCTCAAACGATTCTTCTGCCTCTGCCTCCAGAGTAGCTGGGATTACAGGCATGTGCCACCATGCCCAGCTAATTTTTGTATTTTTAGTAGAGACTGGGTTTCACCATATTGGCCAGGATGGTCTCAATCACTTGACCTCGTGATCTGCCTGCCTCGGCTTCCCAAAGTGCTGTGATTACAGACGTGAGCCACTGCACCTGGCCCCACCTTGCAGTCTTGTTGTTAAAATTCCACACATTCACTGCCATGGCCTGGGTGCAGGTCCTGGTCAGGAAGCCAGTCGCTTTTGGTTTGATATTTGTGTGACTTTTGACTTTGTGGCGTACCCACTTGTCATTGATCCTTTCCCCTTCCATAGACAGCTTTTGGTTTTCTGTCATCTCCTGTTTGAGGGGTTACACGGGGCTCTTAGGCTTTTGTGTGTATATGGTCAGCTGAAAGGCTGAGACCCTGGAAGATATGACTGGCAGATGTGGGTTGTACCCCATTTGTGGCTAGCAAAACTTTCCTTTCTTTGAGCTGTCTTTGAGGTGGTTCTGGATCTGGTGAGGACTGCTGTGCTCCTCTCTGGAGATGCCTCATGTGTCCTTGGTTAAGTCATAATCTTGATTAAGCCTTATTGGTTTTGGTGAGCCACTTGAGGCAGTATCTTTGTTTAAAAAAAAAAAGATCCAATGGTACAATCTCCTGTAATCCCAGCACTTTGGGCGGCTGAGGCAGGAGGATCACTTGAGCCCAGGAGTTCGAGACCAGCCCTGGGAAGCAAAGTGAGATCCTGTCTCTACAAAACTACAAAAATTAGCCAGGTGTTGTGGCATGGGCCTGTAGTCCCAGACACTCAGGAGGCTGAGCTGGGAGGATTTCTGGAGCCTGGGTAGTCGAGGCTGCAGTGAGCTGTGATCGTGCCCCTGCACTCCAGCCTGGGTGACAGAGTAAGACTCTGTCTCCAAAAAAAAAGTTTCTCTTCTTTTTTGAGACTGTCTCACTCTGTCACCTATGCTGATATACAGTGGTGTAATCTCAGCTCACTGCAATCTTCACCTTCGAAGATCAAGGAATTCTCATACCTCATCCTCCCAAGTAGCTGGGATTACAGGCATGTGCCACCGCTCCTGGCACTTTATTTTATTTTATTTTATTTTATTTTACTTTATTTTATTTTATTTTATTTTTAGTAGATACAGGGTTTCTCCATGTTGGCCAGGCTGGTCTTGAACTCTGGTCTCAAGTGATCCACCTGCCTCAGCCTCCCAAAGTGCTGAGATTAAAGGCATGCGCTACATGCCGAGCCATAAAGATAGTTTTTAAGTTATTGCTACAGTAAAATAGAAGGGCCAGACATGGTGGCTTATATCTGTAATCCCAGCACTTTAGGTGGCTGAGGCAGGAGGATCACATGAGGCCAGGAGTTTGAGACCAGCCTGGGCAACATAGCAAGACTCCAATCTCTACAAAAAAATGTAAAAAATTAGCTGGTTGTGGGCTGGGCGTGATGGCTCATGACTGTAATCCCAGCACTTTGGGAGGCCAAGGTGGGCGGATCACCTGAGGTCGGGGGTTCGAGACCAGCCTGACCAACATGGAGAAACCCCGTCTCTACTAAAAATACAAAATTAGCCTGGTGTGGTGGCACATGCCTGTAATCCCAGCTACTAGGGAGGCTGAGGCAGGAGAATCGCTTGAACCTGGGAGGCGGAGGTTGCGGTGAGCTGAGATCATGCCATTGCACTCCAGCCTGGGTGACAGAGCGAAACTCCGTCTCAAAAAAAAAAAAAAAAAAAAATTAGCTGGTTGTGGTGGTGCATGCCTGTCATCTCAGCTACAACCCAGGAGTTGGAGGCTGCAGCGAGCTATGATTGCACCACTGTACTCAAGCCTGGGTAACAAACGAGACCCTGTCTCTAAAAATAAATAAATAAATAAAAAGAAAAGTAAATAAAACAGAAACATCTTCAGAATTTAATTTAGACATTTTTGCCTGGGTCTAATTAGGCAGGTTTTTACTGTCTCTGTTAGGTGTTTTACAGTCATAAAACTGAATGGATAGCGGGGGGGAAAAGAAAATAGAAAAAATGCAAGAAGTTATAAAAGGTTTATGAAAATCTTATTTTATGTGATCAAAACTGAGATTGAAGGGATCTATTTATAAGATTTTATTAAAATTAGCTTTAGCATTAATACACCGTTGCAAAGGCAGAATTTGTTTTTCTCTTTTAAACATGATTTTCATGTAGTATTAATAAGCGATAGTAAATGATTTTTGTTTTCCTTGTAAGTAAACTGCACAAAAAAGAGGAGAGAGATGGATTTTGTTTGCTTCATGCTGTCTTCATTAGGTCTTTTGATTATTTGGGAAACAGAGTCTCCCTTCTATCAAAGAGTAAAAGTTTTTGGTTTTAAAAATCTTTACATTATCACTTGGGGTAATCATCACTAATGAATGACTATTACTTTATAGTGGCGTGTGATTCATCCTGTTTTTTATCAAGTGTTTTAAACTGTTGATATTTGGAAAACTTCCCAAAATCTAATTTGAAATTATGAAAGTAAGTATTTTCATGAAGAACTCCTGGAAGTCCAAGAGGGACGTATTAGTCTTATTTGGTATGCAAAAATCATATGGAAAGACTGGCCACATAAGAAATTGTATTTAAATTTCTTTGAGTTGTAGTTATAAAAATGTGTTATTAATATGTGTTCCTAAATGGTATGGGGTTACTAAAATTCTGATATGTCTTCATATGTGTTATCAGTAATAATTATGATTATTATATTAAATTGCTGAATGTCACAGAAGTAACCAAATTTCCTTGTCACTTGTGTCTTTAACCCTGGTTATTTTAAGTCTTTTGTCATCCACAGATAATTTTTGTTTTACTTTGACTCTTCTCAGAAAGCAGTTTATGATTTATTATAGTCAAAAGCTTGCTTCTTCTTCAAGGAAATTTATCAAAAAGTCCTTGACAAGTACTCTTGGATACAGATTTCCGGTAAGTTTGGATATCATACCATTGGACTAGGCAAAAACTTCCAGAACTCTGATAAGAGAAGGTGATGGGTTCCTGAAGATTGCTAACCCAACATCAAGCAGAACAAGAGTTAATTACATGGGACTGAACTGATAGAGGACTGAACATTTTTTTTTCTCGACTCTTTGGTTTGAAACATTGTGGATTCTTTCTATGCTTTGTTTTCCAGAATCAAGAAAACTATTTCCTCTTAAGCCATCCATAGCTTTTAACAATTGAACAAAATTGAAACATTTATCTCTCTCTCTACCAGATTTCTCTAGAAATCTGTTATTTGCATAAGCTCAGTAAGAATGGTTTTTTTTAAAATAACAGGACATAACTGGAGACACTGGTTATTTTACCAAGGTTTTGACAAGAATGGCATATTTTCAGATATGATGAGCGTATTTAGCAGAACTAAAGTTGATTTTATAGATCTAATAAAAATCCTTGTGGAAAGACTGGCCAGGTACCTTGTCTACACAGTTCCCTTACAAGGTTCTGGACCTTGCAGTAAGTAAAGAATGTCACTTTCTGAAGGGCCCAAGAACCTCAAGATATATTGGGACCTCAAGAAGGGAGGAATTCACCAAATTTGTACAGGCATTACAGGCGCAGTCTGATGGCAAACTCTTGGCTTGGTTTCCTAGCCTTTAGAGGATTTTAAAAGTCTAATCTGAAATTCCTTATGAAAAAGTTCCAGCAAGGCCAACTTAAAAGAATGGCCAATCACCATTTTTTTCTGTACTTTATTCAAACAATCAGGCCAATTATAACAAAACGAAAACTTATTTTGTGAATAAATTGGTCCTATTGTGATTTGTCTTTGTTAGAAATGGGGAACTGGAGAGAGAAAAACTATGTTTCAGAAGAAAACTATAGTATACCCACTATTCTATTCTAGCCCTGTCCATTGTTTTTCAGTTTTTATTACTTGTCTACAACTGGGACTGAATCCTGAATTCTTTTCTGGCTACAAGTCTCCAAGCTAATGTTCTCACATTTTCTCACATTTTTCTGACTTGGAATCACTAGAAACAAAAAAAACTGTGCTTTTCTTAAAGCCCTGCAAATTGACGCTAGAAAACTTGATATAAACTTTAGGAGAAATCACTATAGCAACTTTACATGTAAACAGCCTTTGTACCTGTTGATGTATAGACTACTCAGAAAGTTTGTTGGAACACCTGATTCCAACTAATATCCAGAAAAATCTGTCAGATTACCACTACAATTTGAAGATGCTTCAGCGACTCTGGAAAAACTAGTCTATACACTATTCCAGACATTAACCTTTGTTTTTCTTCTGTTTCCATAGAAATGTCTCAAGAAGATCTGAGACAAAATATTTAAATTTGTTCTTTTCTGCTCATTCAAATTTGTCATTTCTTTTCTTTGCCTGTCTCTTATCTAACAAGCTCCAACCTAAATATCTCCAAAGGAATCAACTTGCCTTTTTATATGTGAAACATTTGAAGTTTCAAAGTGGGGAGTGGAGAAAACCAAAAATATTTTATCTCAATATATACTTTGGTGCACTGGAAAAAAAGACTGGAAAAAAAAGGAAAAGGATACTCTTGGCATATTTTGAGATGGCTTTTCAGAGGGCCTGCAAACAGAAGTAGGCCTGCAAAGTTGTCTTTTGTTGGAGAGATTGGAAAGACAAAAGCACCCCACAAATACAATTTATTTATAAAACATTATGTGTTGTCTTAGTCCATTTTGTATTACTACAACAGAGTACCACACAGGCGGAGTAATTTATAAAGAAATTTATGTCTCACAGTTCTTGAGACTGATAGGTCCAGTATTAAGATGCTGACATGTGGTAAGGGAAGGCTTTCTTGTTGCATCATCCCATGGTGGAAGGTCGGGGGCGGGGGAGAGAGAAGAGAGAGAGCGAGCGAGCGAGAGGGAGAGAGATACCCACTGCCATGATAACTAACCCACTCCCGAGATAAGGGCATCAATCCATTCATGAGGTTAGAGCTTTCACGGCCTAATCACGTCGTCTTAAAGATTCCACCTACTTTGGCTCTTCCTCATGGCACCTTTTTATTTTAAAAAATAAAAGGTCCTACCTCTTAATGCTGTTGCACTGGGGACCAAGTTTCCAATGCATGCTTTTGGGGGCCACACTCAGACCACAGCAGGTGTCTAGCCCCACTGTGTCTTGCAGTCAAGCAAACAAAGCCAGGAAGGAGTCGGGAGCCCTGAGCCACGTGGCCTGTCAAGGAATCACATGGAAGTTATGTCTGTTTCTCATTGCTGCTATGGCTGAATACCACAAACTGGCTTAAAACCACACACGTCTGTGCTACATTTCTGGAGGCGAGAAATCCCAAATAGGTCTATCTGGCTAAAGTCACGTTGTCTGCAGGGCTGCGCTCCTTTCTGGGGGCTCCTGGGGAGACTGTTCTTCACCATCTCAGCTTCCAGAAGCTGCCCACATTCTCTAGCTAACAGCCACATCACTCCAACCTCTGCTTCCATGCCCACCTCTCTTTCTATGACCTGGCCCTCCTGCCTCCCTCTTTAGGAACACTGTGATCATCTTGGACCCACCCGTGAAATCCAGGACATCTTCTCCAGAGCCTCACCTCAATGCAGGGGCACATCCCCATTGCCACATATGTAACATGGTCGCTGGTTTCATGGCCTGGGATGGGAATAGCTTTTGGGGGGCATTGCTCTGCCTACCACAGTAACGAAGAGCTTGGGACAGCTGCACTTGTTAACATGTTGGTCCACAAGAACTAAGGCCCTGAAGGATTTGACTGCTTCCCGCTCCCTTCTCCTGACTCCAGGTAGCAGTGAATCCACAGGAGAGACAGGGATCAGTTGACCTTAGGGTGTGTCTGGTGTCAACTCTAATTGGACCAGTAAGGGAACAGAAGCCTTGAGAAAGTACCACAACAGTCTGAAAGTACTCAGACAGCCAGTGTCTGTGACCATGCTGCCATTCAGATTTCTGCCACTTGTTTTCCAGGCTGCAGATTCTTCAACACACGAAACCAGTCACGCGACGGGACACTCAATGGTGCTGCTTGTCCTGCTTAGTTTGGCCTGGGGTTGCTTGCTACAAGGCAAGCTCCACCCACAGCTCTGATAACCCGCCCTTCTCTCCAGTCTCACTGATCTCCCGGGTGGACAATCTGGAAGGGGTCTTACTGGAGTTGTGAGGCAGGCAGAGGCCAGAACCAACAGCCATGCCTGGTTAGAGAATGCAGCATCCTAAGCAGAGGCAAGGAGGAATCTGGCTGTCCTCCAAGTCTCAGCCTCTTCAGCCGGCACCACAGACTTCTGTGCCCATGCGCCTGGGCCTGCAGCTGCCTGAGGTCCATATCTATTATGTCTACTGGCTGGGCCAGGGCCGTGTCCCCCTTCTCCCAGCTGAGTCAGTGTCTGAAAAGCAGACCTGATATTAATCCATATGTCTAGCAGGGTCCTTGATATCAACACACCAAAAGGAGGAAAAACTCATCAAACTGGAGTTTATCCTCAATTTTTTGTTGGGGTACAACTTCACTTGTCACAATATGATGACAATAAAATAAAAGTTTTATAAGATCTCTCAAACCCAAGGGTTGGGAAACAAATTAAGCCTCAAATGAGGGGTTATGTGTGCCAGACAAATTATAGGCCTGGAATTTGGAGGGCCAGCCCCACCTGGAGCTACCACTTGGCAGCCCCTTCACTCCCATAGCAACCAGCACAAACTAGGCAGAGGTGGGCACCTGCCAGGGCTGTGTTCCTCCCAAAGCCCACCCTGCCCCAGGGGTGATACCCTGAGGGTCCAGTGCTCAGTCCAGTCCTGCAGTCAGCCCAGCCCATACCCAACATCCTGATTTGCCTTCCAACAGCCTTTGGCTGGTAACATCTCACCCCAGATTTCCAGCCGGAAAGCTACTCTGGAACCAACAAACTCAGATTCCAAGGAGAAGAGAGAAACTCACAGGAATTGCAGCCTGGAGAGGGTAAGCTCACTCCATATCTTGATACGTAGACCAGTAAGATCCAAACTGGGCTGCAGCCTGCAGAGGCATGTGGCTCACACACAGCTTCCTATCAGAGTTCTTACACCTCTGGGCATCTCATCTGAGATGTCCCCGTCTCTGCCATGGTGACCTTCCCCTCCACCCGTGCCCTCCATCCTTCCTCCCTGTGGTGCGCTCAGCCTTGATCCATCAATTACCTCTCCCTCTCTTTTACATAAAACTCAGTTCTTTGTCATCCACTTCCTGTCAGCCTTTGCAAAAGGTGAACTCTCACACGAGAAATAACTGAAGTTCTTCTATGCACCGCTGACGTGAGTGTAGCGGCTGGAGTGTGAAATCAGAGCTACAGAGGCAGGTGGACCGGTGCATATCTCCAGTGGGTGAAGGTACATGCATGTCCATTTCATTATAATTTTTAGAGTATAAAAATAGACTCTATATCCCCTACTGAGTATAAGATGTCTTTTCACAGTAATGAGAAATAAACAAAAGCAACCCCTCTCCCACATAACCAGTGTAAATTTGGGCTCTTATTCAAGTCAGCTCGGGTTTGAATTCTAGCCAACTGGTAAGAAGCAGCATGATTTTGGACAATCACTTAACTTCACTAAGTCTGTTTTCTACCTATAGGATCAAGCACCAGCTCCAAACAAACAAACAAAACATCAGAAGGCAGAGCTGTGATCCAAGCCCTCTTTTTCATGTTCAGAGCATACATCCTCCACCTTCATCCTACAATAATATCCCAACTAATGGAAATAATTATTTCTATTTTTGATTGCTTGTGACCTTTATAGCAGCCATGCATGAGGACACCCTCCACCCCTACCCTTGTTACTAACACGTACAATTGAACTAAAAAATATCAAGACATAATACTCAACAAACAACCCAGTCCCTGCTTCTCATGTTAGTTAAAAGCACACCAACAGGTAACTGGGAGATTCATACTGTGTAAAGTAGCAAATATTCCAGGCCAAATATTCCTTGTGGGAGGAGCAGTGATGATCTCTGCAGCTCTCCATGCAGTGGGAGGCCTCCCTTGGACTGGTCGTTAGTGAACCTGCTTCACACCCTCCACAGCTCTTCCTGCAGTCTTCCAAGGCCCCCAGACTTGCCTTGTCCCCTCTCACAGGAGTGCTCTGTCTGCCTGTTGATGCTGGAGGTGCAGGTGGGAGCTTCTCGGGCCAACTGCTGGGGTCTCTGTCTCCTCAGATCTGCTGCAGGAGAACATCTTCCTGTAACCTCATCCTGTGTGTCTGCCCATTGGCTCTGCCAACTCACGGGGTGGCTGACATACTCTGGACAAGACACCCACCAGCATGAGTTTGCCTCTTCTTTGTCACGGCAGTAAGGCTTTGTTCTAATTGTGTCACAGGAGCATTGAGGAGGACAGAAGCAGCAACTGTGACCTCCCCCTTGGCCATCAGAGGCACAGCTCTGCCCAGCTGCAGGCCACCTGCGGGCAGACCATGGCTCTCTGACACTCTGCATTTGAAAGCAAGTCTACAGTTGTCTTCCAAAGTGCTGACTCTTTTGAAACATCATCAAAAAGAAAAAAGAGGAGAGATTGGAAGAAAAGCTGTGAGATGATGGAGGCCTGAGAGGGAGAACTGAAGAAGGGTGGAGGACCTCAGGCCAGGGCCAAGAGGGACCAGCACTAAAGCCAAGGGTGGGCAGGAGCAGGGGCTTGTGGATGTCCCAACTCAGACAGTGCTGCCCTCTTGCACCATCCCTCAACATACAGGTGGGCAGTGTGACTGCCTGTGCCAAGGTGGGCAGGAAGGGGAACTGCCTCCTATCAAGGTATGGGAATTTCCTCCTGTGTAGGGAAGTGGAGAACCTATTATTTTTGCTACAACAATGTTCCTTCTCATCTTGTCTCCCTCAAATAGATGCTGGGATCCTGGCCAGGAGGTGCTGTCTTCCGGTTTTCTGTCTGTCCCTGGGCTGGAGTCTCAAGTGACAGGACAGGACACCTGGCAGACTCCTGAAAAACTCTGGCATGCCTGCAGTGTGCCCTGAAATGGACGCTGCCGTCCCTGCAACAGGGACACATGCTCCTTTCTCTAGAGTTACAGTGTCTTCAGGCTTTTCATCTTCATGGAGGTCAGTTTTTACCTTAAGTTATTAATTTTCTTACAACATTTAGCATCTTGGCAGCAGGCTGTGATGCTTGAGCGGTGCTCACACACTGAGTTCTTAGACCTGATAATGCTTATTTTAAAGTTGCAAGGTCTACTACATTGACCCGAGGAATAAAAATTAAATCTTAAGTTCCCCCAGTTGACTGATAGAACCCTCTCTTGGCCAAAGGGCCCCAGAGAAACCTTAAAAACTGAGCTCCTGGCCATGATGGGATGGGAGGTCAGATACACTTCACCATGTCCCTTCCATATTAACCTTTAGCCAGAACTCTTTCCTAAGGAGTAAGCAGAAACCAGCTCTGGCAAACAAGAAACACAGGACTCATTCCTTTATCATCTGTAGCCAATCATCTGAGGCCGTGGCTGGACTCACCCTACCTCTTTGCAGTTTTGGAGTGACAGTCACCAGCTTCACAGTGCATCCTTCCTAAAATGGACCACCGCCTCTGGACCAGTTTTGGCTGGCTCACAGAGGATGCACAGTGAGTGGTTTGTGGCCCCTGCTTCACCTTTTGATGTCAGAGGCTAAAAACTACACCCTCGCATGAACACGTGACCCATGAAGAGGCATGAAACTCAATGGCACATTCACATTTCTCCTTTCATAAATATTCATTGCTCCTCCTATAGTTTATTGAATATGTATGTTCTGCCACTCCATTCAGCATAAATTCCACACAGAATACAGTCTCTCCTTCATATCCACGGGTTCTGCATCCATGGATTCAGCCAACCTCGATTCAAAAACATTTGAAAAAAAAGAATGATTGTGTCTGTACTAAATGTACAGATTTTTTCTTGCCATTATTCTCTGAACAATACAATATAACAACTATTTACATAGCATTTACATTGTATTAGATATAAGTAATCTAGAGGTGATTTAAAGCAATCTTGTCCAACCTGTGGCCTACCCTCCAACACAAATTTGTAAACTTTCTTAAAACATTATGATTTTTTTTTTTGCGATTTTTTAAAGCTCATCAGCTATCGTTAGTGTTAGTGTATTTTATGTATGGCCCAAGACAATTCTTCTTCCATTGTGGCCCAGGAAAACCAAAAGATTGGACACCCCTGATTTAAAGCATGTGGAGGATATGTGTAGGTTATATGCAAATACTATACTTTCATATATAAGGGACTTGAGCATCCGGTAATTTTGGTGTCCAAATCACCAAAACCCTTCCAGAGGAGGAGTTTTGGGACCAATCCCTTTGAAGATACCAAAGGATAATTGTATTTCTCTGATCACTGGTCACTAAAAAGTGTAGAGATTTCTCCGCACCAACCATTCCTTCAGCAGATAACAGCTGGGTGTCTCCTAATTCAATTCCATTCTGAAACTCTCTACCTGGACAGTGTCAGACCTCACAGGTTAAGGGCTCAGTCCCACCAGACTGTCCCTGCTTCAGATGCCAGTCACAAGTAGTAGGTTGTGACCTGTGCTCCTGCCCAACTGGCTGCAAATCAGGATTCCCAGCATCCCCTCCTCGGGTTTGATTAATTTGCTACAGTGGCTCACAGAGATCAGGGAAACACTTTACTTACACTTCTTCATTTATTACAAGGGATATTTCAAAGGATGAAAATGAAGAGGCAGATGGAAGAGGTGCGCAGGGTGAGGCATCTGGGAAGGGGCTCAGAGCTCCCACACCAGCTCCAGACACACCACCCTCCAGACTCCACGTATTCAGCTATCTGGGAGCTCTCCAAACCCTGTCCTTGTGGGTTTTCACTGAAGCGGCATTACAGAGGCATCATCAACCACATCACTGGCAATTGGTGATCAGCTCAACCTTCAGTCCCTCTCGTCTCCCCAGAGGTTGGCAGGTGGGGCTAAAAGTCCCAACTCCCTAATCCCGCCTCTGTCTTTCTGGTGGCCAGCCCCCATCCTGAAGCTCTCCAGGGTCCCCAGCCACCAGTCATTTCATTAGCACACAAATGACACTCTTAGTACTCTGGAGATTCCAAGGGTTTTAGGAGCTTTTTGCCAGGAAATGGGGACGGGGATGAAGACAAAATATCTATCTCAAAATAGCACAGGAGTTTAAATTCGTAACAGGCTTTCTAACATGCAATTTGTTAAGTCATTGCATGACTTAAAAATAAGCTATTCGAAAGCTTTAGAAAGCTATTTGGAAGGAAAAGTTGGTGAGTGTTCATGAAAAGATATGGATGAGGCTGTTCATTTCAGCCTTATTTATTTGTCTATTTATTTATTTATTTTTTGAGACACAGTCTCACTCTGTTGCCTAGGCTGGAGTGCAGTGGCACAACAACGGCTCTCTGCAGCCTTGAAATCTTGGGCTCCAGTGGTTCTCCTGCCTCAGCCTTCTGAGCAGCTGGGACCACATGAGTAGGCTCCTATGCCTAGCTAATTTTTATTTTTTTATTCTTTGTAGCGACGAGGTCCCCCTGTATTGCCCAGGCTGGTCTTGAATTCCTGGGCTCACATGCCTCTCCCACCTCAACCCTCAAAGTGTTGAGATTACAGGCGTAAGCCACTATGCTTGGCCTCAGCCTTATTTGTAATGACAAAAGAAAAACAATCTGATCCATCCTATAAACTAAAAATAAAATCCTAAGCCACCCCCACTGACTGAACAGACCCCCTCTTGGCCAAGGGAATCCCAAGCCTTGTTACACTCCTTCCCTTTTGGAGTTTAGGTGCAACTGTCCAGCATTAACATTAGAGATCCTAAGACTGACAAGACAGATTCTGTGTCAATAAAAGACCAAATTATAAAGAAGACCTAAGGCCATGCCAGGTGAGGGTTTAGTCAGGCCTGCAGGCCATCAACCTTGCTACATAGCATCCTTAACTTAAAACATGCCTTTCCGCTGACATCAAATTTTAGACAGAGCTTACTCCTTTAACCAACTGCAAATTAGAGAATCTCTGAATCCATCTATAATCTGTAAACCCCTGCTTCAAGATGTCCCACATATTCAGGTCACACCAATGTACATCTTCCATGTGTTGACTTATGTCTTTGCCTAGAACTCTTTCCTCCTCAAAATATGTACAACCAAACTAACCCGAGTGCCTCGGGAGTGCTTCCTCAGGCCCTTCAAGACTGTTTCCCCAGGCCACTGTCACTCATTCACTCATAGTAAACCTTTTTCAAATATTTTACAGAGTTTGGCTTTTCCATCAATAATCCATGTCTGAGAATTCTTAAATCAGCGTTCCTCAATTTAGATTATCTATTTGCTCCTGTCACTGTTTTTGACATACCCTGATATGACCTATGCTTTTACCTAATTCTTCTTGCACATCCGCAGAGACATGTTCTGTCAGTGTCGCCTCCCAAGTGTATCATGCATCTGTCCACTTGCCGCCATCTCTCTGCTACCCCCTTACTGGGAGTCCTGTCCCTCTTACTTGATGGTAAGTGCTTTGTGCTTCTTACTTCTTGACAGTAAGCGCTTGCGAATGGTGCTTCTTCCAGCCAATTCTCTTATGCAGCAGCCAAAATCCCGTTATGGAAAAACCAAGCTTCTTCCTGCTACACAACTTTTTTACTAGCTGCACATTCAGGACAGCCAGTGTCTCATTAATTACTCAGGTCACAATTCCTATTTTTACATCAGAGGACCCTTCAATGGCTGACGTCCTGTGCAGTGCTGGCCCCTCCACACACACAGCCCCTTCCCTGCGATGTCACCCTCATAATCCTGGTAGCTATGTGCCATCAACTCATGTATTTCTTAATAAGAGCTTTAGTGAGACGTCATTTGCATTTCAAACAATTCACCACTGAAGTGTACAATTCAGCGGTTGGTAGCATATTCACAGAGCCGTGAAGCCATTATCCAGTCAATTGCAGAACATTTTCAGCATCCTGAAAGGATGCTCCCCATCCCTTCCAGACCTAAGCAACTGCTCATCTACTTTCTATTTCTACGAATTTGCCTATTCTGGACATTTCCATGAATGGGGTCATTTATGACCGGCTTCTTTCACTGAACGTGCTGTTTCTGGCGTTCACCATGGTGTGGCATTTCTCACGTGTGAATGTCGCATTGTGTGGATGGAGCACGTGTTGTTTATTCACTCATCAGTCGGTGAATATTTGGGTTGTTTCCTCTTCTTGGCTATAATGAATGATGCTGCTAAGAACATTTGTGTGCACGTTTCTGTGTGAACATGTTTTCAAGAGTTGTGCTCTTAATACATTTGAGGAAGTTTTGGTGGAAGAGACCACAAAAAATGGCATATACATCTCAGCCTTCTGTTTATATAGAAAATATTTCTTGAAGGATACATTAAAAATTCTAGCAGCATGAATGTCTCTGGATAGTGGGCCTTGGGCTAGGTATTATTTAAGAATTTATTGATTTTTTGCATTAAAGAGAAAATATTACTATTCTAATTAAAAATATTATAAGGAAGTAACATGCCACACTTTGCCTAGCTTGGTTTGCTAGTTCCACGAAGTCACTGGCCTGGCATGCCAGGCCCTGACCCTTCCTGCCTCACTCTTGGATTTGCCATAGAAGCACCTGCCATTTGCGCTCCTGCATATGGAATCTGTTTGCTCCGGCTTCAAGCCTCGTGCATTTGTCTTCTGCCTGGACGACACTTCCATCCACGCCTCTGAGAGACTGAACACTGCTCACCTTTCCCACTCACCTGGGGAGCCTTCCCTTAATCCTCGAGACTAAATTCTCTCAGACACCACATGCCATCACTCTCCTCATTCTTACCCTCATGTTGACTCCGTGTGTGTGTGTGTGTGTGTGTGTTTGTGTGTGTGTGTGTTAGAGCTGTGTGGTGCTCCTCTTGGAAACAGTTTCTGAACCCATCTGCAGGCCTGCTGCAGGAGCTTCAGAAGGCACATAGGGAGAGGGATGCTGGAGTGAAGAAGGTCTCTTTATTGGATGTTTTCTTTCTAATTTCAGGTGGTGACTTTATGCTTGGTGGATCTGAAGCAACATCCTCAAGCACAAAATCATTTTTATGATGTAAAGATCCATTTGGGGGAGCACCTGGCACCTGTCAAACACCACCCAGCTCCGCCTAGAACCGGGCTGTGTTTGACCCTGCTCTCTCCTCAGACTGTGCTCCATGTGGACACCTGTGGCTAGCTGGGTGAGGGGGAAGACTGCGGGATAAAGAGAGAAGGAGGAGGCAGGAGAAATGCACCTGGGCATGCTGCCACCCCAGGCACGCACGTGAAATCTTCGTGGATGGGCAGGAAATGCCCATCCGTAGTAGCATGGGAAGCAGCATGGGGATAAACAAAGACCACTCAAATGAGAGACGCAAAGGCCCCAGCAAGGGAGTCAGCCATCGCCAGTTGCATTTTGGTAGAAATTTCCAGGCAGACAGAGGATGGGAAAAGTTCACAGTGGAAAAAGAGGAGGCTCCAGGTGCACTCCGAGTGGAGGCTGTTGGCTTGGGGAAGCTGGGGTGGCCGACCAGAAACGGGGCCTCCTGTGTGGTCAGTTAGGGCAGCAGATTTTCTGGTTGGTTCTAAGTTGGAAGCTGGGACAAAAATTAGGGAAGCTGTTATTAGTCAAGTTCTGGCTGTTTTGGGCTGGTTGTTACAGGGCGGTGTTAGACTCCCTGGATTGACTGGAGATAGCGGGCTGGCTTCCTGCAGGTCTGACTTCTAGTGGGCTGGCTTCCTGGGCTGTTGCTGCAGATCCCAGGCTGGCTTTGGGGCTGGTTGCTGCAGATTATGGCTCAGAGTTTGATTTTTGTGTGTAGTCTCGCCACTGTCATTGTATATTCAGTCTCTCACAGGTCAGCTTATCAGCACCTGCTGGGCCACTCCAGGGCTTGCTACTTCAACCAAGGGATGGGTCTTGCAGATCTACCTTGCTAGCCCCCATTTCAGATGTGACGCTCGAGTCCTAACAAATGAAGGGCACATGTGTGGAGGCAGCTAACAGCACAGAGCCAACTTCTAGGAGAATAGGACGAGAGAACATAAAGATGTATTGAAAACCATAACTCTTGAAAACCGTAAAATCTCAATCCTCAGGCAGTGTCTGAAATAATCACAACAAAAAGTTCTTTATAAGGACAGAAAACCCACCTTTCGGCCAGAATCGCCATCTTCCAGTAATTCGCCAAAGTGACGAACACAAAGGGAAAGAGGAGAGGCACCCGATATATGTTCTCTAGGCCTTTTAGAAAACATGGAGTTGTTCCTTTGGCCACGTATATGCGAATCTATAAGAAAGGTGATATTGTAGACATCAAGGGAATGGGTACTGTTCAAAAAGGAATGCTCCACAAGTGTTACCATGGCAAAACTGGAAGAGTCTACAATGTTACCCAGCATGCTGTTGGCATTGTTGTAAACAAACAAGTTAAGGGCAAGATTCTTGCCAAGAGAATTAAGGTGCGTATTGAGCACATTAAGCACTCTGAGAGCCGAGATAGCTTCCTGAAACATGTGAAGGAAAATGATCAGAAAAAGAAAGAAGCCAAAGAGAAAGGTACCTGGGTTCAACTAAAGCGCCAGCCTGCTCCACCCAGAGAAGCAATGGGAGAACCAATGGGAGAACCAATGTAGAACCAATGGGAAGGAACCTGAGCTGCTGGAACCTCTTCCCTATGAATTCACGGCATAATAGGTGTTAAAAAAAAAAAAAAAGGCCTCTGGGCTGTAAAAAAAAAAGTAGAGAAAATCCAAAAGGAAATAATCTGTAAAGAGGCAAAACCAGCAAAATCAAGGGAGACTGAGAAATTTGAACCACAGCAACGGGACCCCACGGGATCCTAGCGTTGAGACCTTAAAGGGACCCTCGAGGACCTATCTCTAACCACAGCCTCCAGGCTGAACCTTTCTCACTGCCTTGGGGCCCTGACTTCACCAGGACCCGTGCACGGCTTAGCCCCTGCAGGAAGCCCAGGGCGTCCTGCTGGCCTTTGGTGCAGAGTCCTTGGATGGAGCAGTGGCAGTGGCTGACTGCAGACGGCGTGGCCTCATGCACTTTCTGTGTTAAATGCATAGGTGGTGGAGTGGAGAAGAAAGTGACAGGCAGAGAATGACAGATGCCCCCTCCCTGGTCTGCTGCTTCTCAGGGGAAGGTCTGCTGGGGTGACTAGGGGAGGAGGAGGCATGGCTCTGAGGCCTCCCTGCCGGCCACTCCAGGCGCTCCCAGCCCCCTGGCCTCCGGGCCCCACAGGTCCCTGAGCACCTTGCTGGGAGATCCCTGTGTCCTGGCAGTGGTGACAAAGCTCCTAAAGCCTACCTGTCAAAACTCCCAGCTCTGTGTTCAAGTATGTTTTTCAAAAAACATTGGAATGAAACTGGTAGGGTTTGCATGATCCTCGCAGTGGAGAAAAACGTTAATGACGTTGCTGGTTGGAGCCTGTGAGTGCAGCACCCCCTGCTCAGGACACACAGGCATTGGTGCTGCTGTTGCCAGTCCTGTCCCAGCCTAGCTGCCTTAGAGAGGTGCTGGAGGGTCAAACTCTGCAAAACTGCAGTTTGCCACTGGTGGGTGGCTCAGGACTCAAGGCTAGCCCCCAGCCCCAGTCCTACAAACCTTCCCCGTGGACCTGTCGTGATGCCACCCGTCACACCCCCACCCCCTGGGAGCGCTGAGGCCCAGTCCTGGCTGCCACACTCGCCATCTCCTTGCTCCCCCTAGCCAGAGGGAGGCCCAGCACCTCGTGGTCGCTTTGGGGGTTGGGGGCCCCAAGTGCCTGGGGGACATGAGTTTAAGCAGAAATGGTGCACCCGAGGCCCCAGCCGGCCGGCCGGTCCCAGCAGCGCCCCCATTTCTCACGAAGGCTGGCAGCTACAATTCGGGCGAAGTCCACCGGCCCATCTGCACCTGAGCAGCGATACTGGCCCAACAGACTCCAAGTGCCTGGATTTGCGGTGCTAAACCTGAAGGCCTTACCCTGCAGATGCAGAGGCCGCCGCGGTAGATCACAGCAGGCAGAACTCCAGGTCAGCGCTCTTCCCTGGCACCACACCAGACCGGGCTGCCGACCACCTGGGTTTCTGCTGTGCCACACTGAAGAACATTTCTCCAGGGGACACAAACACTTAGCATTCTCTACTGAAGTTTTCTCTTTTACATTTAACATCGAGGTGTGCGATTCATCTGGAGTGCATACTTCTGTGCACCGTGAGCTGGTGCCCGCAGTTTGCTGGCCGGGGGCCGGGTAGGCAGGCATGGACAAGGAGTCCAGCACTTGTGGAGGAAGCTTTGGCAGCTCACTGACCAGGCAGCGGGTGCCCGACCTGGGTCCCTCTCCCTGCGCGCCCCTCCCCCATTTCCCTTCCCACGGTCCTCACTGGTCTGCCACACTGTCTTAGGGCAATTTCCCTTTCCTCCTGCTGCTCGCCCCTTGCCTTCACAGAGCGTGTTGCATGTGCAAACCTGGGTCTCTGACTGCAGCCCACCCTGGGACCCAGCAGGAGTAGGTGGTCATTCTCCAGGAGCACGTGCGGAGGTCTGTACTCTACCCTTTCATCCTCCGAGGTTAACAATAATAATAGTTATTGTTGCTGTTGTTCATCATTATTGTAATGATTACCATTATTATTTGTTATTGTTATAAAAACACTGAATGAGATTTTCCCATCCATAAAGGGTGTCTGGTTGACTGAAGGTGAGGAAGGAGGAGTTTCAGGCTAGGAAATATTCTAATTCCTGCTGTAGCCCAGGGTCAGAGGTCAGGGGGAGTCCTCGGCCCCAGAGGTGCTGAATCAACCCTTCACTCACAGCAAGTTCCCGTGTCTCTGGGGCGAATGCCCAGGGGTTTGGTTGCTGGGTTACATGGTCCTTAGGCAGGGGAAGCAAAACTTTACCTCTACTTTACCTCTCTGGCTGGGCCTAAACTTTACCTCTCTGGCTGGGCCTAAGAGGTAAGTGGACATAAAACACATTAACAGGAGAAAAGCACACAGATTTGCACATGTAAGTGGAACCCTGTAGGAAAAAGAGATCCGAAGAAGCAGTTAGGCCTGAACGCTTATATACTAGGTTGGACAAAGAGTAAGCTGTGAAAACGTGCAAGACAATGGGGTCTGGGATAGGGCAGTTCACTGTGGAGAAGTGACGAGGCAGATGAGGGTTAGTTTAACGAGATTTGTTCATACAGATTCCCCTCGGCCCCAACTCCCTGCCTCTGATGGTAAGAATGGCTTCCTTCCTCCTGGTACAGGGAGGGCGCCTTTCCCATGGGAGATTCACCTCCTACTTTCAGGAAGAAAAAGGGGAGGTCAGGGCATCTTCCTTGTGTCTGCTGTTTTTCAAGTGCCTTTAGCTTAAAATAACCCTTATGCTAAAGTGGCATATTTTGGGGTGGCATATTCTGCCACGCTTCACTTGCACGTTTTTGTTGTTGCTGTTTTCTTTTTTGAAACTGCCACACTGTTTTCCAGAGTGGCAGTACAATATTACCTTACCACCAGCAATGTGTGAGAAAGCCTGTTCCTTCACAGCCTCACCCGCATTTGATGCTGTTCCTATATTTTGTTGAAGGCATTTGATGGATGTGTCATGACGTCTCACTGTCATTTTAATTTACACTCCCACAAAAGGCTAACGTCTTCTCATGTGCCGACTTGCCATCTGTACATCCTGCTCAGTGAAATGCTAGTTCATGTCTGTGAACTAAGTTTTCTGAAAAGGAATGTGGAAAGTGACTTTATTTCAGTGAACAGTTTGTAAATGGGGAAGTTGCAGCCTTCAGTGTAAAAGGAAAGTAAGTTCTAGAAAACTAAGAAAGGGTTTGGGTTCTATGGTAAAAGTTTCTGTCCAGGTTTCCAACTACTTTCATTTATGTAAATGAAGGACTGAAACTTGTGCTGTCCTGATCGGTGGATGTAGCTGAATCCTGATTAGTCAATACAGGTGAACCCTGATTGATGCAGTTGAGTCCTGATTGGCCAGGGCAGGGGAGTTCTGACTTGTTCTTTAAGCCTTAAGCAGAAGACTGTCAGAAATTTCTTATAAATGGCTGTCAGGGGTCCAGGGAAGTGGTGCTCAGGATACAGTTATCTTGGCACTGACAACAGGAACTGGTTTGGTTTGGTTGTGGAAGGGAGGTCTTGTGATACTTTTACAACATCTTTCTGAGAACACAGAGTACATGAAGGCTCTGTCACCCAGCTACGGCTCCCTGGTTCCATTTTAACTTTGAGCACCTCAGTTAGTCTCCTGGGAGTCATTTTTTCTTTCTGCAGGGGGCATACTTTAACATGTCTTTCATCAATTTTGTAATTGGATTTTGAAGAAAAATACCGTTGCACTTTGAGGTTTTTTTTTTTACACATTCCTGTAGAATATATGGTTTGTAAATATATTCTTCTGATCTATAATTTGTTTTCCTTCTCTTAAAAGGACCTTTCAGCTGAGTGTGGTGGCTCACGCCTGTAATCCCAGCACTTTGGGAGGCCAAGGCAGGCAGATCACGAGGTCAGGAGTTCAAGACCAGCCTGACCAATATGGTGAAACCCCGTCTATACCAAAAATACAAAAATTAGCTGGGAGTGGTGGTGCGCACCTGTAGTCCCAACTACTTGGGAGGCTGAGGCAGGAGAATCGCTTGAACCCAGCAGGAGGAGGTTGCACTGAGCCGAGATTTCATCACTGCACTCCAGCCTGGGCGACAGAGCCAGACTCCATCTCGAAAAAAAAAAAAAAAAAGAGGACCTTTCACAGAGCCTGGGGTTTTAATTTTGATGACTTCCAATTTACCCATCTCTCTTTATGAATCATGCTTTTGATGTCAAGTATAAAATCTCCTTTTTTAGCCTAGATCCCAATTTTCTCTAAGAATTTTTTTTCCTAAAATTTTATAGTTTTACATTTTACATTGAAATGTGTGATCCATTTGGAGTTAATGTTTGTATGAGGTGTGAGGGTAGAACCCCCACAATTTATCCATTAAGAAAGGTGAGGAGACTTTATTTCTCATAAGGATTACAGCCTTCAAGGTGGCCATCCCAGCCAAGGGACCAGAAACAGGCACTTCGAAGGAGGAGGGGTTAGGGTAGCAGCTTTATGCTGGGCAGATAGGCTAAACATACATATTCAACAGGTTATAGGAGGTGCTATGAATATTCATGAAGGTGGTCCTGACACATGCATATTGAACAGACATGCATGTAGCATATGACCCATGTTCACTTTGGGGTGGAGACTTAACATTTAAATGTATTACAGTTAGGTCCTATATGTCAACAGGTCTTTTCAGGGCATGAAGTCACACAAGTGTGCAGCCTCTGTAAACCAGCCAAAGACAATCCATGGTTGGTGGTCTTATCAGGAAGTTATGGCTGGTAGAGCAGGGGTTTAGTAAGTCAGTGGGTGGTGGAGCTGGAAATTGTTTTACTCTTGTCTATCTTGAGGCCAGTGGTTGTTTAGCTGCTAGAGAAAAAGAAAAGCCTTGTGGTCCTTAGAACACAGTTTATTCTTTAAGCATAGGGTTAATGACTTAACCCTTGCCTGGCATGGCCTTAGGTCCTGTTTATAATTTGGCATTTTATTGCCACAGAGTCTGTTCTGTCAGTCTTCTGATCTCTGTGTTAACATTAATGCTGGTCTAAACCCCAAAAGGCAGGGGGTATAATGAGGCGTGTTTGACCTCCCACCCCATCATGACTAGAACTAAACTTTTAAGATTTTCCTGAGGTCCCCTTGGCCAAGAGGGGGTCCATTCATTTGGTGGGGGCCTGGGATTCTAAAGTTGACAGTGTCTAGGTCAAGGGTTTTGTTTTGCGTGCTTGTTTGCTGTGCCTGTGATGTGCAATTGCCCTACTCCCATTTGATGGAAAGGCTACCTTTCCTCCCACAAGGTGCTTTTGCATGCTTGTCAAACACCAGCTGGGTGCATTTGTTTTGGTCTCTTTTCTGTTCTGTAGATCATCTCCCTCTGTCCATACCACACTGTCTTTACTAGCTATTTAACGTGTTGAAATAGGGGTAACTTAATACTTGTTTTAAATTCTTCATTTAACATTTCATCATCAACATTTATCTCATCTAAAACAAAACAAATTCACACAGTGTACGGTGTGGATGTACTGGAGTTTATTTAACCCGACCCCTCTTAATCAATGGCTATTATCCCCCACCCCAGTTTTTTTTGTTATTATAGTAAATAATGCTGAAATATTTTTAAAAGATTTTTTAAAGTTTATTTTTAATTGACAAATCATAATTGTATATATTCATGGGATACAATGTGATGTTTTGATATATGTATACATTGGTGGAACAATTACTTTAAGCTAATTAAGATATCCATCACCAACACATCTATTTTTTTGTGGTGAGATTATTTAAAATCTACTATTTAAGGAATTTTGACATATAAAATGCATTAACTACAGTCACCGTGCCATGTGGATCACTAAAACATATTCCTCTTGTCTAACTGAATCCTTGTACCCTTTGACTAACATCTTCCCCCTCCTGCCCTTCCCCCGGCCTCAAGTAGCCACCGTTCTACTCTCCGTTTCTATGAGTTCAACTATTTTCAGATTCCACATACAGGAGAGACCAGGTGGTATTTGTTTCTGTGCCTGGCTTACTTTTCTTAGTACAATGACCTCCACGTTCATCCATGTTGTCGCCAATGGCAGGATTTCCTTTTATTCAAAGGCGGGACAGTACCCCGTGGTGTACATACACCACATTTTCTTTATCCGTTCAGCCACTAGTAGATGCTTCCATATCTTGGCTAGGTTGCTTCCGTATCTTGGCTACTGTGAATGAAATCAATATTCTTATCTTATGCATAAGCGATCCCCACACTCATTTGTTATCTTTTGACTTTGCTTGTGTATTTTGTTCAAACTTTATGTTGTCAAGCCGATCAATCATTTCCTTGATGGCTTCTGGGTTTATTTAATGCTTTAGAAAGGCTTCCCCATTCCGAAAAGACAGAATAAAAGCGATTCACCCATGTTCTCCCTTTCACGGTTTCAACTTCACTGTCTCTCCCGCCGCCAGAGCCCAGCAAAACTTTCTAATCCGCGAGGAGCCCGGGACCCCGCTGCGCTGGGAAGCCGAGGCAGGGCGCCGGCCTGCGGGGGTCTTCGGAAACGTTCCCGGTTCCCGCGGAAGATCGCCCGGCCCGGAGCCGCGTGGGCTGTCTGTCCTCGCAGGTAGCAGTCACTCGGAGCAGAACGGTAGTTAGGAAAAATTTTCAAGTCTCCTTCGGCTGCGGGGTCGCGCCATTCCAGGCGGTGCCAACTGGGAGCTCCTTCACCCGCCCCAGGCCGAGAAACGCGATCCCAGTTGGTCAGGGACTAGGAGAGGCCTCGCCCGCCGGAGATGCGGATCCGATCCGCGGCCGCTGGCGCCGGCTGTCGGGCGCCACCTGGCTGCACTGTTAAGGTTTTCTCTCCGGCGCTCTGGCGAAGCCGGCAAGAAAGGGGATTTGGCCACAGGGCGCGGTGCAGAGTTCCAGGGGACTGGCAGCGCTGGCAGGATGAGCCCGGCTTTGCTGGGTGTACTCTTCGTCCTTTCGTCGGAGATTAAACCTGAGGGTCAGCGTTGTAGGCGCGCTCTTGAGCTCGGAGTGCTGTGGCCTGAGCGGGTCAATTAGTACACGCGGGAATCGCTGGGCCTTCCGAGAGTGTGAACGGGGGATGGGGTATCCCGCCCGGACGCTGACTGGCGTGGGGCCCGGTCCTCAGGCCTTCCATTACACCCATTATCTCCAAGCCCCGACCCGGAGGTGAGGACCGGCCCGGCTGTTCCAGGAGGACTGCGAAGGGTAGCATGGGCCCGTCCGTGGCCACGCGTGGGTCATGGTCATCCGACTTGAGCTTCACACCTTTTTCTGAGTCTTGTTTTGGAGGTGGAGACTGGCTTGGGCAGTACGAGAAAAACGGGGAAGGCGCAGTGGATTTAGCCGTGGCCCGCATAATGGGATCTTGTGGTTGGACTTTGGGGCCCCACCCTCCCCACCGGGGAAGAGCGTATAGCCTCTGGCTCCGAGATAGAGGGGCGACCAGATGTCCCATGGATGATCTTTGTTAGAGTTGCTGGGTCGATCAGCCTCATTTCTGCAGTTTTGATGTGGCCTCAGAAAGCTGATCAGATCGACCAGCAGCCCAACCAAGCAGATGGGCAACTAGAATTTGGGAGAGGAGAAGGGGGAAAGGCGAGGAGAGAAGGGCGTCGGGGGAGGCCTGTGGGGAGGTAAGGGTAGGGGGATGGGGGAACCTGAGATTTATATAGCAATAGTAATTGTTATAAGCAAGTATTATAAACAAATAATAATTTATTTACATTTAAAAACTATGTCAATATAAATAATATACATTTATAGAATTATAAGTATAAATTATACTTTATAAATAATAAATCTACATAAATAGTGATTAGACATAAACAGTTATACTTCTGAAGAGGACGCAGGAGGGGCTTTCTGTCTGCAGAAATTTCTAAATGCCCCTGGGGAGGCTGAGGTAGGTCGACCCCGGTGAATTTTGAAGTCCACTCTGGGTGGGGAGCTGGCCCGGGAGGCGCTGGGGAGTCTGTCCCCTGCTCGGCAGCTGTCCCTGGCCTAGGGCGCTCCTCCCCAAATTTTCCAAGGCTTCTTTTGGCTGCCAGGGATCTCACGGTTCCACTCACGCCTGCCAGGGAACCCCGAGGTGGGAATGCGACCCGAGGTGGACCCTGACGAGGCCTGGCGTCCTACCCGCCCGCCCGCGATCCGGATCCGTCCGGCTGGCTTTCACGCTGGTTGTCTAGCGACACCTGGCGGTCACCTTTATATATAGCAAGCTCTACCAGCGGGGGCGACGTGGGATTGGGTGGCCGGATGGTTAAACGGGATATTAGGTTATGGTGGGGGGTGGGGGGGCGTCCTGAGGTTTATAGTAGTAGTAGTAATAATATTCTTTTTATTATGTAATTTATAAATATAAATTGTCATAAATACACAAATAATATATACTTATGTAGATACTATAAATGTCATAGTACAAATATGCGTAATATATAGATTATATATTTTAGTAAATATTTATGTATAAATATTAAATCAGTAATTATAATTATTTGGTCCTTGCTGGGATTCATCATTATTGTAATTATTACCATTATTATAAATAGTAATTGTAGTAGTAGTAGTAATAGTAGCAGCTTTTTTTTTTTTTTTTTAAATAGCAACACTGAATAAACTGTCTCTGTCAAAGAAAGGTGATCAAGTGACTGGAGATAATAAAGAAGGGTTTCAGTCCGTGGGATTTAAAAAATCCACCCAAGAGCCTGGTGACGCTCTGACCCACAGTCTGTGAAGCAGCCAGCTGGAAACTGCATACAGCAACCCTAATGGTCAGGACTGCACTGACGGCTTCCCTCCTTTTTGCCCTTGCTTCCAACTTAGGACCAACAGGGAGAACCAAATAGGCACCCTCTTACCAGTCAGGTAGGATCCCCTGACTGGATACAGGAGATGGAAATAAATTGTTTAGGCAGATAGGGCAAAAGAGTCCTTGGCAGAACTCTAACAAAAAACATCCCAAGAAATCATTTCTTTCTAACAAAGAGCAGCCTGAAAGATGGAGCTGCAAACATAGATGAGGAAGCTGGAAGCTTGCAGGGGGGTGGGGGAGGCCTGCAGCTGCACTGATAAAAGGGACTACCTGGCGCCAGGCATGTCCACCATGGGGGGTTCACCTTCCCTAATTATTTTTTGTTGTTGTTAACACATGCACAGTAAGAAAGAAATAAGCAACATGGAGTAGCTACCCACGTGCGTAATAAAAGATTGGTGTGGGGGCGTCCAGAGATTCGTGCCCTATGCAGATGGCACACCTGGTCCTGTTTTTTCGCACCCGATGTAGATCAGACACTGCTCCCCACTAGCTCATCTATAAAAATCTTTGCATTCCACTGTGCATCAGCGACCTATTTTTCCGGGACCCCTCTCTGTAGCAGAGAGCTATTCTCTTTCTTTCACGTATTAAATTTCCACTCTTAACCTCACCCTTTGTGTGTCCTCGCCCTTGATCTCTGTGGCTGTGAGACAATGAACCTTGGGTGTCACCCCAGACAATGAGGCCACTTCACTAGCAGCCGCCTCTGGTGGCTGGCAACCCCATCAGGACTCCTCTTCCCCTTTTCCACCGCAGATTTCCCATTCCTCTCCCTGCCTTTGAGTCTCTGCCAAACATTATTGAGCTGCATGAAAGAACCTTAAATGCATATTACTAACTGAAAGAAACTGATCTGAAAAGGCTGCATACTGTAAGATTCCAACTCTGTCACATTCTGGAAAAGGCACAACCATGGAGACAGTAAGAAGAGCAGTGGTTGGCAGGGGTTGGGGGAGAGAGGGATGAACAGGCAGAGCACAGGGGATTTGCCGGACTGTGAAACTACTCTGTATGATATGACAGTGGTGGATATGGCATTAGACATCTGTTCAAACCCACAGAATGTACTGAGGACTAAACTGACATTTTTTCTCTCTTGCCCAAATTCCTATCTAAGGGGCCTGGGGAGTCATACCCTAGAAACTGACATCTCAACAGATGGGCTTTATTTAACCCTATATATAACACAGCTTTCTTTCCCACCTGACTCTCGTATAACATCATATGACAGATAAAGAAGGAAATAAAAATATTTTACCCCAAAATAGGATTTTTTTTGTGTATTTTGAAATGGCCCTGCAAAGCTGTCTCTTGTGGGGAAAATTTGCATCCGTAAAGAATCTCTATTACCATAACTAGCTCTTTTCCCTTCCAGGCCCTCCCAATCCTCTAGAGATTAGCTGAAAGTCTAGCACCTTTTAAAAGTCTGAATAGGAAATATTGGCCATCTATTGTCTCTAAGGGCGACCTCCATGAGACTTCATCTACATGGTAAGAACCTTGGTCTCCACAACCCCTTATCTTGACCCAGATACTCCTTTGTATTGATTGCAGGTTTTTAGATAATAACTGTTTCAATGAATTGCCAATCAGAAAATCTTTGAATCCACCTATGACCTGGAAGCCTTCCTCCCACCGACCCCCTTCGAGCTGTCCCACCTTTCTGGACTGAAGCAATGTACATCTCACATGTACTGATTAATGACTCATGTCTCCTTAAAGCGTATAAAACCAAACTGTAAAACAACTGCTTTGGGCACATGTTCTCAGGGCCTCTTGAGACTGACTGTACCTTGGGTCACTCACATTTGGCTCAGAATAAATCTCTTCAAATATTTTACAGAGTTTGGCTCTTTTCACTGACAATACAACACCAAGAGTGACCCTAATGTGAACCACAGACTTTGGGTGATAATGATGTGTTGGTGTGGGTTTAGCAGTAGTAACAAATGCGCCCTGCTGATGTGGGACATGGACAGTAGGGCAGGCTGTGCATGTGTGTGTGTGTATGTGTGTGTGTGTGTGTGCGCACGTGAGCACATGCGGGCCGGTGAGGGGTGTATATGAGAGCTCTCTGCACGCTCAGCTCAATTTTGCTGTGTAAGTATAGAAAAAATCTTTCCTCCACCCATCTAAGGTTTATTGCCTTGGCCCCACAAATTTAGACCAATGAAAGCCAGGTTAACAAGAGAAAACAACGCATTTATTAATTCATGCATCGCAAATACACATGGGAGAGCTCAGTGATAAGTAATAACTCAAAAAGGTGGTTAGAACTTGGGCTTATTAGCATCTTAATGAGAGAGCAATGTATTTGTAGAGAAGTGGAAAGACAAAGGAAGGGGACCTTGAGCTTCTTTGGATAACAAGTTGTGGGAAGGTAGATCTATGGGGGAAGCTGACAGATAAGGTTGATTTGGTGTGCTTGTGATGTTGATTTTTCTGGTGCTACCTCTGGGCTGGTAAGAGCCATCCTGCCCTTCTGGTAGATGGGGACAGGGCAGAGAGTTTGTCCTGTGTCTACTTGGTCTCAGTTGTCTTCAGCTCAAAATAATCTTTGTATCAGAGTGGCATATTTTGGGATGGCATACTCTAAGCCCCTTCAGCTGTGAATTCAAAACAACTCTAAAAAGTCAATTAAAAATTGTATTCCTATAACATGGCCCTTGCTGGTGGGGCTCAGGACACACCACCCCAAAATATGACAGTACAAAACCAGATATGTGAACACAAAATATACTTCTTAGGCAAATTTTGATCTTGTTATTCTAAGAAATTGCAGACACAGGAGTAGCTCTGAAAAACTGCCCTTTTGTAAAAGAAATTTATAACTATAAAAGAAATCTACATTAGTGAAGTATCTGTATCAGGAAGAGGGCTGGTTCCAGACAACTTCTATCACCCCAGAGACTTTTCTCTGCAGAACAAGACACCTTTTATTCACCAGACATTGCCTCCCCTCACCCTCCCAGAACTTGTGCCCATCCTCAGCAAGCCCCAAGCCCCTGTTCCTTTCTGTAACTCAGGACACTATCTAAGCTTCATTCATCTGGCCCTTCTCCTAGTCTATAGTTTGGGGGACTCCTGTGCATATAGATGTAATTAAAGTGGTGTTTCTCCTATTAGCTTTTCTTATGTCAATTTAATTCCTAGCCCAGCCAAAGAACCTAGAAGGGGAAGGGGAAGGGGAAGCCATTTTTCCCTCCACGACCTGCTTTTCAAGATCCCAGTTTGTTGGAACCACTTCAGAGTTAACCCTCTGTAAATACTTGTCAGTCCTCATCTTTTCAGTGTTTTCACCTGACATTCACTCTTTATTGCACTCTTACGTCTCCCAACAGGTTGCTCAAGAAACTCTCCCTTGCTGTGGACACTGCTGACTTCTGTAAAATACATTTACAGGAGGCCATTAGTTTGGACTGAGCTTCTGCACTAGGCCCAACAGACTGAGACGGAGCATGGACCCCTATTAGAGGCCTGCTGGGCCTCCTCCAGCATGGAAACAAAGGAAAATCTTGATTTCCTTCAAGGGAAATTCCAGGTACCTAGCTGGCCTTGAGAAGTAAATGAGCCACCTGATAAGCAAGAAGGGAATAATAGCTTCAAGTAACAGGCACTCAAGTAAGTCAGAGCCACAAGGTGTTTGGTCCCCTATTGAAACTAAAGATTACATCTTAGCATATGTCCATGAATGGTTTTTCAGAAACCCGGACCCACGTCAGATGGAAAATACTGACCATCATCACAGAGACCTCAGATGTCGGGGAGCTGAGGGCTGCACTCTGACGGCTGCTCTTTGTTGTAAATTTCTTTCTCAGGGGCCTGGAGAGAGTCATGCCCACAGGCCAGACCTTAACATTCCTTTCTGCTGACCCCAAGTTTTCGACAAAGCCTGGCTTCCTTAACCAATTGCAATCAAAGAATCCTGAAGCCGCCTATGACCTGTAAGCCCCTTGCTTCAAGAGCTTCCGCCTTTTTGGGCCAAACCAATGTATACCCTCTGCATTGATTTATGGTTTCCCTGTAACTTCTGCTTTCCTGAATTGTTCCCCTGCCTTTAAAATCCCTTGCTTGTAAGCCATCCAGGAGGTTGGGTCTGAAGTGTAAGCTGCCCCATTCTCCTTGCTTGGTGTCCTGCAAGTTAACACCCTCCTTTCTCCTGCTGCAAACCTCCGTGTGGGTGTTTGGTTTTACCACACGGGGCAAGCAGACCCAGGTTCAGTTCAGTAACAAGACCGGACTGGAATGGAGTTCCTTGCGCTAAAGTTCCACTTTTCCAAACCAAAACTAAGTTGTTTATCTGACCTTCTGAGAAGTCAGGACACAGAGAGATAAAAGGCAAATCTCCAACAGGCCAGGTTTAGCCAGAGTGATAAGCAGTCCTTCCCCTCTGCTTTAATGTTTACAAGGAAAGTAACTTTGCAACCAATCTATGCTTTGTTCTTTGCTTCCACTTCAGCCTTTTCTATCCATAAAGCCCATCTCCCCCACTCTGCTTGGAGGAACGCTCAGTCTGTTTTATGGAATGAAGTGTTGCCTGATTCTAGAATAGCAAATAAAGCCAATTAGGATCTTTAAACTAAATCTGTTGTACTTTTGTCTTTTGACAGTTCCATGATGGAAAATCTAATGGCCACTTTCCATTACCACATCCCAGGAGCAGTCCAGGTAAGTGGCTCCTTTTGTTTCTGGGGTCCATCTCGCTCCTGGCTCTTGACGCCGATGCTTCTCCTTCTCCTCCTGCATTTCTTGTGCTCCTCCCCAAGGTTTGCCAGCGCGCTCACAACCCTTGCTTGGGATTTAAAATCTGAAGTGCGTCATAACTCACCCCTGGACTCTGTTATTCTTTTATTGGTATGCCAGAAAAAAAGAACCCCAAGCTCTCTGGGTGACCAAATTGATATTTAAAGCATTAATTATTAACTCTATTCTTACAACCTCCAGATTTTATCTCCACTCAGAATTATATGTACAGCTGCCTAGCTGATTTCCAGACTGAAATGCCTCTTTGACATTACAGATTAAAACTGATCCCACTCTATTGTCCAGGTCATCTTCCTTGACTTGGCTGTGACCCAGACTTACTGTCTAAATAAATGGTGTGACGGCTCACCTAGGGACCCCAATCCAGACTCTAGGAGAGTTTCTTCAGCCTGTATCCCCCCATGTCATGAATAATCCATTACCGAGTCCTGTTCGTTCTTCCTATACATCTCTCCAAAGGCTTCCCTCCATTTCCACAATGACCCCAACTGTTTCACCACTCGCTCCTCAAAGAACCTCTGGATTTGTTTCTAGCTTTTGGCTATGAGGAATAAGCCTGCTGAGAACATTCAGCTCCAGGATTTTGTGTGAATGTAAGTGCTTTAGTGGTGGGGCGGGACCCTGCAGGCCATCCCTGGGTTGGATGATTCTCTAGAGGGACCCAGAGAACTCCACCAAGCTGACCTAAGGCCCTGAAAGTCAAACAGATACCGCATGGCCCAATGCCTGCACCATAGCTCACTTGTTGGAATAAACTGCCTAAGAAAAATGGGGGTACGTGGTTACATTATCAGAGGCATCCCAGGTGGATCCTGGAGACATGGACAGTACCCGTAGTCACGAAGCTGACAGCTGGAAGAAGCCCATCTGGTTCAACCCCTGTCTGGCATATTCCTTCCTTCTCCATCCTCACTTTCTACCCCTCACAGGGACAGAGAATTTACAGCTTACCGAGCCAGGCCATTGCACTTTTGGACAACTCTACTAAATGGATTTTCCTCATGCCATTGCATAACTGCTACCTGCCACCAGAGCCTCAGAAATACATGGTTTTCCATCAAGCACTCATGGAACATGTAACTGTGGGCGCTTCTAGGGCGGTTCATGATGGATCCTCCAAGATCAACTAAATATAAAACAAGCTCCCAGGTAACAGAACCATTTCAGCTGTTAAATAAAATCATCTGTATTAACCTAGTTTAATTATGAGGGACATCTCTCCCAACATAATATATATATATATAATAAATATATACATATATAATATATAATAAATAAATATATATAATAAATATATTATATATATATATATATATATTTTTTTTTTTTGAGACAGGGTCTCACTCTGTCACCCAGGCTGGAGTGCAGTGGTGCCATCACAGCTCACTGCAGCCTCAACCTCCTGGGCTCAAGCAATCCTCCCACCTCAGCTTCCTGAGTAGCTGGGACTATAGATGAATGCCATTATGCCCGGCTAATTTTTTAAAAACTTTTTGTAGAGGCAGGGTTTCGCCATGTTTCCCAGGCTGGTCTCCAACACTAGGGCTCAAGCAATTTGCCTGCCTTGGCCTCCCAAAGTATTGAAATTACAGCATGAGCCACTGTGCCTCCAACATACTCATAATTTTTTTAAAAGAATAGTTGGTATTTGGGGGCTGGGTACAGTGGCTCACACCTGTAATCCCAGCACTTTGGGAGGCAGAGGCAGGTGGATCACTTCAGGTCAGGGTAGTTCGAGACCAGCCTGGGCAACATGGTGAAACCCATCTCTACTAAAAGTACAAAAATTAGCCAGGCGTGGCACACACCTGTAGTCCCAGCTACTTGGGAGGCTGAGGCGAGTGGATTGCTTGAACCCGGGAGTCAGAAGTTGCAGTGAGTGGAGATCGTGCCACTGCACTCCAGCCTGGGTGACAGAGCAAGACTCCATAAAAAATAAATAGTTGGTATTTGAGCCTTTCTTTCTGAAAATGATTGATAATGGCCCCATTCATCTGTTGAGGTTTTATATGAAAACAAAACCTTATACCGTTGTGTGGAGAAAGGTGCTGACTGTCCTCTTTGTGGTGGGGTGAATATGGCTTCAGCACACCCAGCAGCTGTTTTGGGTTCTCAAGAAGGGAGGCCCAAAGTAGTCCAATCGTAATAGGGTCTCTCAGAAACCCAGCCCAGCTACTCCCCTCCCTCAAGGGAGTTTGTGACCTTGCTACTCACAGCGTGGTCCATGCATCAGCAGCACTGGGGTCACCTGAAGTTTGTGTGAAATGTGGCATTCCAGGCCTGCTGCACCACGTGCATCAAAGCACACACGTTCTTCCTATTGCTGAGAGGGAGGAGGGACGGCAGCACAGGAGCAAAGCCATCACTGTGATTGCGGTTAGGGACAGTGCCAGAGCACCCAGCCCCGAGCCCCACCACCACCACCCCTTGTCCTTAATTACAGAATTCACTTGAAATTAAAAATCCCCGCTCCCTAAATACCCACCCTCTCCTCTGGCTTTCTTTTTAGCTGAGGCAGCTGCTCTCGCCTCTTCTTTCACTCGCTCCTGGCAGCACAGCAATCTCTGCAAGTTACTTGGACCCTCAGGACTCCTTGTTCAAGTGCAATGGAGGACCATGCAGATGGCAGGGAAAACCAAAGAAAGCTCAGGTGGCCCATCATGGCTGTCATCGGTGGAAGAACGTCTCTATTTAACACTGAACCTTAGTAATGACATGCTCTCCCCTTGTCCTGGACCTTCATTTTGAAATAGAGCATTCGGGTGGGAGGGGAACCACGGGGGCATTTCAATCCTGAACCTGCTCTGGGCGGTGGCTCTAGCCTTTGGGATTTTGTGCTCATTTACAGTTTTTTGAGATGGAATCTTGCTCTGTCTCCCAGGCTGGAGTGCAGTGGTATAATCTTGGCTCAGTGCAACCTCCATCTCCTGGGTTCAAGCAATTCTCCTGCCTCAGCTTCCTGAGTAGCTGGGATTACAGGTTCACGCCACCATGCCCAGCTAATTTTTGTATTTTTAGTAGAGATGGGGTTTCACCATGTTGGCCGGGCTGGTCTCAAACTCTTGACCTCAAGTGATCCACCTGTCTCGGCCTCCCGAAGTGTTGGGATTACAGGCGTGAGCCACCACGCCTGGTCTGTCCTCATTTACTTAAAGAGCCATTACTCACCCCCAATTCCCCATAGATAGTGGCCAACTTCTTTGAAATCTGGAGACATTTTCAAATGCTCAACCCTTTTTTCAGCAATTCTATCTGTTTCTAAAATAAGTGTCACTCAGGATGGATATGCTTTTAGAGAAACACTGTGACAAAGACCCTTTGCTCCAGAGGAAGGACCTGCAGTGGCCCCAGGCTGTGGCTCCAGCATCACTTGAGACAGTGTGAACATTTGGACACAATTAAAATGAGGACACTTAATCAAAGAACACACTTACAAAGGAAAGGGGCAGGAAAGCCAGGAGGCAGCAGGTGTGGGACCCCACATGGGACAGGCAGCTGTGTGTTGTTGGTACCACCTTCCTGCCATGGCTTTCCTACACCAGCAGAGAGAAAGCCCATTTCTGCTCTCTGCTGCAAGACTCTCTGGATGGAAGGCCCAGTTCCACAGGAAAGAAATCCTGGTGGCTGAGGCGTGCCTGTGCATAGCCTGGATGGCTCGGCCTGTGGCCGGCAGGCACCCAGGGCCCCTGGTGGGGGTCTCACCCGCTTGGGATGGCCTCAGCTCCCAGGCTGCAGCCACCACTGCCATTTCAAAGGTGAGAAGGAACTGTCTGTGTGGGCCTCTCATCCCGCAAAGTGAGGGAGGCGGGAGCTGGGTGGTGCAGGGAATTAGGAAAGGCAAACCTGGGACGTGCTGTGCCCTGCAGTGCAGTTTCCAGAGGGGAGCAGCCCGGGGTGGCAGACGTTTGCATTTGGATGTTAGAAATGCTCTTCCTGGCTGGGCATAGTGGCTCATGCCTGTAATCCCAGCACTTTGGGAGGCCAAGGCAGGCAGATCATGAGGTCAGGAGAGCGAGACAATCCTGGCTAACATGGTGAAACGCCATCTCTACTAAAAATAAAAAAAATTAGCCAGACGTGGTGGCGGGCACCTGTAGTCCCAGCTACTCGGGAGGCTGAGGCAGGAGAATGGCGTGAACCCAGGAGGTGGAGCTTGCAGTGAGCTGAGATCGCGCCACTGCACTCCAGCCTGGGTGACAGAGCGAGACTCCGTCTCAAAAAAAAAAAAAAGACAAATGCTCTTCCTGACTTTTCAGAGCTGACTGAAGCCCCCGTTTCTTGGCCTGTGTCTTTTCCTTGCCTTGGGGTCCACATTAACCAACTATATTCAATCAACAAGCTTAACACTGAGAATCAAGAGAAGCCCAGGATCTGGGGAGCCCGGGACCCCCTTCATCATCCACTGTGCTTGGGATGGGGCTCCTCTTGTTCTCCTGCCCCAAAGGAGCTGGCACACCAAGCGATGCTTCCAATTGTCCACTGCCTTTATGGGAAGGGACAGCGGTCTCTCCTTGGTGCCAGTGTTAGAAGGAAGAATTGATGCTCACTCGGTCCTGCTGTGTGTGGGAGTCTCCTCTGCACCCCACCCTATCTTGTCACTCGTCACCACTGGGTTGAGCAATACCAGACTTTGTTTCCAGGCTTTGTTTCCTGGCCCTTGACAATAAACAGAACAGTGTCCCTCAGCCTTTCACACCACATAGACCCCTCAGGATGAGGGGCTGCTCAAGCAGCTCCCACTGATGCTGGGCCTTGGGAAGAGGGGGCCAGTGGGGAGGGCCCTCCCCTGAGCTGAGAGGTCCCTTTATAAAGGCAAGTCCAAGCCCCAGAGATTTGGGGGTCAGCAGGGGAGAGAGCAGGGCTGAAGGCGTAGAGGGGGCACCCTGCACTTTATACCTGGGGCAATGCAACAACAAAGGTGCCAGGTATGTGGACACACACCTAGAGGAAGAGTGCTGTGCACCCTCAAAGCCTGGTCTGAGGATCAGCAAACCAGCCCCTCTGGGAAGGTTGTTGGAAAGGCCAACTCTCAAGCCCCTCCCCACCCCTGATGCACCAGAACCTTCAGTCTGACCTAGCCCTGGGTGACTCCCCTGCTCCCGAGGTCTGGGACGAGCTGCCTGCAGCACTGGCTCTCAATCTGCCTGATTGTCAGCACCATCTGGAGAGCCAGAGAAATTCTGAAAAGACAGATCTCTGGGCGCTTCCATCCCTGGGATTGTGACTCAGTAAGTAAGGGGTGAAGCACAATAATTCATATCTATGTTTTTAAAGCTCCTCCAGCATTCTGGATGCTTAGCCAGCCTGGGGACCCTCTCTCTGCTCTTCGGGTATCTTACAGGTAAGAAAGATGTCATTGTAAGCTTTTACCCTTGGAAACACATTCATTCCAAACATATCAAAAGAACTTATTAGGCCGTGTGTGGTGGCTTATGCCTGTAATCCCAGAGCTTTGGGAGGCCCAGGTGGGCGGATCGCTTGAGCCCAGGAATTTGAGAACAGCCTGGACCTCCTTGACTTCTGGGGAGTTTATGAGGGACCTGGACACTGTCAGAGTGGTTTTTTGTTTCCCTTTGTGTACAGTTTTGAGTTCATTGTTTATGTATTAGGGTTTGGAATAGGATCATATAAATATTTCAGGTCCTAAAATAGCTGTGACAGTGTCACTAATCTGCCCCTGAGCTGAACATCCACCCCTCCGCCGCCATTTAATCCTCCAGTCATGTGAGGGAGGATGGGAGTCTGTGTGAACGTCATTCTCACTCGCCTTCAAAGATCATATCTGCCTGTCTCATCTGTCAAGAACGTAGAGTTTGTTGTGATGGTGTATTCAAAATAGACGAAACGTGTGGTCATTGTACTTGGCAAACAGCTTTTCACGTCAGGATGTTTCTGCCCCCGGCTCAGGGCTGGTCCGACTGTGTGAAGAATGTGGCTCAGTGCAGGTGCCCAGTCTGCCACCCTCAGTCCCGCAGCTGCAGTGTTAGAATAACTGTGCTGTGGGCACCCAGCGTTGGTGACATGGGGAATGTGGAATAATGAATACTTAATTCACATGTGCTTATAGAAAAAACTTTATACAATAAAAATAACCAATTGTTATATTTACATCTTTTTCTGTCACTATATATAAAAGGAATCAAGAATTTTCATGCAGCTTCCGGGTATTCTTGAGACTGGTATATCATTTCTTTTTGAAAAGTGCATTATTGCATAACACCACCTAGATAAATATATTTTTATGTATTTATAAGTATATTTTAGCTCAAAAATATCAATAGTATACATAGCTTATAGCACAGTTTGGGAAATGCTGATGTATATGGTAATAATGCGTTGTTTGGGATGATTTAAAATTATATCAGGATATTAGGAGCCCAATATAGTGATCCAGATTGAGATCCTCTTGTCTAGTATTCTTTAAAATGGCAAAACATCAAATCTAGAAAATAGATAAGAAATGAATTTTAAGATAAAAGTACAACAGATTTTCTATTTTTACAAAAATCATTATTGATTTTCAAAAATATATTTTAGAATTCAAGCTGTTAATTTAAAAAGTGCTTATTTCATCATATAACGAACAAAACTGGATATAAGAAAAAACGCCTCGTCTTGCTGTCTCCAAATCTTGCAGCTTTTCAAAGTTTCAGAATTTTGTAAAATATTTTGAATAGCCCAGACTTTCTGAAAATCGGCGTAGCCTTTCAAAGTATTAGAATTGAGAAGCTTTTAAATGCCAATCTTATTTTATAAAGTGTTGACTTTTCACTGTAGACTAATAGCGAACAGTTTGTAAAGAAATGTAAATAAAAAATGTAAATAAATAAAATAGGCTTATTAGTTTTCAAAAAATTTATTTAAAAGGAAGGGGCAATGTTGATTGGAGTGAGGAAGTATTTGAAAATGTATTTTGTGAAAGAAATCAACGCACACGCACACACACATGCCTCAAAAGCGAAACTCCAACAATGCAGCTGCTGTTCCTTTGCAGCAATATTTATCTCACCTTGAGTGAGTGAGGGCCATGCTGCTTGGAAGCGTAATAACTTAAACACCTTGCCTATGTCTAGGGATTAAAAACTAAGCTCTACTCAGCTCATGTAATGCCCCTGACCTCCACCAGAGAGAGATTCTTGGTTATTCCTTGTGGGCAAATATGTCCATGGATCAGTGGATCAGGGACTGTTGAATCAGATATGTCTCCCTCTCTACATGTCACGGTTTGTAGAGATCAAAAATTTCCCTGAAAACACCCAGGTTTATGAAGCCAGGTGATCAGCCAGTTCTGAGGCCTAACTAGGGAGGCCAGAATCCTGCTTGCAGGACAGGGCTGGGTTGGGGATGTCTGTGGTGATGTCATCTCCAGCTGTGAGCTCCAGGGCAATGCTGTCTGGGATGAAGGTCTGGGGCACCCTGAGCTCCTGGAGAAACGGGTGCAGTTAAGAGCTCTATGAAGATTGTATGTGGTGGCAACGCTGCTGGGATACCCCGTGGGTAGCCTAGAGAAGAAGTACTGTGTCCCATTGCAGGTGAAGGTGAATTAAGGCAGAGAGGCTATTGAAATAGGCACTGAACAGAACATGATAGCCGAATCTATAACAGCAAAATATTTACCAGTTGTTGATTGGATGGGGTCAGTAAGTTCCATAATACTGGGTGTTGGGTATGGGGTCTTAATGAAAGGATTACAATGTTAAGGTTGTAGTAATCCACTGTGAAGCACCATTTATTTTTTTCCAGGCTTAAGCACAGGCAAGACTGAGCTGTCAAATGGAGAAGCAGTAGAGAGAATCACCCTTTTATTAATTAGGTTTTATATATTAAGTTTTAAACTTGAAGGTCCTGTACATCTGAATTGTGTCTCTCCCAAAATTACATACTGAAGCCCTTACCCCAGTACCTCAGAATGTGCCTGAATTTACAGATACAGCCTTTAAAGGGAGTGGTTAAGTTAAAGTGAGACCATTAAGGTGGGCCCTAATCCAACATGACAGGTGTCGCTATAAAAGAAGAAATCTGGAGACATAAAGAGACCTCAGTGCTGGGTGTGCTCATAGGAAAGGTCATCCCAGGTCGGGAGAGAGGCCTCAGAGAAACCAAATACCCCGCACCTTGGTCTTGGAATTCCAGCCTCCAGAACAGTGAGAAAATAAATTTCTATTGTTAAAGTCACCCAGTGTCTGGTAGCCCTAGCAGACTAACACATCTTGCTATAACTTACGTAGAGTCATATTAACTATTTTAACTGGGGACCTGCAAGGTCCAATTTACCTCATAATTATAGCAATATTAACTATTTTTACTGGGGACCTCCAAGGTCCAAGCCAATTTGTAGGTGCCAAAGACTTAATTGAATCATACATATTACTCATTGTGTTAGAGCATGTTTTAGGGCAATGAGTATTATGCTTATGAGAAATTTAGGCAAAGCTACAGTTAAAATAAAGCATGGCTATTTTTCCTCTATAGTTATTTTGCCAGGATCACAGGCATTGCAGTGTTTAAATTTAGTGAGATTCCCAGGTATAACTGTAATTTGAGTCCCAGCATTGACTAAGTTCATGAAGCTTTGTCAATTGGTGCATTTGTTAATCTGGAGCCCATGCTGCACAGGCACAAAAGCCAATCACGGCCCCTTTTATCTCTTTGTTATATAAATCCTTATAGTAAATTTTGTGTTTCCAATTGGGTCAAGTTATGGACCTTTGTTTTATTACATATTTATGTTACTGGGAAGGGGCACTGTTCCAGACCCCAAGAGAGAATTCTTGGATCTCGTGCAAGAAAGAATTCGAGGCAAATCCATAAAGTGAAAGCAAGTTTATTAGAGAAAGTAAAGGAATAAAACAATGGCGACTCCAGTGGCCAAGCACGGTGGCTCATACCTGTAATCCCAGCACTTTGGGAGGCTGAGGAGGCAGGCGGATCACCTGAAGTTGGGAGTTTGAGACCAGCCTGATCAACATGGAGAAACCCCGTCTCTACCAAAAATATTAAAATTAGCTGGGTGTGGTGGCAGGCACCTGTATTCCCAGCTACTCAGGAGTCTGAGGCAGGAGAAGCACTTGAACCCAGGAGATGGAGGCTGCAGTGAGCTGAGATCGCACCATTGCACTCCAGCCTGGGCAACAAGAGTGAAACTCTGTCTCAATAATAATAATAACAATAATAATAAAAGAATGGCCACTCCATAGGCAGAGCAGTGGAATGGGGTGCTCAACTGCTTGTACTTATTGTTACTTTTTGCTTATATACCAAACAAGGGGTGTATTATCCATGAGTTTTCCAGGAAAGGTGTGGGCAATTCCTGGAATTGAGTGTTCCTCCCCCTTTTAGACGGTATAGGATAACTTCCTGACGTTGCCATGGCATTCATAAACTCTCATGGTGCTGGTGAGAGTGTCTTTTAGCATGCTAATGCATCATAATTAGCGTGTAATGAGCAATGAGGACAACCAGATGCCACTTTCATCACCATCTTGGTTGTGGCTGGCTTCTTTACCGCAACCTGTTTTATCAGCAAGGTCTTTGTGACCTGTATCTTGTGCTGACCTCCTATCTCATCCTGTGACTTAGAACGCCTACTTTCCTGGGAACGCAGCCCAGTAGGCCTCAGCCTTATTCAAGATTCTCCAGGCTTGAGGGTGGAGCCTTATTTACCCAGCCCCTATTCAAGATGGAGTTGCTCTGGTTCAAAAACCTCTGGCATTTATATTAAAATATGTAGAATATATGAAACATTACATGCAGGTAATTTTTAATATTCACTTTATTTTCATCCCTGGTGTCTAGGCCTGCCCTCTCCCCCATTTCTGGGCTTCTGGCTGCCCGAAGCCGAGGTTTTGAGTTACTGTCTCTGGCTGACAACTCAAAGTGTGGACCTTCTAGGGGCTTGTAGGAGGCAGGGTGTGGGGTGGGGATCACAGGCAGCCCAGCCTCTTTCCCAGGCTCTCCAATCCCCTCTAAGGGGGTGGGATTTGCCCTTGGAACCTAGACGCCCCCTTTCCGGCTGCACACACCCTGCCTGCTGTTTCCTCTAGAAATGCAAAACTCCATCCCTGCACACTCCTAGATCCCTGCCGCGGAAGAAATCTTTGAAAAATGAAGTGGCTTCCTTTCAGGACAATATCACCATTTATAGTTTCCTGCTATTTACATCATATACAATTTTATCTGAGTTGGGCAGAGTGCACATGACACTAAAAACCAATGCAAAAGAGAATCAGTCACAAGATTTTTTATCACAGTATCAACCAAAATGCTCAATCTTACATGAAAAAGATATTTTCCCACTTTGTTCTTTCATAACTGTGACTTCTTTTCCTCTGGGTGTATATGTCACACATTTGTATGCATTTTCAAATGGGCTACAATTTGTAATTCCAGCTTGGCTTGAAAATGCAATTCCATATCTAGACATGTAGTTAGGTAATATTTTTCAGGAAATAGAATGTATTTACTACCTGTATCCAACGATTTCACCCATGTTCATTCATGGGCAATCCTGCTGCCTTGTGCGGGAAACCAAGATGGATCAGGGGCGAGTGGTGCCCTTAAAGCAGAGACAAGCTCCAATTATTACAATATTTCAAGTCCTCAGGTCTTTGTATACAAAATAATTTAGGACATAATTACTTTTTAGTTTAAATAGCCAAACTTTTTACATGTGCTATTTTTTAAAACTAAATTTTATTGAGGTATTGATATAGAAAAGAGACAGGGAAATACTGCATAGAAGAGGGCGGCTCCCCAGCAAAGGCCCCACCCTCAAGCCTGGAGACCCATGGCCCTAACTGGGAACAGGCATTTCTGTTTTCGTACCCAAAAAGTTGCCCTTTGGCCCACCACACCCCCGTATCCTGTACCCATATAAACCCCAAACCCCAGGCTCCAGGAGCAGATGAAGAGATGAAGAGAAAAGCAGTCAAACAGCAGAACGGCATGGCAGAGAAAGTGAGAAGATGAGGAACACCTGAACGCTGAGAGGAGTTCAGCTGCGGGTGGTAAGAGAGGAGTTTGGCCGTCCAGTGGCCAAACTCCAGGGGAAGATCGTCTTCGCACTCCCTCCCCACTTCCAGCTCCCCATGCATCCTACTGAGAGCCACTTCTACCCCTCAGTGAAACCCCTGCATTTATCCTTCAAGTCTGTGTGTGACCTGATTCTTCCAGGATCATGGACAAGAGCTTGGGATACAGAAAGCTGTCACAATGACCCTCTGCCTTTGCAGAAAGGCTGAGGGTCCACTGAGCTAGTTAACACTCAAGCCATCCACAGATGCCAAGGCTAAAAGAGCACACTGTAGCACACACCCACTTGGGCTCCTGCACCTGTCCCTCTGCGTGATCCCCCTCCCGTAAGGGGTTTGAACAGGCAGCGAGCCGAACCCTTGTCACACGTCCTGTGAGAGGGGCCAGGGAACACTCCCGTTTCAGTGTAATTTGTGTTTACTAAAATTAAAATGCAGTTTGATGAGTTATAAGTTGTTTTTAACATTATAGCAAAATTTGTTAAATACACAATAAAAATAGGTTTAAGAGGCACAGTTTGACTATAAGCATCTTAGTACATGGAATGGTTAACAGTTGTTAAAATATCAGTTTCACCAAATTGGGAAAATATCCAGTGTGACTGGAATAGGAGCAATTCCAAATTCGAGAGTATTTATTAAATATTCTATTACTCATTAGAAATCGAGGTATCCCAATGTGAAATCACTGTGACCTAAAGCAAGCAACTCATGTCACCTTGGAATCATGATTTCTTCTTCCGGATAGATAAGGGGATTAGACTAAAAGATGTCTTAGGTCCCTACAGTTCAAAAGTACTACGACTTCCAGTCCATGCCTGCAGAACACCGACTCCTGCCCCTCCCTCTTGGAAACTCTCCTCCTGCACCTCCCATCCCTCCACACCCTCCTGCTTTTCCTGTTGCTCTTTTCTGATCTCCAGCGGCCTCTTTCTAAATGCTGGCATTCCCCAGGCTTTACCCTGGGCCTCTGATCCTGCACTGCCTGCTCTTCACAGCTGCAGCAGCTGCCTGCCTGCTTGTAACTTCCAGGTCTGTATGTTGCTGCCCCACATCCTGGCCCCAGCATCCCGAAAGCACATTGGATGGCTGCTGGACATTTGTCCATGGGTGTCCACAGGCACATCCAACTCCCCATGCCCAGATTCCCCTCCCTCACACCTCAAATGCTGCTTCTTTTCCCATTTTATTTCAATAAAAAGCACCAGCACTCATTTTAACCTCAAAATCACTGAGTGATTTAATATTCCTATGGCATAGTAATCTATGTATTGGACATGAGAAAATGGACGCTTAGGGAAGTGAAGGAACATGTCTAAGGCTACATAGCCAGTCAGTGGTGGAGTCTGGATTTGAACTCAGGTGTGTCTGACTTGAAGGCTAGGGCCCCGAACCCTGTCATCCACCCTCATGTGCCTCAGGCGGGAACGTGGGTGCTGTCCTGGATGCCTCCTCCCTGTCACCACGCACGGCCACTCCGCCAGGACTCACAGGCACACAGGGCTCGCAGATCAGCTCCTCGCACCTCTGGCCCAGCTTGGTCAATCCACCCCCATCCTTGCTTCATCCCTAACACAGCCATCTTCCATCTTCCTCTCTTCAAGCCATACTTCACATTTAGAAAAGGTGCTTTTGCTACAGTACAGGTGACACCACTCCCTGGCTTACAAGGTGCTGGTGGCAACCAGAAGCTCCCGGGATAGGAGCAAGCCTCGCACTCACAAAAGCCTCTGTCTGCAGCTCCAGCATGGGGGTGGTCCTCACTAGCCACTATTTCATATTTGTGAACTTTTCTGCTTGTTAAAATGTATTTTTAACCCCCGAATCAATACTCGTGTTGCTTTCACAGTCACAGGAAAACATGTGCAGAGTAGGGCAACAATTTGAGCCATCGGCCTCCCAGCGGAGGCCATGCAGGGCCCCACGCTGCCTTCTTGTTCCTACTCTCAACCTGCAAACCAGTCTTCTCATGGTCTCTATAGTACCACTTCTTTTGCAGTTTTGAGCTTCTTGTTGTTGATTTCACTGTTTGAAACGGCCTCCAAGCATAATGCTGAAGCGCTGTCTAGTGTCCTTATGAGCAAGAAGGCTGTAATGTGCCTTACAGAGAAAACGCTTGTTAGCCAAGCTTGGTTCAGGTGTGGGTTCTAGTGCTGCGAACTGTGAGTTCAACGCTAATGACAAACACTACAGTGCATCCAGAAAGAGGAAGGGGAGCTTCACCAACCTGTACACGAGGCTGCTTGGGAAAGTGCAAAACTAATATCCCCTAGAGTGTGGCAAAACCATGGAAACCATAGAAAAGCAGCTACATTTGTGACTTCATGAGATGATGACCAATGAAAGCACAGCGGGCAGCACTGTTGTGAGGAGAGCCAAAAAGAGGCCTTAGCTAATGCTGCCTGGCTGGCACCTTTCAAAAGGCAGCATGGCATGGAAAGTGTTAGCTTTTCAGGAGTGGCAGCTCTGTAGATCAGGAAGTACTCTACGGGAAAAGGGTATGTGGAGAGCAGTTTTCAACACTGATGGGACTGCCTTGTTTTACAGGGATGTTGGAAAATGAACCCATGGAACATGAATGGTGCCTTGGCAGTTGAAAATATTGCAACCAGAGGCTTGCAGGAACCTTACCCTGTGTTTCCCCAGAAGCAATACTTCAGGACCCAAGGCGAGTTTACAGAACATAACCACAGCAAATCACCAGATAGGCCGCGCTCCTCAATCTCCTGCCGCGACGGCTGCAGCTCACTGAACCACGATTGCCTGAAGACGCTTTTCCTAGGGTGCCCTCTCCCGTCTGTCTCATCACCGAGGCTCATCCCTTAAACCTCAGCCCCAGTCATCCACAGGATATGTCTCTGGACCCTGCCTCCAGGGCACTGAGAGGTTTCTTATATAGCACTTTTATTTTTAAATTTGACATACAGTACCCACACCATATTGGATTGATGCTATGTTTCTATGTTATGTTATCTAGCAAAGTGCCTGACTCATAGAGACGAGCAGAAAATATTTGCTGAAAGAAGCATAAAGTTTAACAGTATTTATTCAATTTGTTCATTCTTCCTCACTGAAGTTTCTTGGGCCTTACATTTTTAATTGATAAAATAGTCTTAAATTAACATTCAAATAATAGCTCGTTCCCTGAAATAATCTAGAGAAGCCCTGTTCCCTCTCTTTTTGAGCTACCTATAATAACATTCTGCTGAGCCAACATGGAGCAGTTCTCCTGGCACATCCTGCCTGGGGAAACCGTGGCAGTGACTGTCATTAATGGGAGTCACAGAGCCCCTCCAGCCTCTAGACTATGCTGTCAAGTCTGTATGGTGAAGGCCCTGAGTCACCACAACACTGAAATTGTTTGAGGTGCTCTGGACCCAGGAAACACTGCCTGGCCATGGAACACTCTAGCGGAGGAGAGGTGAGGATTACCCCTGGCCATGGAGCACTCTGGTGGAGGGGAGGTGACGGATTATCCCTGGCCATGGAGCACTCTAGTGGAGGGGAGGTGACGGATTACCTCCTGGATCATGGCCATATGAAAGAGAAAGGTGTGGGGCTCTAGTAAACCACTAAGTTAACTGAAACTGGGAAACAGCCAGGTTGGCGGAACAGGGACCTAACCCAGTCTGCAACCCTTTTGTGTGAAAAACCACAGCCGTTATTCTTGCAACTTCAGAAGTGAAAAGGCGTGTGGGTTACAAGACAGCTAAAAGCAGCAGGGCGTTTCCCTCGGGCACCAGAAGAGGAAAGGTCTGGCAGTTAAAATTATTCCAACATATTCTTAGCATATAGCACAAGCTCACCTGCACATAGCGCCGTCCAGCACAACCTTAGAAAACTTCCCTCCAGCCCTTTATCTTTGCAGACAGCCCCTTCTCTGCTGTGCTGCATGTTGCATTCTTGCAATGTATTTTCATAGTTTCTGTAATAAATTTGCCTTTCTTTACTCACGGTTGTCTTGGTAAATACCTTTACTACCCACGACAACCCTGGCCCAGCAGTCGCACCCACGACAAAAGGGGCCCATGAGGAATTCTGCCAGGTGATGTCTGCAATACAGAGCCCAGGCTCTAACCGGAGGCAGCCAAGCTCCAGCCATTCCATCTTGAGCTTCTACCATAAGAGGAGCAACCCAGGACATCAGTAGCCTGGGAAGGAGAGAATGGCATTGTCCACAGGGACCTAAAGCCAGAACACCTGTTTCTGGCTACTTGACCTGAACATCAAGGTTGCAGACTTTGGCTTCAGCAACTGTTGGCAACAAGCTGAACACCCTCTGGGGCAGCCCCCTTGTGCGATCTGGGAACTCTCCTAAGTCCATAGGCACACTGGTCCACAGTGGTGGTGTGGAACCTGGAGTCACCCTCTGTAGCCTGGACACCGGGTCCCTGCCTTTTAACGGACACAACTTCAGGAAGCTGCAGCAATGGATCCTGACAGGAATGAAACACAACACCTCTTACATATGTGTGGAGGGTGCAAACCCACTGAAAACATTTCTCATCCTCAACTCCAGCAAGAGGGGCACCTCAGAAAAACCCACATTTGCCCCATGGAGGAACACCAGCAGAGTTTCAGCATGAGAAGGAACCAGAGCCACCCGGATGCTGAGCTCTCCCTAACCCCAAGAGTCCTGGCAAACTGAGCTCATGTTGTCCATGGCTTGTGAGTGAGACCAGATCCAGGACTCGCTGATGGACCACCGAACTGAACCTGGGCTGTATGCAAACATCCCAGCATGGAGGGCTCCAGCATCACAGTGAAGGCCCTGCCTTCGGCTGATCCCACCACCATCTGCAATCCTTTCCCTTTCTGCATGACACAGCCTAGGGTCTCTGTGAATCCAAAGCTGAGGTTTCAGCCATTCCCACCTTTAATTCTTCCTGGAAGAGCAGCAGCCCAGAAAATCAGCTGCCTGGGGAGGACCAGGGTCAAGACAGAAGCCACAAGGACAGCCAAGGTGCCTGCCAGTCCCTACCTAACCTGGAAATGAAAACCACCAATTCCAGAACAGCCCCCAGTGTGGCCCTGTGGCACCCCCATGGCAGCAGCAGCAGTGCAGGCACCGTAAGAAGCCAGTGGCTGCCAGGGCGCATCCTCCAAGGAAACATCCTCCCTAGGCAGCTCCATCAGGTGTGACACTAGCAGAATTTGCCTGAAGGTGTGACATCAGCCACTCCCCCCTACGAACACCCATGCTTCAGGCCAGTCTGAAAGACCCGGCATGAGCTCAAAGGAGAGTGGGGGTGAAGAAGCCTCACAGAGTGGACAGGTGAGGGCCAGGAATAAAATGAAGGATGTATGTATGGGTGTGGGGGGTCAAGTGCATCCTGGTGCTTTCCATGGAGCATGCAGACCCCGAGTTCCACAGAGCACGCACACCCTGAGTACCACAGAGCACAAGGATTCTGAGTTCCATGAATCACACAGACCCCAAGTTCCATGGAGCACAAAGGCCCTGAGACTCCAAGTTCCACAGAGCAAGAAGACTTTGAGTTCCACGGAAAATGAAGACCCTGAGTTTCATGCAAAATGAAGACCCTGAGTTCCACAGAGCATGCAGACTGCGGGGTTCAATGAAGCTCAACGAGATGATGCAGGAGATCGGCCAGGAGTGGGACACAAAGAGCTGCTGTGTGTGCACAGCATGTTTGGTCTTGGGGGCCTTTGGCTGTGGAGGTTGAAGGTGCATAAAATGCGGAGGCATTTGCTCAACAGGTTTTCAAAGAAGAGGGCATGCAGCACTTCTGCACACTCAAAAGCATGCTGGGCGGAAGGTTAAATGACAGCCTGCAGCCAGCTGGGCAACCAGAGGAGAGGCTGGCTGGCCTGTGCCCACCTGGGCAAAGCTTCAGAGACTGGATGATTTTTTCTGGGGCACTTCTCCCCTCCTCTTCTGGGGTGCTTCTCTTGTCTTTTCTTTCATGTTTGTGGGGCAGGGGAGATGATTCTGTAGAAATAAACAAAGATAAGAAAACTTAATGGCCAGGCATTTAACATCTTATTTTCTGAGCTTCTGCTAATGATGGGTTGTGACTACTGACTTGAGTGGTTCTCATTAGGTTCATCTTAGAGAACACAGGGTCGTCATTTCCTAGAGCAGGTTGCATAACAATGATATTAACACCAACAGGCACCACCACACGTGGTTCATTTTTAAATTTATTTTGTAGAGATGAGGTCTCATTATATTGCCCAGGCTGGTCATGATCTCCTGGGCTCAAGCAATCCTTCCACCTCAACCTCCCAAAGTGCTGGGATTATAGGTGTGAGTCACTGTGTCTGGCCTGGCAGTTCCTTATAAAGCTAAGTATACACTTATCATATGTAAGCTGACAACTTATATCCACACAAAAACTTCCATGTAAATGTTTATGACAGCTTTATTCATAACTGCTAAAACTTGGAGGCAATCAAGATGCCTTTCAATAGGTGAATGGATAAACTGTTGTGGATTCACACAATGAACTATTATTCCTTGATTTAAAACTGAGCTAACAAGCCATGAAAAGACACACAGGAAACTTAAATGCATATTGGTAAGTGAAAGGAGCCCACTTGAATGCTATGTACCATAGAATTCCAACCACATGATATTCTGTAAAAGGCAAAACTATGGAAACAGTAAAGACAGCAGAAGTTGCCAGGGCTGTGGGATGGGGAGGGTGAAAGAAAGGAACAAGTAGCTGAGGCACCAGGGATATTTTAAGACAGTGAAACTATTCTGTATGCTGCATTAATGATGGATACATGTCATGTCATTACACATTTCTCAAAATTATAGAAGGTACAATACAAAGAGTGACCTCTGATGAATTTTAGTTAATAATAATGTTTCTACATTGTTCATCAACTGTAACAAATGTACCACAAGGCAAGACTGTAAGGGTAACAACAGGGCATGTGGGCAGGAGACTGGATAGATGAGAACTCCCTGTACTTTCCACTCATTTTTCATGTAAATCTAAAACTGCTCTAAAAAAAAGTCCAATAATTTAAAAAAATCCAAAGGACCATCAAGGGTAGAATGGATAAATAAATTACGGTATGTTTGTACAATTGAATAGAATGAATAAACTTGCAAGTTAAATGTAATCCCATGGTGGTACACACACACACACACACACACACACACACACACACACAATAGAACATATACAAAAGGAAATGAGGAAATTAAAACATTACCAAAAATCAATTAAATACAAAAGAAGACAGTATGCAGGAAATGAAGGACAAAAAAGCTACAAGGCATATAAACAACCAACAGTATATGACAGAAATAAATCCCTCCTTATCAGTAAATAAACAAAACCACAAGTTGGTTTTTGAAAAGGTGAACAAAACTGACAAAACTTTAGCTAGATTGACTAAGAAAAAGAGACTCAAAGCCAAAAATAAAAGTGGGGCATTATTACGAATTCTACAGAAATAAAGAATTATAAGAGGTGTATTATAAACAACTATTTGCCAACAAATAGGACAGTCTAGATAAAATAGACAAGTTCTTAGGTATACAAAACCTACTAGGACTGAATCATGAAAAAACAGAAAATTAGAATAGACCCCGTAAATACTAAGAAGACTGAATCAGTCATCAAAAACTTTCTGACAAAGAAAGGCCCTGAATCAGATGGCTTCACTGGTGAATCTTATCAAACATTTAAATAACACTAATCCAACTCTTCTAAAAAATTGAAAATCAGAGAGCATTTCTAAACTCATTCTATGAGGTCAGCATTACCCTGATACCAAAGTCAGAAAAAAAAGTAGACAAGAAAACTAGAGACACATATCACTTCCCTGATGCATACCAATGCAGAAATCCTCAACAAAATACCAACAAACTACATTCAGCAGCATATTAAAATAATTATACACTATGACCAAGTAGAATTTATTCTTGGAATGCAAGGATGGTTGAACATTCAAACGTCACTGCATGAGGAGAATGGAGTGGTAAATCACATGATTATCTCAACTGATGTAGAAAAAGCATCTGACAAAATTTAAACACCCTTCCATGAAAAAACACTCAGCAAATGCAGAGGGGATGGAAGCTACCTCAATATAATAAAGACCATATATGAAAAACGCACACTAACATCATACTTAATGGTGAAAGACTGACAGGTTTTCTACTAAGATAGGAACAGAGGAAGGAGACCTGCTTTCACCACTTCTATTCAAAATGGCTTAGAAGTTCTGGCCAGAACAATTAGGCAAGAAGAATAAACAAATGGCATCCAAACTGAAAAGAAAGAGGTAAAATTATATTTGTTTGCAGATGATATGATCTTAGATGTAGAAAACCCTAAAGATTACACACACACACACACACACACACACACACCTGTTAGAATAAACAAATTCAGCTGAATGGTAGGATACAAAATCAGTGCACAAAAATCAGCTGTGTTTCTAAATACTAATAATGAATAATCTGAAAAGGAAATTAAGAAAATTCTATTTACAATAGCATCAAAAAGAATAAAATACTTAGGAATTAACTAAACCAAGAATGTAAAAATCCCAATGATGTGCTGGGCAAAACAGAAAAATTCATCCTAAAATTCACATAAAATTTCAGGATCCAGAATAGCCCAAACAATCCTGAAAAAGAACAATGTTGGAGGACGCATACTTCCTGATTTCAAAACTTAGTACAAAGCTACAGAAATCAAAACAATGTGGTGCTGGCATAAAGACAGACATATAGATGAACAGAATAGACTAGAGAGCCCCAAAATAAACTCTCACATATATTGCCAAGTGATTCTTGACAACTCAACAACAACAAACAACCCAATTGATTCATCTGTGTTGTATATGTTCTATAATCCTATTTATATGATATTTTAGAAAAGGCAGTATTATAGGGATAGAAAATGATTAGTGGTTGCCAAAGAATGCGGTTGGGGAAGCGGTTGACTACAAAGAGGCGTCAACAATAGAGAATTTTAGAGATGATGAGACAGTTGTGTTACTGTGAACGTGAATGTATAACTCTATACAGTTGTCAAAACTCATGAAACTGTATGTTACAAAGAATGAATTTTATTCTATGTAAATTTAAAAATCAACAAAGATGGTGGGCGGGTCAGATGGAATGCAGTTGGTGACAAATGAATCTTACTGAGTTAAAAATTATGACTAACCCATATTGAAGAGTGTGGGGGAAAAAAGTCTTCACCTAAGTAACCTTTGAAAATACTGTTTTGACTGCATACTGTAAGACTCAAGAACTGCACACAAACATACTGTATTCTGGTTGGCAAATTTGTTTCAGGGTATGGGTGAGCAATTCTGAAATGATTTTCCATGTTAGCAAATATATTTTAGAGAATTAGAGCCCAGTTTCTCTCTGTAGGTGAAAGAGTTATAAATAAACAAAGGGAGAATGCTAGAATAAACCCTAAGGTGCTGGACTGGAGTTAGGAATGTCAGTATGAACCCATGTCTATTTTAATGTATCTGTTTAGATGGACAGATGTAGATAGGTAGATGCTGAGTTTGTATTCATGCATACATGTTTGGAAACATTCACATTTTTCCAAACTATGCTGAGAGGGCCTCGAAGCAGTGATATCCCAGTATTAATGAGCACACCCAGTACCCAGATCCTGGTTTCTAAATACCATTCTCCTATAAAAGAAACCAAGGCTTCTTGGAGAAATGACTAATTCTAGGCCTGCCACGAAAAACACAAGATGAGACTAGAGCAACTTGCAGTGCCAGAAAATAAGAAAGTGCTTTTAAAAAACATAAAAGGGTGGGGACATGTCAAAAGAAGCCAACCTGGAAGAGCTCTCTATGACTCAAGGTGGAACAATGTGAGTGGCAAACAGTTATGACAGCACTAAATTGTAACCAAGAACATAAAATAAATATCCACAAGTCCATACTGATATAGAAAAGATTACATAAATCAGGAAGGAAAGACAAATCTTCCTTGCAGAAGAATTCCAAGTAATAAATGTTGAAGGAGCACAAATAGAAAACTACCACTAGAACACCACAGTAATCATTACTGCAGGAAAGAGTCATCAACGAATGCAAAAATTGTGGATGAAGAAACAGTATGTTTCTGTGGCCTCAAAACATCTCCCTCCAAATATTTATTATATATTTTTCTTTTTTTTCCTCTTAATTTCACCTAAAGATCTATGACTAAAGCAAATATAACACTGTGTTGTGGGGTTTATGACATGTGCAGATGTAAAATTTATGGCAACGACAGCACAAAGGATAGGAGATAAATGGTGCTATTCTGTAGCAAGTTTTTCTATTTTACACTCACTGTAACAGTACAATATTAACTCTAAACTGTGAGAATGTTAATGATGCACACTGTAATCCTTGGAGGAACTGCTAAAAAATGAAAAAATGTGTCACTTCAATGCTAATAAAGGAATACAACAATACAAAAAAGTACTTGTATAAGAATGTTCATAGATCTTTACTATTATGATAGCCCAAAACAGGAAATAACCCAAATATTCATCAACAGAGAAATGTATGAACAAACCATGGTGCATTCATACAACAGAATACTATTCAGCAATACAAAGGGACAAACTACTAAAACACACACTATGGAGGTGTTTCACAAATATTATGCTGAGACTGCTGGACATAAAAATGTATATTTTATGATTTCAAGCAAAATGAACTTACAGTTAAAAAACCCCCACAACAGTACTTTCCTCTGGGGGAGTTAAAAATTGCCTAGGAATGAGCATGAGGGTGTTTTCTGGGGATGATGGAAATATTCCATTCTGAAAAGAGGTGAAGGTTATATGGGTGTATTTATTTTTCAAAGCTGTACAATTAAGATTTGTGCCTTTCAATGCATGTGTATCTTACCTCACCAAAAAAGAACTAAAAAAAAAAATAAAGTGAGGGGTAGTAGGGAAAGGGCTGAGGTACAGAAGAAACAAAAATGGCACATGATTATTAGCTGTTGAAGCTGGGTCACGGCTCTATTATACAATTTTGTTCATTTTTTATATATTTAAATTTTTCTGTAACGAAAAGACTTGCACAGAAAGACAAAACTGATCTGTAATGTCAGCTGTTAAGACACTGGTACATTTGAAGAGGAGGGAGGCAGAAAGCGCTTGTGGGCCACATGAGTGAGGCTGCTTCTATTTCTTGGTTACCCACGTGTATCAATTTTGTCATAATATATATTGAGCTTAAGTAAATGCTTTATGCACGTATTTCTATATGCATGTTATATATCAACAAAATAGTTAAATACCACATATTTGCACACATAACTTAGTATCTCAGAGTAACAGCAGTGTTTTTTGTTTCAAAGTGGGACACTTCCACTCACAGCATCATCAGATGAACTGTAATATTCTGATGTATCTATTAGTGTCCTAACCCTTGGGTGAGACCCCCTAGGTCTTCCCATTTCTGCCTCAATTTGGTAAGTAGTAAGACTCTTATTTCTGACGATGTGATTTTATTTCCCAGCAAAGTCCTCCCCAAACCAAGGCCACAATAACTAGCACGGTGCTCTGCACATCATATGCACTCAGCACTTGTGAAATTGAGTTGAATCAGAAACAAAACGAGGAGCAGAGGTCAAGTCCTGCAAAAGATAGTAAGTAAGTAAGTAATGTAAATAACGCAATTAAGACTGAAAGGCTACAGCTCGGCAGCAAAGACTTCACATTCGTTTAAGAAACCATTTGCTACTAGTTCATCAAAAGACGTTGGTTTCATGCTGTGGTTCTCAATTCTGGCCACACATTGTAACCAGTTGGAGAGCTTTAAACAGCAAGGATGTCTGGATCCTACCCCAGGGATTCTGATTTCACTGGTCTGTTGCAACTTGGGTTTTGGGAATTTTAAAAGCCCCCTGCCACCCAGGTGATTGTAAGGTGCATCAGGGGTGAGAACCTTAGCTGTGCCTGATTTCCTTGTGTGCTGCGGGGATTTGCCTCATCGCAGCATCTCAGCTTTGCGGGGAGGGGTGGTGGGCAGTCTTAGAAAACAGCTCTGCCCTGTTAAAATCAAAGGACGGCTCAAGACGTGCTCAGCTGCTTGACTAAATTGCAGCAGGAGGAAATGTCTTTTCAGCAGATCTATCTTTACATCACTTGCTTTCAGAGTAAGAGGTTGTTTTGGGCACAGCATTTTGATTTAGTCTGTGTTGAAGACCAGTAATAGCCTACAAATACCAAAATGGGATGAAAAGAATTTCCAAACATGTGAAGTGCTTTATACGTGTTTCTTCATCCTTCCCTGTGTCTACACCCTTTGCAATGCGCTTTTACAGCTGCTCCCATCCAGAGTTAGAATCTGTTTCCCAAGACTTGGATCCAGCTGGCAGTTTTGGGCCCAGTCTCAAAAGGTCTTGAATGCTTCTTCCTTTTCTTTCAGAACCGTGCTATCTCCGTGACAACAAGCCCAAGTTAGCCTGCTAGAGGATGAAACACTTTGCGGAAGAGAACCAAAGTTGCCCAGTCCACAAGCCAACTCACTCTCAACAGCAGAGCTGTCTGGTCACCAGCAGCTGACCCCCTTCTCCCATACACACACATGAAGATTGCTATACCTTATAAAGGTACGGCAGGTTTTATAGGTATAGCAATTAATTTATGGCAGGAGCCTGCCATAAATTGCTGACTTGCTCAATCATGAGCTAAATAAGTTTTGGGATGGCTCATTACACAGTAACAGCTAACTAACACACCCAGAGCTGACAGGATGCCAGGATTAACAACATGCTGACTACAAGTTAGCTGGCACACTATAGGGACCGTCTAGGTACTGAATTCCTTTTCCCCTTATTAGAAGTTGGGTCCCTTGAATTATAAAGAAATGCATGTAGACATGTATGTGCTTAAAACTCACACAGTATCACACAACACAGGAGGAAATAGATGACAGCCTGACCACTAGGGCAAAGGCCAAATAGCAAGGTAAGGCATTTGTCTGGAATCTATTCCCTCCAAATCTAAACTCTGGAGGTCAAGGCTGTGGACAGGACCCACCTCCTGGGACCCCGCTGTCCTCTGATCTCTGGAGGGGAGAATGGCCCCACCAAGCAGCAGATGGGCAGCAGTGGCCTACCTGTGGCCACCTCCTGCTGGCAGCCCCTGCTCTCTCAGGGCACTCTCTCTTCCTTTGGGACTGAGAAGAGATGTGGGTAGGGAGGGGGAGCTCCCTCCCTCCTGGCAGAGAAGTGGGGTTCAGGCCCTTCACCTTCCTGAGTTCAGGGAGTCAGAGCCCTCAGAACATCTGGAATCTGGCTGCTTTGAACTGAGATATGCTAGAAGTGTAAAATATGGAGTGAGTTTTAAAGATTTAGGACAAAGAAATGTAAAACGTTTCATTAGTATTTTTATACTGATCACACATTAAAATGATATTTTGGATACATCGGGTCAAATAAATTATATTATTACAAATCAATTCCATCTGTTTCTCTTTAGTTTCCTTAACCTGGCTAGTAGAAAATTTAAAACTACAGGCAGGCATAGCTCATATTCTGTTTATATTGGACACGGCTGTCTTAAAGGACTGCCTCCTTTCCGAAGCTCAGGCTGCCTCCAGTCATGGTGGAAGGGGAAGTGGAGCAAAGAAGAAAGGAGGTGGGGTGCCACGCGCTTTCACAACAACCAGCTCTCATGTTCCATAGAGCAAGAACTCACTCACTACCACCAGGACAGCACCAAGCCATTCCTGAAGGATCTGTCCCCAAGACCCAAACACCTCTCACTAGGCCCCCCTTTCAACATTGGGAATCAAATTTCTTTCTTTCTTTCTTTTTTTTTTTTGCTAGAGGACAGGAAGGTTATAAAATCTGAAAATTTTAAATAATTTGTCATTTTGTTGTTTCCATTTGTGAACAAAGGACTTAATAAAAAATTTAAGATTTAACATTAAAATAAAATACATTCATTTCAATATCACGCTGGAATTCAACATTGTTTTGCACGGGGGCTGCAGAAACAATGTAGAGCTTCTTCCTCCTCCAGACCCTCACAGCTCAGCAAGCCTCTCAAGGGCTGGTTGCTGGCCACTGCGTTTCCAGTTTTTGTAGGTTCTCTTCCTCCCAGGTGATTAAGGAACAAGGCCAAAGGTGTTTGAAGCTTTCAGAAAACACAGGATTTTTCTTTCTGTGGCTCACCAGCATTTTCATTTCTATATCAGCAACACCATATGCAGGCCACAGCTGAGCCAAAACACATAATGAATTGAGTCTGAAATCAAATTGTACCTAATATTTACAGCCATGTGCATTACTAAAAAGGGGCATATCTTCCAACAATTCCAGTAAGTTCCCAAGACTTAGTTCACACTGGGTACTAGCCTGTGATGGTGCCCCTGTGCTTGTTACTGGGGGCAAAATGGGACAGTGTTTGCTGAGTTCATGGCTGAGGGGCTGCGGTGCGATGCAGAGAGCAAAACTTCCCACTGAATAACACTCCTATGTGAGAGCGGCATGGCGGCCAAGGTCAGCTGGCTCAAGGCAACTGCCTCCTTTTTTCCTAACAAGCAACATTTTCAGGGAAAAACCCCAGCTTCAATGTAGGAAGGTTTTGATGGTGGCTCAGGCCTCGGACTGAATTAAAAAGGAATAAGGAGATAAAATCCATATTTTAATTATAAACAAATGTCTCACTGAAAAAATTCCAGACCCATAAATCCATCTATGTATTAGTTATTGGAGTAATTTAAAATGTGAGGAAATTATAAAGTGTGTGTCCCTTATTATATATTTCTTCCCCCCACCACTTTTTGAACATCTAAAGTTCCTAACACATAGATACTCTTTTATGAGGAAAAAAAAACCTGTTGACATTGATACAGTTTGAATATTTGTCCCCTCCAGATCTCATGTTGAAATTTGACCTCCTAGTGAGACCCTGTCTCTACAAAAAATTAAAAACTTAGTTGGGCATGGTGGATTGAGCCTGTTATCCCAGCTACTCAGGAGGCCGAGGTGGGAGGACCTCTGGAGCTCCAGGAGTTGGATGCCACAGTAAGCTACGGCTCAGCTCAGCCATGGCTTCTATAGTGAGCTATAACTGCGCTACTTCACTCCACCCTGGGTGACAGAGTCAGATTATCTCTTTAACAAAACAAAACAAAACAAAACAAAACAAAACAAAACAAAACAAAACAAAACAGAAGAAAGAAATTTGATTCCCAATGTTGAAAATGGGGCCTAGGATGGGTGTGGTGGTGCAAGCCTGTAATCCCAGCACTTTGGGAGGCCGGGGCAGGCAGATCACAAGGTCAGGAGATCGAGACCATCCTGGTTAACACAGTGAAACCCCGTCTCTACTAAAAATACAAAAAATTAGCCCGGCGTGGTGGTGGGCACCTGTAGTCCCAGCTACTCGGGAGGCTGAGGCAGAAGAATGGCATGAACCTGGGAGGCAGAGCTTGCAGTGAGCTGAGATCATGCCACTGCACTCCAGCCTGGGTGACAGAGCGAAATACCATCTCAAAAAAAAAAGAAAGAAAGAAAGAAGAAAGAAATTTGATTCCCAATGTTGAAAGCGGGGCCTAGTGAGAGGTGTTTGGGTCTTTGAGGGCAGATCCTTCAGGAATGGCTTGGTGCTGTCCCAGTGGTAGTGAGTTCCTGCTCTATGAAACATGAGAGCTGGTTGTTGGAAGGCACGTGGCACCCCACCTCCTTTCTTCCTTGCTCCACTTCCCCTTCCACCATGACTGGAGGCTTCCTAGGGTCCTCACCAGAAACAGATGGTGGTGCCAGGCTGGTACAGCCTGCAGAATCATAAGCCAAATAAATCTCTTTTCTTCATAAATTACCCAGCCTCGGGTGTTCTTTTATAGCAACAGAAAATAGACTAATACAGACATCAATGTGAATATTTAATATTGGAAAATTTTTTTTCATTTTCTATTTTGTCTGTATAGCTAACATTAAAGAAGCCAAAGATATAGAATGCTACATCTCAGATATTGCATTTTGTAAAAAACATGAAGGTAAAATCTTTGTTTCTTCAATTACTAATCAATGATAGTTGTACTTTGCCCATTCTATGCAGAATACAGTTCCATGAACCGTGGGGAGATGGAAAATAACCATGTCCCAGCCTTCCAGGCAAGTCCCTGGAAGGAATGGCTTGGTGCTCTCCCAGTGGTAGTGAGTGAGTTCTTGCTCTATGAAACATGAGAGCTGGTTGTTTGAAAGCGCGTGGCACCCCTGGTGCCTGGAAGGCTGGGACAGGTAAGATTGCATCTCTGTGCTCTGCAGTGTCTGTCACACAGCAGGCACTTAATGAGAAGGCTGCTGAATGAAAGAATACTTCCAACCAGCTTGGAGCCCAAATGCAGGTTCTCCCTGAAGTTCTGACCTCACGTTGTGGGCACTGTGGGCTTCCATGCACATGTCCACACCACCCGTGCACCCACTTCCTTCCTGGACCTGAGCAGAGCCCCACTTTCCAGCTCCTGCCTGTGAGGGGATAACCAGGCCCCTGGGACCCACAGCTCCAGCAGCTGGAATTCAGAGTTTATGACCTGCTGTTTTCCACATTCCCCCTCCCTCCCCCTCAGGACCTGCACCCCACTGCACGGCACCTTCTATTCTGCTGTCATGGCCCAGAGCTCTGTTCATCTGCTTCAAGCAGCTCTCCACCCCGCTTCCTCCCTCCCCTCCTGCTGGATCTCTTTCTTTCATTGGTTCTTGTCCCGTTCCCTCAGTAAAAGAACTCTCCTTCCAATCTGCCTCATTCACATTCACTTGGGAACCAAAAATTCACCCCACAGCTTAGTATTCCCAGTTGTGGAAAAATTCAGGCACCTTCTGGATGAGACAAATGTGAAGAAGCCAGACATGAAAAAACACTTATATGGATTGATTTATATGAAATGCCCAGGGAAGAAAAATCTATTGAGATGGAAACTAGATTTGTGATTGCTTACAGCTGGGGTAGGGGTGGGGGAACAGGGTGATAGCTAAAAGGTACAGGACTAATAAAAATGTTGTAAACTTAACCATGGTTTTGGTTGCACATATCTGTGATTATACTAAACCCTAGCAGATCATAAGGTATGTGAATTTTTCCTCAATAAAGCTGTTTAAAAATAAAAAAAAAATTAGGCTGGGCACAGCAACTTACCCTGTAATACCAGCACTTGGGGAGGCTGAGGCAGGAGGATTGTTTGAGGCTAGGAGTTCAAGACCAGCCTGGACAATAGAGTGAGACCCCATCTCTACAAAAGATTTAAAAAATTTAGCCAAGCATGGTGGTGCGCACTTGTAGTCCTAGGTACTTAGGAGGCTGATGTGGGAGGATCACTTGAGCCTGAGAGGTGAAGGCTGCAGTGAGCCGTGATCATGCTACTGCAATCCAGCCTGGGAGACAGAGAAACATCCCAACTCAAAAAAAAAATTATTACGAACTATTTTATACATACAAAATTACACAGACACACACACATACACAGACTCACATAAAAGTAAAATAAATACATTGTACCCATCACCTGCACCACTACATTTGAAGCCATCTGCATGGTTGGCCCTTCTGAAATGTAACCCCATCTGGGACAATCATTCATCTGAAGCTTTACAAAAAGTATTTCCCTGACTTTCATTATACTTTTATTACATAATAATATCTCTAAATAATATATTGTTTCTCTAAATAATATACTGTTTAACTTTGTAAGTTTTTACACTTTCTATAAATGTGCTGTGTATCTCTGTAACTTGCATTACTCATTCCACATTGTATTTTCGAGAGCCTTCTATGTTTTAAGTAGTTTCTCATTCAATTCTATATATTGCTTACTAATTAGCCTTTAAATTGAATATACTAAGACCTGCTGGAGAGAGAATTCTTGTGGGATAATGAGTATAAAGTGCTTAAAGCAGTGCCCCATTCATTATAGGTATTCAATATATGTAATACTATACACAATATTTTAATACTGAGTAATTATATACATATTATGATTGCTTGTTTCTTTGTGGATGTACATTATTTCATCAACTGCACTATGAACTAATAGTTTTCTTTCTTCTAGGGGAGGGGGCGGGGTCTGGCACTGTTGCCCAGGCTGAAGTACACTGGTGCGATCACGGCTCACTGCAGCCTAGACCTCCCGGGCTCAAGGATCCTCCCACCTCAGCCTCCTGAGTAGCTGTGTCTATCAGCAGTGCCACCACTCCCAGCTAATTTTTAAATTTTTTGTAGAGATGGGGTTTCACCATGTTGCCCAGGCTGGTCTCTAACTCCTAGCTCAAGTGATCTGCCCACCTTAACCTCCCAAAGTGCTGGGATTACCGCTGTAAGCCATTATGCTGGGCAAGAGTTTTCAAACTACGGTAAAATTCAAGTTACAGATACCTTTGGGAAATGCCTCATTCTAAGTATTTGAAGCTTCCAGATAGCTAAGATTAAAAATTTTTACATACTAACTTGTTTCTAAGTGTATGCTTTTACATTTAAACAAACTAAAAACATAAGCTTTATAAAAAAATTTCAGCCATTTCCAAATTCTCTTCCAAACTTGTTTAGAAACATACATGACAGAGCTTTGGTCGGATTGTGCAAACTGTTGTGTGTTCTGTTTTTAAAATATTACTTAACTTGTACACTTCCACACATTGGCATGGCACATCATTGCCATTTCCAATACGTTCCTGTGCTTCACCAATTTCCATAGCTGTCAGAGGGAGAGCAGCCCAGGTGACAGGAAATGAAGTTGTCTGGCTCCGAGTCCTTACTAGGAGGACTTCTGGGATCCAGAATCTTTGCATGGGGCAGATGACATATTCTTAGAGGCCATTCATTTTTTCCACTGTAGCTGCTAGTGCCAGTTTCCACTCCACTGCCTGAGGGCAGGTTGATCTTGTAAGCCATCACCGATGGATTTGTGGTCACTGCCTGGAACCCTGTGCCAAAGAGGACTGGGAGGTCCCATTCAGGAGGGAATCCTCTGACTTATTACTGGCATCTGAGCATCTCCCAGCATGGCTGTTCCTACTTGTAATAAGGTGATGTCAAATGACTCCAGGGCAGTGCTCCGGTTCCCATGAACACATCTGGTCACTCTGGGAGCTTTTGAGTCAGTGAGCTCTCTCCTCACATCCCGATACACTGTTGTTTGCAAAAATATATTTTTATAGGCAAGGTATTTGTGTTTTGGATTTGCACCCTGATGCAGGCATTAATTTGTTTAAAAGGATAATTTAACATTTTCAGGAAGCTGAACATCTTTAAATTCTCTTTTGATTATTTCTAGTTTTATTGCATTATGACCCAGAAATGTGTACAATTTTTGTTCTTGTATACTCACTAAGGATTCTTCTTGTTTTCAGAGTAGGACCAAAGGTATTTCTATTTGTTTGCAAGTCTGTTGGCTCAGTTTCTAAAGAGTTCATTTTGTTACCATGTTCTTTTAAGTATATACATACAGGTTAGTTACGTTTCCAGTTTCCTGTGCTTTTTATTTTTTTTTTAAACAAGCTTTTCTGGCCCTTCATTCTCTCAGACTTTTCCTTCCATGCCTTATGCTGTAGATAAAGTCTATGATCTAACGTCTGTCAGTTAAGATTGTTTTCAGCTCTGGAGACCAGAAAATCTGACCCACATAGCAAGAACAAGCAAGGGCAGGAGATGAGGCTGAAGAGGCAGGCACCAGGTTGTCTGAGCTTTTATTCTACTGCAATGAGTAGATAGTGGCAGGGTTTACACAGGGGTGGGGGTATGCCTATATCATGTTTTAACATTTTCAAGAGATCACTCTGGATGCTTGAGTGGAGGCTGGACTGTAGCAGGGCAAGACAAGATGCAGGGAGGTTGGAGGATTCTTGGCAGTAGCCCAGTAGGAGAGGAAGGTGACTGAAACTGGTTGTGGAAATGGAGATGGTGAATCAGGATGCTGGTTGCACTCAAGAGCCACAGGACTTGCTGTGTGGTTGCATGGGGGTTGGGGGAGAAGGGAAAAGAGTCAGGGATGACTCTTGGTGCTCCCCTCAGGGAAGAGGCCCCAAGCCTAGTGGTTATCAACAGATGGATGGTATTTAAAGCTATGAGACTGTGTGGGATCATTCTGAGAGGATCACTAGAGATCTGGTGGAGGAGGAGCAGGAGGATGAGGATAAAGGTGAGAGGGAATCCAGGAGGGAAGGTCCCTAAAATCCAGAAGAAAGGGTGGAACTCCTCAATTGTATCGTCTGTGTCAAATGCAGCTAAATGACTGAGATAAAAGTCGTTTCAGCAAAGTACCTTGGAGGAAAGCTGGAAAGGAGTGGGTGCAAGAGAGGACATGAGGTGAGGAAGTTGCATGGAGCAGAGAAACAGAATGGTAAATGGAGAGAAACCTGGGGTTAAAAAAGGTCTATTTGTTTAATGCACAGCATTAAGGAATGCTTGTGTGTGGACACTAGCAAAAAATCAGTACAGAGAACCCCAGAATTCTGGGGTCATAGCCCGAAAGGACTCCTCAGCTCCAAATTTACTTGAAGTTACAGCTTCCATCTTTAAATTAAATGGGATTTTTTTTTTTTTTGCCATCTATTTCATCATACAGGATGTGACACAGAATATATCTGAAAGTATAACTTTCCTGGAAGAACACATCTTAGTTTTTAATATCTAAACTGTATAGCAGCTATTTATCTCACAAAACATTTTTCAGGCTGAGTGCGGTTGGTGACTCACGCCTGTGATTCCAGCACTTTGGGAGGCCAAGGCAGGAAAATTGCTTGAGTCTAGAAGTTCGAGGCCAGCCTGGGCAATGTGGGGAGATGTAGTTTCTACAAAAAATTTAGAAATTAACAGGCATGGTGGCACAAACCTGTGGTCTCAGCTACTGGGGAGGCTGAAGCAGGTGGATCGCTGGAACCCCTTTCGTGGTGCAGTTTGGGCAAAAGAGCAAGAACCTGTCTCAAATTTTTTGGCTGATGGTTGTAGACATAATGTTTGAGCTTTCAAAAATTACAACATTTTAAACTAAATAGTTTGCTGGAAAAAACCACATGTTCCTTCCAGAAACAACTGGTAGACCATCAGGATCATGACAGTCACTTCAAAAAGCTTTGGTGTGTTGACAAAGGGGAGGTTCACGTGTGATGTTGCTGGTCGCACAGCTACTGCATCCAAGGCAAATGCATGTTAACAACCATATCAAATGTGGGTGACCAAGTGGCAACATTTAAGCATTTTACATCCTAACTTATGTGCAACTTAAACCTACTGCCACACTGTGAGTTAGGAAATTGGTAGGTTTTTTTCTATTGACTTGTTGTGCCCTATAATTTTTCCTATTTAAAATAATGGGAAACAAGTTTTCAGTTTTTTTCTCAGAAAAAGTCTGACATTTCAGGCACAGATATGTCTGACAGTTATTACCAGCAGAAGAGTTTCTAGCCTTTTCATCGTAAAATTTTAATTACTTACCTTGGAAATTACTTAACTTCGTTCCTTCCAAATCTGGTAGTAAAATGGGTGCTCCAGAAAGCTGTGGCACGGATATTCTGCTGCTTTGCTCGTCTCTGCACAGACCTGGGGCTTGAGGAGCCTGCAGCCACGAAGTACAGGACGTCATCAGAATGGAAAAGCGATCCAGATGGTCCCGCAGGCGCAGTGCTGGGGCGTAAAGTGCAGCCTGTGCACGGCGGGTGGGAGGCGCGCGGGCTCGCCGGGGCTCGGGACTGTGTTCTTGCAGCCGAGAGGCCCACACAGGACAAGGAGGCCTGACCCAGGCTGTTGGAGCCCGCGAAGAGGGGGTGAAACTCCAAGGGGCGTAAGGGTGATCACACGTGCGGCCAAGCTTCCCGTCTGCATGGCGAGGGGCTGGGCCTTTCCGTCGTGATTTTTCTCCCATTATGCCGGGCGCGTAGCGGGCCCTGGGGCGGCGGGACCGGTGCGGGCGTTCAGTCAGCCCGGGGTCCTGGAGGCCGGCGGGGGGATTCGCAGCAGCCCGAGGGACGGATGGATGGCAGAAAGGAGTCTCTACTTCCAGGTTCCCAGTGATCGCTATGTTCCTTACAAGCAGTAAACTCACGACTTCAGACACCCGCCACGGAGCTCCGCGCGCAGTCCTCAAACAGCCAGCCACGCCGGCCGGGCGCACAGCGCATGCCCCGGGGTCGGGGCGGGGCGGAGGAGACGGGGCGGGGCGGAGGGGACGGGGCGGGGCGGAGGGGACGAGGCGGAGCCGGGCGGGGTTGAGGGGACGGGGCGGGGCTTGGCGGGGGCGGAGCCGCCCAGCGCTGAATCCAAATCGTATCTAAGCTATTTTCTAGCTCTGACATCGTATACATCACTGCATACGTGAATAGCATGCCAAATACTGTATAAACCAATACTGGTTTTTTTCTTCTCGGGAGGTACTATATAAATAAAGCACGTACACGGTATCTAATATCAGAACATTCAAATCCCATATTGAAAAGATTATAAATTGACCATAATCCTATAATTCTGTTTAGCAACAGTGCGTTCCTTCTCAGTCTTCACTTTTAAAATATCTAAGAGGCTCGATGTCTTGAGGCTTTTTCTTTTTAAACCCAACATCCTTTTTCACATTTATTAGTTTAGTACTTTGGTTTTACTCAATAAAAAGGTGGGGTTAAAAAAATCTGAATTATTCTGCAATGTTTCAGGCAACAGAGGCTGAAAACAACACTGTTAAGGCGGGGGGACAATTCTTATACTCTGTGAGTCTTCTTGTTTAATTTTCATTAAATTTCCAGAATAATAAGCGTAGGATAGCTAACGTTTGTCTTTGCGTCGTAGATTAGTTAACCTTTACTGAATTCACAATATGGCATCAGAGATTTAATCTGCATTTCCTAATTCTTATAAATTAAAGCTGAAGTTTAAGCTTCATTCGCACGTCACAAATACCACTTGCCCTGAATAAATAATGTTTTTAGAAGTGAGCATTCCTGATCTCCCTGTTTGTTAAGAATTGTCTTCTTTTTTCAGCTGCTACTCTGCTAAGACAAGAGTTAGCCCCTGAGCTATGTTATCAGTTCAAGGCTTTGCAGATAGCGCTGTATCGTGGGGGAAAAATGAACATGGTTTTCAAAAAGGAGGAGAACATTTCTATAACGTTGAGACTTTTAGTAATCAGGGCTATTGATGTCAGATGGCTGTTGGGACAAATGACATCATAAAAAATACAAAATTTAAAATTATGTTTGTTTATGTTTGTTTGTTTTCAGATTTCTTAGTAGTAAAGGGGCTGTGTTTTCACTCAGGCTTATATGATGATGACATTTCTCAGACCAGCAGCTATCTGCTAGCATTCTGTCCTGGACTTGGGGTGCACCTGTGACAGTAGCTGGGCTTGTCATCCAGTGAATAGCTCATAGTTGACTCCTCTCCATCAGTATAAGCATGGGTGTGGGTGACTGCATGGTAGAGGGGGCCGGGGTAGCCAGGGACCAGAGGTTAGTGAACCATTGGGTAAGATGTATAACTGTTACTCAGGCTCATAATTTTTCAACTTTTTCAGATAGTAATAACAAGAAAGTCCATCCTTACCAGTGTCAGTCTCTGTTTTAAGTGTTGTTCATATATTACCTCATTTAATTATCACACCAACCCTATGAGACTCAGAATGTAAATAGGCTACTGAGGTCACATTGCTGGTGGATCTTAATCTCAGGCCAGCTTGGCTCCTAAGTGTGTGTTCTCACTCTATTGCCTCTAGAACAGGAAGGAATATATGGATACTGTAAATTGTTAAAGAACAAGTTGAAAGAATTTTATTTCCGGCAACATGGGCTGACAAGAACCAGAAAACAACAAAAACTTCTGGAATACATATCAAGAACCATTTTAAAAAATGTATCAATGAGCTGCAAAATAATTAAGAGTTCGCAAAGGCAAAAAAATTAAAATTAAAAAGTGAAAGTAGAAACCCAAAGAAGTAATTAGATGCCATTTTTCACCCTTAAGATAGTTGCCAAGTGTCATACTGAAACTCTCTTTTCATAGTCTGGGAAGAGGATGGGGCAGCAGAATAGCAGACAAAGTTTAGATCCTGTCCAAGGTAGGACGGTTAGCAGAAGACATCAAAAGTAGGACACCAGCCGGGCGCGGTGGCTCAAGCCTGTAATCGCAGCACTTTGGGAGGCTGAGGCGGGCGGATCACGAATTCAGGAGATCGAGACTACCCTGGCTAACACGGTGAAACCCCATCTCTACTAAAAATACAACAATTAGCCGGGCGTAGTGGCGGGCGCCTGTAGTCCCAGCTACTCGGGAGGCTGAGGCAGGAGAATGGCGTGAACCCGGGAGGTGGAGGTTGCAGTGAGCCGAGATTGCGCCACTGCACTCCAGCCTGGGCGACAGAGCCAGACTCTGTCTCAAAAAAAAAAAAAAAAAAAAAAAAAAAAAAAGTAGGACACCAAAAAGATAGGTTTAGTGTAGGAGGGAACTATGAATCAACCTGTCTGCCTCCCCTGTCTCCTGCCCCCTCAATCCCTGCAGCCCCTGGAGCAGCAGACAAGATTATCCATCCTGAGGGAAAACATCCCTCCTGAGAGTGAGGATACATTAATATATAACCATGGGCAGCCCTTCCACTGGTGGCTTCACACACAAACTGTATAATCTAAAAAGTCTCAAGCTGCAAATTTAAAGTGACATCAGGTTTTTAATGCCTTCCAGGTGCCTGGCAAAAGCAAAATGGAAGACAGCTTCATGGAATGTAAGTTTTTAATCAAAAATCACAAACATTTATAATGGGCAAGAGCCAGCAGAAACAATGTACAGAGGAGAAAACCTACAGAGACTTAAGATATTAGAGTCACCAAACATCACATAAAGTGTGTCTTACATGTAAAGAAACAAGGGGATTAAAGAGCATGAGTATGAAAATAACCAAGTAGATTGGGAAAAATTACCAAATAGAAATCTAGATTTGAAAAATACCATAATTGAAATGGAAAGTTTAATGGATTAGTGTCACAGCCAACTAGATACTACCAAAAAGAGAATAATGGATATGAAGAAATAAAGACATTTTTAGACTTGTAAAGACTTAAGACTTTCTTACCTGGAGACCTGCACCACAAGAAAAATTAAAGGATGTCTTTTAGGCCTTAAGAAGGATACCATATTGAAATCTAGATCTGCACAAAGGAATGAAGAACACTGGAAATAGTAACAACATGGACAAATATATGATTTGTTATTATTACTTAAGCCTCTTTAAAATATAATTGTTTAAACAAAAATAATAAAGTACTATGGAATTTACAACATGTAAAATAAAATGGATGACAGTCATAGCTTAAAGACTAGGAGGGAAGAAGTATACTGATGTAAGTTTCTTATACTAAAATGATATATTATCACTTGAAGGTAGACTGTGATCAGTTGAAGACATGCACTATAAACACTAAAGCAACCACTAAAATAACAAGCCAAAGAATTGTAGCTGTTCAGGATAACACAAACAATCTCATCAAAAAGTGGACTAAGGACATGAATAGACAATTCTCAAAAGAAGATATACTAATGGCCAACAAACATATGAAAAAAATGCTCAACTTCACTAATTATCAGAGAAATGCAAATCAAAACCACAACACGATACCACCTTAATCCTGCAAGAATGACCATAATAAAAGAATCAAAAAATTAAAATAGATGTTGGTGTGGATGTGGTGAGAAGGGAACACTTTTACACTGTTGGTGGGAATGTAAACTAATACAACCACTATGGAAAACAGTGTGGCGATTCCTTAAAGAACTAAAAGTAGATCTACCACTTGATCCAGCAATCCCACTTCTGGTTATCTACCCAGAGGAAAATAAATCATTACATGAAAAAGATACTTGCACATGCATGTTTATAGCAGCATCATTCACAATTGCAAAAATAAGGAACCAGCCCAAATGCTCATCGATCAACGAGTGAATAAAGAAAATGTGGCATATATGTGTATATGTATGTATGTGTGTATATGTATGTATGTGTGTATATATATGTGTGTGTGTGTGTGTATATATATATACACACACACACGCATACATACCATGGAATACTACTTAGCCATAAAAAGGAACGAAATAATGGCATTTGCAACAACCTGGATGGAATTGGAGACCATTATCCCAAGTGAAGTAGCTCGGAAATGGAAAACCAAACATTGTATATTGTTACTCGTAAGTGGGAGCTAAGCTATGAGGATGCAAAGGCATAAGAATGATACAATGGACTTTGGGGACTTGGGGGAAAGGGTGGGAGGGGGTCGAGGGATAAAAGACTACACATTAGGTACAGTGTACACTGCTCTGGTGATGGATGCACAAAAATCTCAGACATTGCCACTAAAAAACTTATTCATGTACAAAACACTGCCTGTTCCCCGCAAAAACCTATTGAAATAAAAATAAAGAAGGGTAAAGAGGAAGCAGAAAAAAAAAAAAAAACTGAAAAGCAACCAGTAAAGGAGAGTATGATGTTCACAAAGCCAAAGGAAAACATTATTTCAAGAAAATGGTGGCCAACTTTATCAAATGCTGCTGAAAGTTGACATAAAATGAGACTTGATAATCAGCCATTGGATTTAGTAAAGTGGCTAGCCCTCATGACCTCACAAGAGTCCTTTGGGTGAAGTGATAAGGAGAAAGCTTGACTGAAAGGGATTTCTGAGAGAACAAAGTAGAGGGGTTGAATGCAGTAAGCACAGGCAACAATTTCAAAAAGCTTCACTCAAAAAAGGAATGGAGAAAAGGCAAGTAATTATAGAGGAAGTAGAGTCAAGATCACTGTGTTTAATGTTCTATAAGATGAGAAAAAATAATAGCATGTTTGCATGCCAATGGAAATCATCCACAGAGAGGGCAAAATTGATAATGTAGGAAATACAAGGAAGTATTTCTGGAATAATGTCCTTGGATTGGAAGTTAGGAAAAAGAAATATTGACTTTAGATGATAGATCATTCCATTCATCCATAGTAAGTGGCATATGAGTATATGAGCACAAATACAAGTGGATGGATAGATGCGTTCATGCCAACTCTTAAGGTTGCTTTCATGAAATAAAGGCAACATAGTACTTTTTCTCCACTTAAAAATTTACAATAGTTAATAATGTCATATAGAATTATGTGGAATTCTTGAAATATTCAGTGATTAAAAGATTATTTACTGAAGCATGCGTTCTGCCACATAGTTTTCTAGGCATTGGAGGTAAAACAGAGACAAGGTTCATACTTTTGTGAAGTGGGGACAAACAGATATATATCACAGGGCACAGAGCAAAGCCAGCTTTCATAGGGAAGTGAGGAGTCAAGTTCAGAGAGAGTGGGCCCCGGGTCCACCATTCTTTCAATATCTACAGAACTGGGGTTGTAGAGGGGATGGTTTGAGGTCTTCTAGTGACTAATTTGAACTTGCCATTCCAGATTCATCTCTCATTCAGTCTTTGCCTACATACTTAGCTTCAGCGACTGCCAAATCTAACCACCCCAGTACAAAACTACACCAACATTTCCATGTGTACTGGTCTGTTTTTTTTTTTTTCATACTAACTCCTTAGCCTCAAATGCCCTTTTCCCCTTCTCATAGCTTACCATTATTTTAACACCCTACACAAATAACACCTCTTCAGCACCTTTCTTCAAATAAAATGTATTATCTTAAGGTTTACAATTTAAAAAAAAAGAATTGTAGGCCAGGCACAGTGGCTCACGCCTGTTATCCCAGCACTTTGGGAGGCTGAGGAGGGTGGATCATGAGGTCAGGAGATTGAGACCATCCTGGCTAATACGGTGAAACCCTGTCTCTACTAAAAATACAAAAAATTAGCTGGGTGTGGTGGTGGGTGCCTGTAGTCTCAGCTACTCAGGAGGCTGAGGCAGGAGAGTGGCGTGAACCCAGGAAGTGGAGCTTGCAGTGAGCAGAGATCGCACCACTGCACTCTGGCCTGGGTGACAGAGTGAGACTCCATCTCAAAAAAAAAAAAAAAAAAAAGAATTGTGGCCGTTTAACAAGAGAGATAAAATGAGATAAAATGGTACGATAAAAATACTTGATTAATTCAAAGGAAAATGGAAAAAGGAAATAAAAAACAGATGACATGAATAGAGAACATGTGCAAGGTGAGTGGCTCAACCTAATCATATCAGTAATCATATTAAATGTAAATAGTCTAAATACCCCAACTAAAAGGCAGAGAATGTCAAATTACATTGAAAAACTAAGACCCAACTATATTCTGCCTATAAGAAAGGCACTATAAATATAAAGACACAAATAGGTTCAAAGTATAAAGATGGAAAAAGACATACCATGCTAAAACTAGTCAAAAGAAATTTAGAGTGGCTATATTAATATCAAAATAGATTTCAGAGCAAAGAATTATTTCTAGGAATTAAAGGTTATTTCATACTGACAATGTGGTCAGTGAAGAAGATATAACAATCCTAAATGTTTTTGTACCTAATAAGGCTTCAAAATGAATAAAAGAAAAACTAATAAAACATCAAAGAGAAATAGGAAAATGCATAACTATCAGATATTTTAATAGCCCTCTCTCAATATACTAGGAATACTTTTATGCCAATTAAATTCAACACCACGGATAAAATTGACAAATTTCTTCAAAGACAAATTACCAAAGGTCACCCAAGAAGAAACAGATAACCTGAATAGCCCTGTATCTATTAAAGAAACTCAAAATCGTTTTTTACACTTGATCTTAGGTAAAAGGCCTAGAAATGATGAAAAGTGTTGTTTTAAAACCTCCCTATAGGCTAGGCACAGTGGCTTATGCCTTTAATCCCAGCACCAGCACCTTGGGAGGTTGATGCAGGCAGATCACCTGAGGTCAGGAGTTCAAGACCAGCTTGGCCAACATGATGAAACCTCATCTCTACTAAAAATACAAAAATTAGCTGGGTATGGTGGCAGGCACCTGTAACCTCAGATACCTGGGAGGCTGAGGCAGGAAAATTGCTTGAACCTGGGATGGGGGGTGTTGTGGGAAGTCAGGGACCCCGAATGGAGGGACTGGCTGAAGCCATGGCAGAAGAACATAAATTGTGAAGATTTCATGGACATTTATTAGTTCCCCAAATTAATACTTTTATAATTTCTTACATCTGTCTTTACTGCAATCTCTGAACATAAATTGTGATTTCATGGACATTTATCACTTCCCCAGTCAATACTCTTGTGATTTCCTATGCCTGTCTTTACTTTAATCTCTTAATCCTGTCATCTTCATAAGCTGAGGATGTATGTCGCCTCAGGACCCTGTGATGATTGCGTTAACTGCACAAATTGTTTAAACAATATGAAATCCGGGCACCTTGAAAAAAGAACAGGATAACAGCGATGTTCAGGGAACAAGGGAGATATCCATTAGGTCTGGCTGCCTGAGAGCCGGGCGGAACAGAGCCATGTTTCTCTTCTTTCAAAAGCAAATAGGAGAAATATCACTGAATTCTTTTTCTCAGCAAGGAACAGCCCTGAGAAAGAGAATGCGTTCTTAAGGGGAGGTCTCTGAAATGGCCGCTCTGTGAACGTCTGCCTTTTATGGTCACAGATAAGGGATGAAATAAGCCCCAGTCTCCCGTGGCACTCCCAGGCTTATTAGGATGAGGCAATTCCCACCTAATAAATTTTGGTTAGACCCAGTTATCTGCTCTCAAACACTGTCTCCTGATAAGATGTTATCAATGACAATGCATGCCCAAAACTTCAACAATTTTAATTTCGCCCCAGTCCTGTGATCTCACCCTGCCTCCATTTGCCTTGTGATATTTTATTACCTTGTGAAGCATGTGATCTCTGTGACCCACACCCTGTTCGTACACTCCCTCCCCTTTTGAAAATCACTAATAAAAACTTGCTGCTTTTGTGGCTTGGGGGGCATCATGGAACCTGCCGACATATGATGTCTCCCCTGGAAACCCAGCTTTGAAATTTCTCTCTTTTGTACTCTTTCCCTTTATTTCTCAGACTGGCCGACACTTAGGGAAAATAGAAAAGGACCCACATTGAATTATCAGGGGTTGCTTCCCCCAAGGTTGCAGTGAGCTGAGGTCACACCTCTGCACTCCAGCCTGGGCGACAGAGCGAGACTCTCCCTCAAAAAAAAAAAAAAAAAAAAAAAAAAAAAAGACCTGGCTCTGTGGCTCATCCCTGTAATCCCAGCAGTTTGGGAGGCTGAGGTGGGTGGATCATGAGGTCAGGATGAGGTCAGGAGATGGAGACCATCCTGGCTAACACAGTGAAACCCCTTGTCTAACAAAAATACAAAAAATTAGCCAGGCATGGTGGCATGAGCCTGTAATACCAGCTACTTGGGAGGCCAAGGCAAGAGAATCACTTGAACCCAGGAGGTGGAGGCTGCAGTGAGCCAAGATTGCACCACTACACTCCAGCCTGGGTGACAGAGGGAGACTCTGTCTCAAAAAAAAAAAAAAAAAAAAAAAGAATAACATAAAACCTCCCTATAAAGAAATTCCAGCCCAGATGGTGATAGTAGTGAATTTTACCAAACATTTAAGGGAGAAGTAATAACAATACTTCACAAACTCTTCCGAAAACTGAAGAGGAGGAAATACTTCCCAACTCAATCTATGAAGTCAGCATTACCCTGATACCAAAATTATCCTTGTACCCTGGCCAGACAAGGATATTAGAAGAAAACAAAACTACAGACCAATATTCCTCATGAACATAGGGCAAGAATTCTATGCAAAAGTTTAGCAAATGGAATCCTAAATATAATAGAAAGGTAATACATCATAATTAAGTGGTATTTATCCTAGAAATGCAAGGTTGATTTAAGAATAAAAAAAAAATCAATGTAATTTACCACATAAACAAACTAAAAAATTATATGATCACCGTAATCAATACAGAAAAAACATTTGGCAAAATCCAACATCCATTATTGATAAAAACTGAGGCTAAATAGGAACAGAGGGAACTTCCTCACGCTGATAAAGGGCAATTCCAAAAGTCCTTCAGCTAGCATCACACTTGATTGTGGAAGACTGAATACTTTCCCCTTCACATCAGGAACACACTAGGGATGCCTGCCCTCACCACCTCTATCCAGCACTGTATTGGAGGCTGTAGACTGTGCAATCAGCCAAGAAACAGAAATAAAGGACATTCAGTTTGGAAAGAAAGACATAAATGGTCGTTATTCACAGATGACATGATTGTCTGTGTAGAAAATTCAGTGGAATGTACAAGAAGTTAATAAGTGTGTTTATCAAGGTTTTAGGACAAATTAGTGTACAAAAATTGTTTAATGAGAGCTTTGTAACTTAATTCAAAATTAAAATGTAAAGCATGTATTATTGGTTGGATTAACCATCCCAAAATGTATACATATTGCAAAATATCATATTGTACACTATGAATAGATAAAATTTGTATTTGTCAAGTAAAAAAGAAAGAAATTAAAATAAAAAAATTAACAACATTTACAATAGCATGAAAAATGTAAAGTACTTAGGAACAAATCTGACAAAAAATGTAAAAGGCCTGTACACAGAAAACTGTAAAACATTGCTATGATAAATTAAAGAAGCCATAAATAAATGGGGAGATATATGTTGTTCATGAGTGAGAAGACTCAATATTGTTAAGAGGTTATACTCTTAAAACACAGATTCAATATAGATTGACTACAATCCCAATCAAAATCCAGCAGGCTATTTATTCGTGTCTAGATCCATTCCATCAGAGACCTGGCACCCACAACAATCTGCCAACCCATTTGGGAAATAAGAGTCACCCCTGGTGTGCCTGAAAAGCACCGTCAGCTCCCCAGGTCACCAGAAACAAAAGTCTTAACTGGCTCTGAGTGTTGGACATCAGATTACCCTGGTTTCAGCATAACGTACAGTCAAGTTCAGCTGAAACTGAAGCTGTCCATAACCGCTGCTTTATGTTGGCTTTGGGACCTGGCAACCACCATTCTACTTTGTCTGTATGAACTTGACTGTTCTAGGTATCCATGTAATTGCAATCTTGTAGCATTTGTCTTTTTGTGACTGGTTTATTTCACTGAAAGCAATGTCCTGAAGATTCATTCATGTTGTTGCATGTATCAAATTTCCTTCCTTTTAAAAGCTGAATAATATTTCATTGTATGGATATACCACATTCTGCTTATCCATTCATCTGTCAATGAACACTTAACATGGCTTCCACCTTTTAGTTATTCTGAATAATACTGCTATGAACATGTCTCTTTATGTGTTTCATGCTATTGTTTTGGGTATATACCTGAAAGTGGCAATGCTGGATCATATGTTAATTCTGTGTATGGTTTTCTGAGGAGCCATCAAACTGTTTTCCACAGCGGCTGCACCATTTTATATTCCCACCAACAATGCATGGGGGTTTCAATTTCTCCACATCCTTGCCAATGCTTGTTATTTTCTGTTTGTTTTATTTTTGGATAATAGTCATTCTAACATGTGTGAAGTAGTATCCCACCTTGGTTTACATTTGCATTCCCTGATGACTAATGATGTCAAGGGTCTTTCCATGTGCTTTTTGTATATCTTCTTTGGAGAAATGTCTTCTCAAGTCCTTTGCCCATATTTAAATCAAGTTGTTTAAGTTATTTTAAGGATCAAATAAAATAGTGTATTTAGTACGCTGACTGGATCATAATAAACACTCCACAAAATGTTAAAAAATCGAGGTTTTTTTTGTTGTTGTCAAGTTGAATGATTTTTTTAATTGAAGTATATCTGTACAGATAAGCCACAAATCCCAAGAAAACAGATTGATGAATTATCACAAAGTGAACACATCTGGGACACCAGCCCTTAGATCAAGAAATAAAACATTACCAGAGCTCCCATGCAAACACTAAGATAATCACTATGCTGACTTATAACGCTATAGGTTCGTTTTGATTGTTTTGGAGCTTCACGGAAATGAAATAGTGTAGCACACATTCATTTGTATCAGGTTTCTTTCACTCAATATTATGTTGGTGAGATTCACCAACTGTGCATGGCAGTTATTAATCTATTTTCATTACCATAAAAATTCCATGATATAATATATATTTGTCCATTCTTCCGTGATTAACATTGGCTACTATGAAGAGTGCCTCTATCAGGATGCATTTCTTTTGGGTTTTCACATCGGAGTGGGATTTCAGGATTGTAGGGGTGCTCACCTTTAGCAGTATTCCCAAATAATTTTCCAAAGTAGTTGTGCTATTTCACATTTCCACCAGCAGTGTATAAATGTTTCAGTTACTTCACATTCTCACCAACACTTGGTATTAACAGTCTTCTTAATTTTAGCCATGCTGGTCGGTGTGTATTGGCTTCTCATTGTGGATCACATTTGTCTGACGTTTTATGAGGTTGGACATTTTTATATGCTTTCTGGCCATTTGGATGTTCATTTGTCTTTCCTTACTTCCTTTTTCTTTTTTTAAAAAATGAAGTTCCTATTCCTTTCTCTTGTTCATTTTTCTGTTGGATTCTTTATTTTATTTGTAGAAATTCTTCATGCACTCTGGACATGAGTCCTTTGCCTGTTATATTGTGACAAATATATTTCCCATTGGTGACTAATCTTTTCCCTCTCTTATTGAATTTCTTGAGGGATTCTTAATTTTACTATCATCCAATGTATTGATCTTCTCCTTTTGGGGTAGTTTTTTTTTTTCTATTGAAGAAATCATTCCCTGCCTTCTGAGGAGCTTTTAAATCTACATATGCCTACTAAACCGCACTGCTTTGATATATATTTTATGCTAGAAAATGAACTAGGCACTTTCATGATGTTATTGTCTATTTTGTGGGAAAATATCATCATCATCACTTTCCCAGGCCAGGACATGATATGTGTGCAGGATAAGGCCATAGCTCCCTGACATCTGGAACTCTTCCTGCATTGGGGAGGGTGGGCCTGATGCCACAATGGGGTCAGGTGGGTGCTAATTCCCAACTCCACAGGTGCAGGGCTTGGAAAACAGAGGACAGCCAGGTCAGAGCTGTGGTCCTGCAATGGACTGAGGATATAGAAGAGTCTGTATTGCCATGGGGGTCCAGGGACTGCAGGAGGTGGGAGAGGAGCAATCAGAAGATATATCCTGTGTGAGGAAGAGCAGAGCACAAGGGATGAGGCCCCAAGAAAAGGGCAAGAAGGGAGGGACCTCTTGCTTAACAGCTCAGTATTACAGGCATCTAGAGGTGAGGGCACAGCCACTGGCTCCAAATGTACTATCTCTGACATTTGTTATTTTGGTGCAAGGACTGGGAGAAAGTTCTGCACTGTACAGAGCCTGCCCAGGAATGGTAGAGGATACCACAAAGCTTGTGGATGAGCAGTCAAGGCTGTCCTGTGGGCAGGGGCTCCAGGGCATGTGAGCCACCCTGGAGCTGTGGATAGGGCCAGGCCTCCCAGGAGGGGCCCACACCAGCCTTTCTCTCTCACTCTTTCTGAATCAAGAATGTTGAACACACAATGAAAAGTCCAACTTACAAAAAGAAAGTATTTGCCTGATGAGGTTAGAACTGGTATTATAATTAGTTTGCCGATCTATATATTGTGACAGAAAGCAGATCAGTTGTTGCTTGGGGTGGAGCATGGCAGGAGAGGCAGGAGGAAGAGATCACAAAGGAGCACAAGAAAACCTATGGGGGATGGACATGCTCGCTGTCTTGATAACAGTGATGGTTTCACGGGTGCACAAGTCCTCCTATTATATGTCAGTCACCCCTCAGTGAGGCTGTTATGCATCCTCCCGACACACAGACACACAGACACACACACACACGTAGTTGCAATGAAATGGTTTAAGATACACTTGAGTTCCAAAAGTACACGCTCTCCAAGCCTGCCAATTTGGCTCTTCCAAGTGTCCCAGTCACTAGGGAGCAAGACCAACATTTGGCCTGACTCCAGCTGCAACATGGCTGTTGACACTACTTCAGGTTCAAAGTTCTGGGACTCCATGAAGCCCCAACAGAGAAGGAAAGACTACCAACCACACATCTGACTTGCCCCTGACTACTACACACAGGAAATCACTGGAGCTTCTGACTTGAACTTTAAAATCTGTGGGCCCAAGACAGGAGATGTCCCTCCCAACCCCTCTCCCCCCATTCATGGGAAAAGTGGCAATTGAGAGTGGAGGAGAGGATTAAAATACTAAGGGAATGAAACACATCTGAGGGTCCTCAGTTCATTGCTGAGAATGGCTGTTGGAATGATAACCACGCACCTTAGAGAACAAGAATTGTGGGTAATTTTCCTTCCTGCAAACAGTATGTTTCTTTACTAGTTTCTTACTGCAGGAGGCTTTAAAGCTCCATAGAATATCTTCAGTAATAAGGAACAAAACGAAAAATAAAAAATAACGGTAATTGTCACAGCTAACAGATTGCTATTAGCAAAGATTTTCAGAAAGGTGTAAAAATCAGCAGGCTATATTTTTACCTAAATGATCCCTGCAGTCTATGAAGAGGTGCCTCCAAGGTAGCTAAGACACTGGCCTGCCATCACGGGACATTCCCGCCCTGGTCCAGGAGGCCTGAGCTGACCCTGTCCACTTCAGCTCCTCTGTGAAGTGATCGACTCTGGTGCTGATCACTTGTTCCCTCTGGTAATTGACAGCTGTTGCCAGGAAGCTGACCAAGGACATTGCTGAGGACCAGACAGGGGCAAACAGGCTCCCACCCTGGGACCATTAGCACAGGGCTCTCACCATCTGAGCACCAGCTCCAGAGAAAAAGGAGAAAGAGTTGGAAATGTTACCGGGAGGTGTGGGGTCTTCAGTTCTTGTCTTCTTGGAGGAAAGAATTCAGCCAAGAAGTAAGCAGTGACAGTGAAGCAGCTGCAGAGTTTATTTAAAGAGAGAGTACCCTCTAAAAGCCAAGTCAGAGCGGGCTGCTTGGAAAAAGAGACAGCGTTGATCTGCACTGGGAAAGTTCCCTTATGAGGGTCTTATATGATTATTCATAAAAGTGGTTGTGAAGGGGTGTTACTAGCAAACATGTTTTGGGTGGTCTCCTGGGTGCACATGCTGTATGGTCATACACGCTAGTACATATATCACACGTCTTAGTAATGTCTGAAATCTCCACCCAGGGGCGTGTTTTTTTTTTACCATTATAATGAGTAAATGTTACCTTCAGGGCAAGCCAAGTCGAAGTGTGCATGCTTGCTATTAGGGAAAGCCCCTACTGAAGTTATCTCCTGTCAGGGTCAGATAAGTCCCAGTTAGGACCAGAGAAGCCAAACCTCAAGTCCAGATGTGGACTTGGGTGACTGAGGGTCTGAGGAGTGAATTGTTTGCTTCACAGTAAAATCTAAAACATTTATGCAGTACGTGAGTCGATGCATCTTCAACACAGGAGTGTCCAGCCTGGAAAACCAGGGGCCACCCTAGGGAAAGACCCAATGACATCACAATCTTTAAATAGGAATGAGAGGAACAAGGCTGGTGGACATCTCCCTGAGGGCATTAGTTTCCAAATATTTGAGCAAGGCCTCCTTTGCAAATCTGGGTGATGGTTATCAAGATAGGGACAAGAGGTATCCAGCAACAGGTGTATTTTATAAAAATTAGTTATGTAAACGTTAAACATTTAGCTTGTAAAAATTAAAACACCACAGCAGTGTATTTGAAAAGTAAACATTTCTCATTATTACACCTACTAGAGATAACTAGCAATGGCTAAACAAAAAGTTCGGTGCATGTTCTGTGTACACTGACTGCCTGAACCTTTCAAGTCTATTTGGCTTCTGATTTGGATAGGGAGAGTCAAGCACCAAGCTTGACTCAGGAGGGAGAGCACTATCCAAATGAATGTAGCTCCAGTATGAATAGCAAGAGTTTATATAGAAAGGGACTCACCTAAAAAGTTATCTGATTTTATTCAATTATTGAGCTTGACAGTAAAAGGTTGGATAACAAGGGATAGCTGTAATCACACACACGATGAGAACACAAACTGCTTCTAATATTCATAAACGAGTAAGTATCTGAGACAGGTCTCAATCAATTTAGAAGTTTATTTTGCCAAGATTAAGGACAAGTTGGAAGGAAAAAACACAGAATCATATAAACAATCTGTGGTCTGTGCCTTTCTCCAAAGACGATGCTGAGGCTTCAATATTTAAAGGGGAAGAGTATGCTGGAGGGGAAAGAGGAAGGGTATGGCCACATTACTGAATCCACACATTGCAAAAGAAAAGGATAAGGCAGGGGAATAGTCAATTTTGTATTCATCTTATGCTCAGTAAATCAGCACTTCACATAAGGTAAGATGAGGACAGAGCACCTACCTGTGGGGATATTTAACCTTCTATCTGGAGCTGTGTGCTTAGGAGCAAAAAGAAAGTCAGCTTCTTGCATGACTCAGCTTTCAGCTTAACTTTCTCCTTTTGGCAGAGTGAATTGGGGTCCCAAGTTTCTATTTTCCTTTCACACATTTGAAACTAGACTTGATTTTGCTTAGAAATGTGACATTTATTTATACTTCTAAACAAAATCAAGGCTAGTTATCAATTGCCCATTTTCAGAGAATGAGAAAGCCCAAGAGCTCATGACTCCTTCCCATTTCCTTGGGTTATGGATACCAGGACCCTGGGTTCTGCAGAGCCTGGGGACAGTGGATGAGAGAATGCTGTTTCTGAGCATGATATGGTTGCTGTCAGATCCCTGCTCCTAAACTTACTAGGGAGTGACTGGTCAACAAAAAGAGTCAAACTCTAAAATATTTGAAGAGATTTATTCTGAGCCAAATGTAAGTGACCAATGGGCCATGACACAGCCCTCAGGAGACCCTGAGAACATGTGCACAAGATGGTCAGGGCACAGCCTAGTTTTACACATTTTAGGGAGACATGAGACATCAGTCAATACATGTAAGGTATATATTGTTTCATTCTGGAAGGGCAGGACAACTCAAAGTGGGGACTTCCAGGTTATAGGTAGATTTTAAAATTTTCTGATTGGCAATTGGTTGAAAGAGTTATTATCAGTAGAAAGGAATGTCTGGGTTAAGATAAGGTGTTGGAGAAACCTAGATATTATCAGGAAGATAAAGCCTCCAGGTAGCAGGCTTCAGAGAAAATAGATGTTAAATATTTCTGATCAGAATCTTAGGTTTGATGTTGATGTCTTAAGGTCTGCGTTGATGTTAATGCTGGAGAAATATAATGAGGCATGTCCAATGCTCTCTTCCATCATGGCCTGAACAAGATTTTCAGTTTCACTCTGGAATCCCTATGGCTGAGAGGAGGGGTACATTCAGATGGTTGAAGGGCTTAGAATTTTATTTTTGGTTTCCATTCTTCCCTTTATGGCCAATATTTGCCAGCATCAGCATCAATGGCTATTAATTTTTTTTCCCCCTAGCACTGCTTGGGTGGCATATCTGCCTGCCCTGTGTCCATCCTGTCCTTCAGTGAGACTCCCTGTGGTGGAGGGACTTGAAGTCAAAATACTTACAGACAAGTAAGTGTTCTAGGAAAGATAGGAATGGACTCGGACAGGCATTCATTACCCCTTAAAAGATTTATTTAAAGTAAAGAGCCAAAAACAAAAAGCCAATGGCGAGTTTACAAAAATTGAGTTTTCTTTCATTTCTATGCGTTGAGCTACTATAATCTTGGTTTTAATTATAGGCTTACAGTGATTAACTATACAAAACATATACATTTTTCTAAAAAATAATTTTATATATCTAAATATATATATCTGCAAAACTTATAACTGGGAGTATTATGCCCAGGAGGCTTGGCCATGAGGTATCTTTATCCTCTTATTTTCTTTTAATTCCAGGAAGCAGGACATTTTTCATGGTTGGGGTGGATAAAAAGGTGCCACGTAATAGCTGAGAAAGCAAAGTTCTTTGTTTTACAAGCTGTTTAGGCACTTGTGTACCCTCGTTGATTTGCAGTGTCTCAGCTAACTGTATCCCTCAAAACCAGCCCTTACAATCTCATGCACCCATCTCTTCTGAAACAGTCTCTGGGCCTAGAGGGAGGGTGCTTGCATCGTCTTAGCAGTAGGACATTTGCAATGAAAAACAGATCGGGTCCAGGGGGATGCCAAATAATGGAGATTTGCATCTCTAATCTTCAGAATGCCATGATTCTGGTTTCCTTTGAAGTGAAACAAGGAGAGATAAATAAGATTAATATTTTGACCATCAGAAGAGTACTTGTGTGTCAAAAGAGAAAAAATACCCTATTTCATTAGGTCACCAACTGAAAATATGAAGAAAAATGATAATCTTGTACTCATTAGAAGATTATTATAACTATGAAAACTTTCAGGATTCTCAGGATCATCTTGGCTATACGGGGTCTTCTTTGGTTCTGTATGAAATTTAAAGTAGATTTTTCTAATTCTGTGAATAATGTCAGTGGTAGTTTGATGGGAATAGCATTGAATCTATAAATTACTTTGGGCAATATGGCCATTTTTATAGTATTGATTTTTCCTATCCATGGGGATGGAATGTTTTTCCATTTGTTTATGTCCTCTTATTTCCTTGAGCAGTGGTTTGTAGTTCTCCTTGAAGAGGTCTTTCACATCCCTTGTTAGCTGTATTTCTAGGTATTTTATTCATTTTTTTAGCAATTGTGAATGGGAGTTCATTCATTATTTGTCTCTCTGCTTGTCTATTGTTGGTGTAAAGGAATGCTTGTGATTTTTGGACATTGATTTTATATCATGAGACTTTGCTGAAGTTGCTTATCAGTTTAAGGGGTTTTGGGGCTGAGATTATGGAGTTTTCTAAATATAACAGCATATCATCTGCAATCAGAGGCAACTTGACTTCCTCTCTTCCTATATGAATACCCTTTATTTCTTCCTCTTGCCTGATTGCCCTTGCCAGAACTTCCAATACTATGTTGAATAGAAGTGGTGAGAGAGGGCTTCCTTGTCTTGTACCACTTTTCAAAGGCAATGCTTCCAGCTTTTGCCCATTGACTGTGATATTGGCTGTAGGGTTGTCATAAATAGCTCTTATTATTTTGAGATATGTTCCATGAATACCTAGTTTATTGAGAGTTTTTAACATGAATTTGTGTTGAATTTTATCAAAGGCCTTTTCTGCACCTATTGAGATAATCACGTGGTTTTTGTCTTTGGTTCTGTTTATGTTGATGGATTATGTTTATTTATTTGTGCATGGTGGAACAGTCTTGCATCCCAGGGATGAAGCTGACTTGATTGTGGTGGATAAGTGTTTTGATGTGCTGCTGAATTCGGTTTGCTAGTATTTTATTGAGGATTTGTGCATCGATGTTCATCAGGGATATTGGCCTGAAGTGTGTGTGTGTGTGTGTGTGTGTGTGTGTGTGTGTATGTGTCTTCCTGATTTTGGTATCAGGATGATGCTGGCTTCATAAAATGAGTTAGGGGGAAGTCACTCCTTTTCAATTTTTCCGAATAGCAAAAAGAACAAAGTTGGAGGCATCACACTACTTCAAACTATACTACAATGCTACACTAACCAACACAGCATGGTACTGGTACCAAAACAGACATATAGACTAATGAAACAGAACAGAGACCTCAGAAATAACACCACACATCTACATCCATATGATCTTCAACAAACCTGACAAAAAGAAGCAATGAAGAAAGAATCTCCTATTCGACAAATAGTGCTGGGAAAATTCACTAGCCATATGCAGAAAATTGAAACTGGAACCCTTCCTTAAACCTTAAACTTAAGACTTTAAACCTTAAACATAAGACTTAAATGTCAAGCCCCAAACCATAAAAACCCTAGAAGAAAACCTAGGCAATACCATTCACGACATAGGCATGAGCAAAGACTTCATGACAAAAATGCCAAAAGCAACTGCAACAGAAGCCAAGATTGACAAATGAGATCTAAGTAAACTAAAGAGCTTCTGCACAGCGAAAGAAACTATCATCACAGTGAATAGGCAAACACCAGAATGGGAGAAAAATTTTGCAATCTACCCATCTGACAAAGGTCTAATAGCCAGAATTTACAAGGAAATTAAACAAATTCACAAGAAAAAAACAAACAACCCAATCAAAAAATGGGCAAAGAACATGAACAGACACTTCTCCAAAGAAGATATTTACATGGCCAACAAACATATTAAAAAAGCTCAACATCACTGATTATTTGAGAAATGCAAATCAAAACTACAATGAGATACCATCTCACACCAGTCAGGATGGCGATTATTAAAAAATCAAGAAACAGTAGAAGCTGACCAGGCTGTGGAGAAATAGGAATGCTTTTACACTGTTGGTGGGCATGTAAATTAGTTCAACCATTGTGGAAGACAGTATGACGATTCCTCAAGGATCTAAAACCAGAAATACCATTTGACCCAGCAATCCCATTACTGGATATATACCCAAAATAATATAAATTATTCTACTATAAAGACACATGCACACATATGTTTATTGCAGCACTATTTACAATAGCAAAGTCATGGAACTAGTCCAAATGCCCAACAATGATAGACTGGATAAACAAAATGTAGTCCATATACATCATGGAATACTATGCAGCCATAAAAGGAATGAGATCATGTCCTTTGCAGGGACATGGATGAAGCTGGAAGCCATCATCCTTAGCAAACTAAAACAGGAACAGAAAACCAAACACCACATGTTCTCACTCATAAGTGGGAGTTGAACAATGAGAACACATGGACACAGGGAGTGGAAAAGCACACACCAGGGCCTGTTGGGGGGTGAGGGGTGAGGGGAGGGAACTTAAAGGATGGGTCAATAGGTATAGCAAACCACCATGGCACGTGTATACCTACTTAACAAGCCTGCACATTCTGCACATGTATCCTGGAACTTAAAGGAAAATAAAATAAAATAGAAAAATTTTATGATTCAATTTGTACTCAATAAAATAAAAGCCAGGGCTGACATTTATTAACAAGCATTACCCTTTTCCCTTGAAGCAATCTCTCTGTCTCTCTCTAGCTCTCCTTTTTTATTAAAGAGAAGTCATAGTGAGAACAACTTGTGTGAAAAATAAGTTTTAGGCTTATTATGGTTGGCTTGTGATATGGCTTGACTCTGTGTCCTCACCCAAATCTCATTTCAAATTGTCATCCCTCCTGGTGGGAGGTGATTGTATCATGGGAGTTGTTTCACCCATGCTGTTTTCATGATAGTGAGTTATGAAATCTGATGATTGTATAAGTGTTTGACATTTTATCCTTTATACACAGACACACACACACACACACACAGTCTCTCCTGTCACCTTTTGAAGAAGGTGCCTACTTTCCTTTCTATCATAACTGTAAGTTTTCTGAGGCCTCCCCGGCTATGCAGAACTGTCAGTTAAACCTCTTTTGTTTATAAATTACCCAGTCTCAGGTAATATCTTTATAGCAGTGTGAGAAGGGACTAGTACAGCCTGAGTATTCACTTAAAGTGCAGAAACAATTAATTGGTCATATAGGCTCCTCTTAAGTTGGGTTTGTTGGAATTTACCTAAAATTAAGTTATTCTAGTCAAAGCCTGGGTAAAATAACCAGTGTCTCCATTTGTCCCATTTTACAATAAAAGATGTACTTAAGCAAATAACTATATTGTCACCTAATCAGAATACTCACAGCTTTCAAATTATGGATAACCTAGAGAAAAATAAACTTGCTCACAAAAACACACTTCACCCAATTTTTCTAAACTATAAATAACTCAAAATAAAAACATTTGCTTGACTCTTCTTTAATAAGAGCAGTGGCTTTCAAACACAATGTCATTTGTTTATCTTGGAACTGCTATCCACAAGCCAAACAGCTCCTGTTAGATGGGAACCGCCTATCAAGCACTGTAGAATATGTAGCAGTTCTTCACATAGTTAGAGTCAGTCCTATGGGAAAACAGAGGCTCTTTGCTTATGAGTATTATTCTCCTTGCATTCCTCAGGTAGCAAGATGCTATATCAAAAGTATTTGGGTCCCCAGCAGGGATTTGGGCCAAAGGACTCAGGGCATTTGGTTGATCTTCATCTTATTTGTCTCAACATTGCCCCAGGCAATATTATCTTCCTCATTATAACTTTTGCCTTTTGATTAAAAAACATTTTCTATCTGGGGCAAATAACGACTAAGTATTCAAACATATCTGTGATTCTTCTGGGGCAGGTCCTTGGACTTCCTTTTCCTTTCAATTTTTTTCTTATTTCCCTAATCATTTATCAAGCATCTTTAAGAGCCCTGAGGGACAGCAAATTTGATAAGGCTTCTCTATCATATGATTGTGCTGAAGCAATGTTAACCAGAGTGCCAATGAAAAAGGGGCCCTTTCAACTCCTAAATTTCTTATTGCATGAGTCCAAGCCACATTTTGAAAAGCCTGCTGGAGGAGTAAAGAAGTTTCTGCAAAGTTCAATCCACCCCCAATCCTCCAATGCCCAGGTAGCTCTGACGGAACCTCCCCTGCATCCAGCTCCAGCCCCAGCCCAGTACCATTGGATCCCTGACGTTCCTTACAGCCAAAAGATTCAAGGAGTCAGTCCACCCACGAGCAGAGGGGAGGATGTTTCTCAAGAATGAGACAGGAAGTGCAGAGGAAATGCACTTGTCCTAGAAGACAAGGCCAGTCACGGTGGCATAGCGCTCATCCTAGGCAATCCACCCACCCATGAGGTGAAACATGGAGACCGAGGAAGCTTACCTGTCTGAGACACGTATGGAAGCCAAGAGCTCCAGGGTCATCAGACCTGCGCAATCCAGCAGAAACAGGTTTGGAGAGAGAAACAGTCATGACACGAATCTCCAGGAATTGTCTCCCTGATGGACGGGGAAGTGATCTTCATAGAAGATATTCAGCCAGACCAAGAGGCATCTAGGCCGCTGAGAAACAGGGGAGACAGTGGAAGAGGGAGGACAGAGCAGAGGCCAGAGCCCAGGCAGGATACGGCGCCGTGCCACCGCCACGGGCATAAGGGGAGGGGTGCGAAGCGGGTGGCTTGTCCATAGAGGCCAGCGTTCCAGGGACAGGGATTGTTGCCGTCTCCCATTCCCGGCTTCCTCTTCAAGATTGTGTCATGGTGTGGCTTCATTTCGCAGAGAAGAGGCGTGGAAAGGTACAACCATCTTCTTGGACGTGGGTCTGCTCCTCTCCTGCCGGACAATGTGCTACCGTGGGGCTTTTGTCCTGGGCTGGAGTGTGGTCCTCTTGATCCTAGAAAAGAGGCCGCTCAGGATGGGGATGAGACTTCCATTGCTCCGGCCAGACGCATCCCCTCAGGTGATCGAGGCCTTCACAGACCCAAAGCGGAACCGCCGCGAAAACGATCGACAGCCGGCCACAGGACCCAGGGAAAGACGCAGAAAGAGGCTCACCAAAGACCGACCGACATGCAAGAAATCGCTTTCTGACGCACAGGGCACATTCGTCCAAACACACACGCACAAGGGCACACACACACACATAGAAACCGACACAGAGAGGGAAAGAAATAGAGAGTGACAGACAGCGAGAGAGAAGAGAATGGCGCACACACACACACGCACACGGTCATACAGCGGTGTCATGGAAGCACCCCCACCTCAGGCAGCAGGCAATCCTTGAGGCTGCAGGGTTCTGCTCTCCACGCGAACGACCCTCGGGTGAGAGAGAAGCCCACGGACACACAAGCAGACCTGTCCTCCAGATCACGGGGGCACGACTTTTGGGGAGACTCACCCGAACACCGTCCGGGCAGGCCTGAGGATGGGATGCCGCGCTGCTTCCCCGGCCTCTGCCTGTGGTTTCCTCATCCTGGTCGGCCCATTTCAGGTCCTGGCATCCGGAGACGCTCCTGTGGACCCCGTGGAGAAGTCAGGCCGGAGCCTCGGAGCCCCGACACCGAAGCCCTGCCACGGAGGGCTCCTGCTTTGCCAAGCCCCAGGGAGTGGTTTCTATGACAACCCTGGGAATCGCTGTGATGGGGAGAAGCGGCTCGCTCCTCGCGCATGCGCATTGACTTGGCCAAGTCTTGCGTAGCTCCTGGAAGTCAGGCTGAGGTCCCTTTAAACAATGGCAGCTGCGCGGAGGCAGTGGGGCGGTTCTTGCTGCAGCAGCGGTGGCGGCTGGATACGGGGCCCAGTATGGGGCGGCGTGGGAGAGGGGACCGCGGACGTCCAGTACCAAACCGTGTCACCTGGAGTGACTGGCTCTCCAAGGGCCAGCTGGCCATCGTATCCTGGAGATGGTCAACAAAACTTTGACCCTGACCAGAAAGGAAAATGCTGGCAGTGCCCTGGACTGACGACAGCCAGGACATATCACGCTTACCTGGGAAGGGCCCATACACAAAGGCTCCTGGAGAAGCACAGGGCCTGTCACCAAGATGAACAACATCTGGGGATTGTGACCCTGGGGACTGGCTATGTGGGTGTACTGTGTGAGCTGCCCCAAAATGCCACCCAGAAAGTGGAAATGGCCCTGGAAAGCTGTAGCAGGGAAACCCCTCCCTGGTGAGTTATTCTCCACCTGCCTCCCTCTGTTCCTGGCAGCCTTGCCCCATCTCGATTTTCAACTCCAGTTGTGTCTGCCTGGAGGGTGGCATGGCCAGCGTTAGTATCTCCTTCTGCAGCTCAGTGATGGGCTCCAGCAGCCCTCACCATGCCTCAGAACCTGAGACCCTTAGGGAAGGACAGGACATGCTGCAAACACAAACCCGGTGAGAGAGGGTCTTCCGGCCACAGAGGTCACAGGTAGGGGTCTATAGACTCCAGTTCTGAGTTCCTGACCAGGTTTCAACCATGAGCATGCTCTTTAACCTTATTATTTCTTGTCATTCCCATCTGTGACATGGAGAAGGCACCCACCTCAGAGGTTTTGTGAGCAATAAATGAATACGATTAATGTGCCTTTCCTGGTGCTACACATAAAGCCAGGCATGAGTCCTCGTGCAGTTGCCCCACCATGTCCAGGTCCCACAGGCTAGTCCAGACCCCAACATTGGGCCAGTTCTCAACAGATGCCTGGATGCCAGGCCCCCCTGGAGATACTGGGACCCTGGCCTGGGCCTGGACAGAAGGTGTTGCTGTGCCATTTGGAGATGACCCCATAGGTGAGGACTGGGGCCTATGTGGCCCTGTGAAGGGGTGTGCCCTAAGGCGGGGCTTGGGTGCCTCACTGGGAGGCCACAGGATGGAAGGGCAGGCAGGTGAGACCCAAGGCCACTCTATACCACATTTTGAACAAACCCGTCACTCTCCACCTGCAGACTCAGCTATGCATATTTAAGACACTATTGGGCCCTTAGTTAAAAAATATTTTGCTTGCACACTCAGCGTTCTCATCCAACATCAATGGGGAATCAAAAATCCTTTATTTGGAAACAAGTAAGGGAAGCAATGTTGAAAATTTGTCATGGCTCCATAACCCATATCTCCTCTGGGGATTAATTATTTTCTTAAAATGCAGTGTGTACTGTTAGTTTAAATCATCCCAACTGTGATAACACTCTTTAAATCTTCAGTAAACCTTCACATTTAAACCACCTGCAGATGAGAGTAAATCCGTCAGGTGAGAGGAGAGTGAGCACTCACTGGAGGTGAAATAAAATCAGGTAATAAGAACTTAGACTGTGGTCTCTCGACACCTCCCGCCCTCCCCATCAGAATGTGGCAGCTGAACAAGGAGACATGGCAGGCCTGGCCACAGTGCCCAGTGGGGTTGCCCACCCTAGCTCTTAGGAAACTGGATACTTGGGGCCAGTGGCCACCCAGGGCCTGTTGTCCACCTGGGTCCTAGGGGTAAACCTAAGACCTGTGTCCACCTGTGTCTTAGGAGTAAACCTAAGACCTGTATTTCCCCTGGGGCCTGATGTCCACCTGAAGACTGGAGTTCACCTGTGGCCTACTGTCCAACTGGGGCCTGAGGTCACTAGGGTCGTAGGTATCCCTCTGAGGCCTGGTGCCCACTTGTCCCTGATTTCTCCCTGGATCCTGGGTATCCACCTGGAGCCATATATCCATCACAAGCCTGGTTACCTTCCTGGGACCTGAGCATCAACTGGGGGCCTAATGTACACCTGGAGTTCAGTGTCCACCTGGGGCCAGAGTTCTATGAGGAGCCTGGTCTTTACCTGGGGGCTGTCTCTCTCTCTCTCTCTCTCTCTCTCTCTCTCTCTCTCTGTGTAATCTCAGTTTCTATGAATAATTTTGAAAAATAACTTTCTGGGTTTTTTTTAAATTATTGCTCTTATACAGTTAAATTTCACATAAATGGACACACTGATTTGATTCTGTCTTCTCATTTTTTCGTATCACCTTGCTTCAGTTGCTTTATTATTTCTATTCATCACCACTTAAAGGGCCAATCACAGGATACCAAAAACGACTTTTAAGAAACAGTGGTAAAGAAACATTAATCAAAAAATATGAAAATCTGTAACATAAGTATAATTAAAAGTATAATTTTGAAATTTTAATTTAAACAAATGGGATAGGGAAATAGGTAGAAAATTAATTTTGACTAGTTCTTTGGTAAGCCAGTACAATAATATTGAAAATCAAAAGTAAAAAAGCTGAAAAGGATATAAATAACATGGTCAATAACTTTATCTAAAAGTATACAAATGTACATTCAACAAAGAAATATAGATTTTGTCATGTTTTCAAATGTAGGTCATGAATTAGACAACAAAGGAGTAATCAATGTATTCTAAACCATCAATATCATATTGTATTCCTCAAAGCCAGCAACAATTAAAATTTTCAGATATTTGGAAATCACTAAGCCCATTATTAAGTAATCTTGAAGTTAGAAAGAAAACAATAGGTGAATTATGAAAACAATGTAGTATAATGATAAATACCTTTAGATATGCAAGTTTTTGAGAATGCATTTAAAACAGAAATTGGAGGTATATTTCTAACTTTAAGTACATTTTTTAGAAAAAACTGAAAATCTAATAAAACAACTAAATCATCCATCTGAAAACCTAGAAAAAGCATACAAGTAAACAAAAAGCATAACAAATTTAAGAAACAAACTAAGAAACAACAGAAGACAAAATATTAAAATAATTTTTGATATTAGTAGCAACACTAATTAAGAACATAAGGTATGCAGATGAAACAGAATTTTGAAAAAGCTATTAATAGAGATGTAACAGATAAAAAATGTGGTCTTCAAATAGCAGGAAAAAATTTTTATCCTGGTTCCTTTCACAAATTCCTCCAAACTCTCAAAGATACACAGAAAGCAACAAATATGAACAAACAGAAAATAGAAAAGCACAACAAACTAGACCTGTTCATTTCACACTCTCCTATTAGGTTGGTGTAAAAGTTATTGCGGTTTTTGCCATTAAAAGTAATGTCAAAAACAGCAATAATTTTCCACCAACCCAATAACAATCTTTTGTTTATAATTTGCCTTTTTCTGCATATGGGACTAATTCAAGTATTTAGTTTCCGTTTGGGCATTATGATCAGAATGGGTTTGTGGGTGGTGGATATACAGACTGTTGGCACAATTTGCTATGTATGGTTTGCTCTTAGATATCCAGATAGAGTTACCAGGCAGTAGTCCATCACCTCTCTGAGTCTGGAGGTCTGAGAACAGGGTGGGTGGGAGAATATAGCGAGAACTCTGTGAGGAATTAGATATGGGGGTTACGCCCTTGACCTACGTGTAGCCAGCAAGCCCTATTCAATGTGCTGAGTTTAGAGAAAGGCTCAGACAAGGGCCTAGAGGATGGGCAGGAGAATCCGCAAGCTTCCCAGGGTTCTGCCTGGGCCAGGGCCTTGCCCAGCACAGCCTTGAAAGGACAGAACTGGGGTCCTGCAGCCCACCTCTGTGGGCACCTGGAACTATGACCATCCCACCTGCCCTAGTGTAGACAGGGCCTACAGGAGATGAAGCCTCCGTTTTCTCCTGTATATAATGTGAGGTGCTTAGAGCATGAAACCACAGGGTTCCACATGCTCGGATAGTGTTTGTTGACCTTGGTTTTTTATGAATGACCCTGTGTGTACTGAGACACTTGGAAAAAGCTATTCACTCTGGGGGTCCTTCAGAGCAGACAGAGGCTTGGTGGTTTGGGTGGATGAGGATTTGGGATAGGACAGAATGTGCCCAGGCACTGGACCCTGTGTCAAAAGTCTCGGAACATGATCAAACCTCATTTGGAAGTTGGGGTAAATTGCTGCCCTGGCTGTGGTGAGGACACCTCGAGAGTGAACTTTACACCCCAGGAACTGGAGGCAAAGAGGGGACAAGAGAGACTGCTGAGGTCCTTCTTACTGCCCTTGGAGCCTGCAGATCCTGCTCCTCTGCCTCCTGGGAACCTGGAGAGCCACTGACTTGAGGAATCTTAAATGCAGGTCCCTGTTTTGTTCTGTGATGCTCCTGCCTCAGGCTGCAGTGCTGATGCTGGCTATGGGGTGGGTGGGAGGACAGTGTTCTGTGTTCCTGGTGCCCACTGAGCTGTTCTCATGCATCTGGATCCAGGGGAGAGTCATGCTGAGGTCATGCAGTTCCTGTTCTTATGAATGATCTCCACATTATGAGGTGGCCAGAAGCAGGAAGGGGCATTTGACATCCTCCCATTTATTCACTCAGCAACTCTGCCCTTAGCATTAGTCTTGTGTGCCAGGTGCCCTGGTGGGCCCAGCATATGGTACTGAAAATGTCCACGTGGTCCCTGACCCTCAGGGGTTCACAGTCTGAGGACAGGTAGACATCAAGCCCCAAGTTGATACCTAGGTGTCGGATGGACATCACGCCCCAGATGGACAGCCCAGCCAGAGGTAGACTTCAGGTCCCAAATGGAAATTTGGCCGTAGGTAGATATCTGGCCACTGGTGGATAGCCAGTCCCAGGTGGACATCAGGCTCCAGGTTGACATCAGTCCCCAATAGGATATCTAGGCCCCAGGTGGATACCCACTGCGTACTTGTAAATTGTCAAGACTGTTTTTTTTTTTTAAAGCAAGTGAGAGCTATCATAAAACATGATAACTTTTAGTAGATTTTGAATATTCCTAAACTCCATGAGAAATCATAATATTTTAAAAATCAGCGTGTATATGGAATGAGTATTTTTAAATGTATCTTTCATGTTAAAGGATTTAGAATAAAATGTTACAAAAGTTATCTGTGTTATTCGTAGAAAATGTAGACAATGAAAAAATCAGAGACTAAAAATACCTATATTTTTGGCTATGAGATAATCGCTGCTATGGCACATTCCTTCTAACCTTATTGCCATAGATTTTTTATACCTAATATTGATTTTATGCCACACATTTCATTACATATGCAATGGAGTATTACTTATTCATTACTAAGTCACAAAGAGTTTGATTGTGTGTATATTTAAAAAGGCAAAGGAGATAAATTTACATAATTCAGGTTTTTCCACTTAGCATTTTATCAATAAACATGAGTGGTTGAGTGCATATGCATGAGATTTGGTTCTGCATTTATTTCGGATGGTCTCATGTCCTATGTGCTTATCACTAAATATGATGCTATTGTAAACCATATGCGTTTATTTTTACATATGTCCTTAAAGGAACAAAAACATTTACCTTTGATGTTAAAGCAAATAAACAACAACAATCTGTTCTAATGCCAGAGGAACAGCAAACTGAGGGTGATTGTAAAATTATATATATGAATACCTCACTTTAGAGGCCACTTAATTTTTTTCCAAGGGGATCTTTGACTATATGTCATTTGTATTTTATTTAATGATTTTATAATTTAACCCCTAAATTATAAATCTAGAATTTAGAAGGTATATTTCCTTACTGGATTACATTTTTGGAAATAATATTTTATATGTGTACAAATATTACAAGTCATTGTAGACACTGGAAAAGTATATTATTATTTAAAGGCAATAAAGATTCTACAATAAACTGGTATACCAAATAAAATTGTTGGTGCATTTTTTCCAGTAGATTTTGTACATATTACATATTTAACCTTTTTTATTCAGCACATAATTTTTGAGTATTTACTAAGTGTCTGCATTACGAACTGAGTTTAAGGAGTGAAATAACAGACATGGCCTCAGACATTAAAAATTAAAGTTAGGTCCCCTATTTATATATTTAAAAATGGTAATTATGAAAACTTGTTGAGATTTTTACCTAGACAACGTTACAATAATACACTTGATGTTGTTAATATTTGCAAGTGAGCAAAAAAGAAAATAAAAAGATGGTTTAATTCATTCAATGTACACTTTAAAATTGCAGAAAATAGTCATTTCTTTGCTTTGCAATTGAATGTCTATGTGTTTTTCTCTGCAACTTTCTCTGGAGTGAGAGAAACAATTATTCATCCAGCCCAATAAAGGCAGAAGAGTAACAATAAATCTAATATTTTAAATGCCAATCAAAAGATAGTAAACATATTATTTCAGAATACTGAGGTCAATAAGTTGACCTACAAAAAAAGCCAAAGTGACAGTATAACTGAATAAGGAAAAGCCCAAAAGAGACAAAATACCTTTTGTTTTGTTACCTCGGTATGACACAACTTACCCTAACTATAAAGATCCTAAATTACCAAGATGGGTGGCTTATAATATGCAGAGTAAACAAAGTCATTTCACTTTTAGCATTTTTATTTCTCTAAGAATAAAATGTGTATGAGGAATTTATAAAGAAATTGACACTATATGTTAATACTACAATGAGCACTTTTCGAGAAAAGACTTTTTTACTCTCTTACCAACATCATGTTAGCAGTATTTATTTTCTCCAGAAATAATGCGGCAATAAAAATATCAGTATGTAGGTAAAATTAGTGTAGTTTCTTAAAGAAATGGGTTAGGTCACAGGCTAATTATGTGTATTTCACTGGTTTTTGAATGCCTACAATCATATACTTTACAAGGCACAGAGAAGATTTTCCAAAAAAACAAATATGTGAACCTGAAAAGTAATTACCACTTGGTAGTGACAATATGGATAGGGTGAAGGGCGTCATCAGGAAGCAATGAAAAAGACACATTTGCAGTTAAATTTGAAAACCATGATGTTTAACACATATGGTAATAAAGAATATTTTCTCCTGTTTCAAAATTATTATAGAATTCAAGATAGAAGCTAAAATACCTAGGGATAATGATATGGTTAATCACAAATTAAAAATTAAAGGATATTTTGAGTATTATAAGTTAAGAATGAGAACTTATTACCCAATGAAAAGGGGATAATTCATTATGCTCCATATCCATTGAATTAAAAGGCCCCATAACCTGGGTAATTTAAAAGTTTAATTTTATTTAAAAGTTTTGTTTTGTTCATCAAGCTGAAGGGTTTGCCCCCAGAAATATTCTAGGATTGCATATCCCCAACTCTGTATGAAGTATACAAATAATGTTATAAGGGCCACCATCTAAATTTGTAAATAATTTAGTACCATTTCATTTGCCTTTGTAGATTTAAACATGTAAATGGCTTTCTCATATTAGGAAACATCATTTTTCAAAACCCAGATAAACATAATATATTGCAGGAGAATAATTATTTATTTATTAAAAAAGAAATGCTGGATGCTAAGTCCAAAAGACATAAATTATTTTACACTAATAGCTACTAACATTTTATTCATTAACATATAAAGGTCAAAGATTTTAAAATAATCTTTAAATGATTAGCAACACGTTGATCTCTTTTTCTTTTTTTCGTAAACCTTTTTGAGTCTTAAAAATACTAAATTATACAAGCAATATTAAATATTAAATTCAATAAACTTGAATTAAAATATTCAAATTTACTAGAATATGCACATTGGAAAAATGAAAATAAACAGAAGCATAAAGCAGCATGTGTAAAATTAAGAAAGCTACTGAGAGTGTTTAAAGTACATATTCATCTGTAGTCTAACTTCTGCCATAAATAATGAGTCTTCTCAGTAAAACACAAATTGTTCATGAAGGGAAAAAACATGTTGTATTAGGGAATATTCAACATAATTTTTTTAGTACTAACTTGTGCCCCGAATTTTATTTGTTTTTGTATTATGAACTTATGCACTTGATAATTTCTTTTTTCATAAAAAATTGTATTTACAACTCTATTCAAAAGCAGTTTTTTTTTTTTTTTTTTTGAGACAGAGTTTTGCTCTTATCACCTAGGATGGAGTGCAATGGTGCCATCTTGGCTCACAGCAACCTTTGCCTCCCTGATTCAGGCGATTCTCTTGCTTCAGCCTCCTGAGTAGCTAGGACTACAAGCATGCACCAACATGCCTGGCTAATTTTGTGTTTTTAGTAGAAATGGGGTTTCGCCATGTTGGCCAAGCTAGTCTCGAACTCCTGACCTCAGGTAATCCGCCCACCTTGGCCTCCCAAAGTGCTGGGATTACAGGCAAGAGCCACCATGCCCGGACTCAAAAGCAGTTTTTAAAAGCAAACAATATAACACCAAAGTTGACAAATCTATGCTCACCGAGTTTTGCCAGGTTTAAAAAATTATTTACAGAATATGGCATCAAAAATAAGGCAATAACCCAAAATATACCATTAAAGATGTATCCACTCCTACAACTAGAAAGAACTAATCTATCTGGTAGCAAATGATACTTCATTCAGTTTCAGCATGTCTGAAATCTTTTTTTTTTTTTTGAGACGGAGTCTGGCTCTGTCACCCAGGCTGGAGTGCAGTGGCGCGATCTCAGCTCACTGCAAGTTCTGCCTCCTGGGTTCAGCCATTCTCCTACCTCAGCCTCCCAAGCAGCTGGATTACAGGCGCCCGCCCCAACGCCTGGCTACTTTTTTTGTATTTTTAGTAGAGACGGGGTTTCACCGTGTTAGCTAGGATGGTCTCCATCTCCTGACCTCGTGATCTGCCCACCTCGGCCTCCCAAAGTGCTGGAATTACAGGCATGAGCCACCAAGCTCGGCCTCAGCATGTCTGAAATCTTTAAGGACAAAAGTGCTAAAACATTACCTTCATTCTTCATTAGACTCTTAGAACACTTGAAGGAAAATAATTTCCAAAGCACAAATTGGTAAAGAGGTGTAATCTTTCAAAAAGATATTCAGTGTTCAAAATCCAAGAATGCAATATCAGGCTGGGCGCGGTGGCTTACACCTGTAATCCCAGCACTTCGGGAGGCCAAGGTGGGTGGATCACCTGAGATCAGGAGTTTGAGACCAGCCTGGACAACATGGTGAAACCCTGACTCTACTAAAAATACAAAAATTAGCGAGGCATGGTGGTGTGCACCTGTGGTCCTAGCTGGCTGGGGAGCTGAGGCAGGAGAATTGCTTGAACCTCGGAGTTGGAGGTTGCAGTGAACCGAGATCATGCCACTGCACTCCAGCCTGGGTGACAGAATAAGATTCCATCTCAGAAAAAAAAAAAGTAGTATCGATATACACAGCTAATATACTGAATGAAAGAAAGAATAATTTGAAGAGGTATCTTGATGAAAAAGGAGTCATGAGGAAAGTTGTATTCATGTCTCTGAATGAAGGAAATTGCAATGTGAGAAATAGTACTATGACTACTATACTAAAAGCTTATTGCTAACCTGTATTGAGTTATTAACATGTGTTAGGCAGAGTACCATATAATTTAAACGTGTTATCTCATTTATTGTAGTTAGTAAAACATAATTTTGAACTCTGGGATTATAAATGAATTAACTGGAATAAACTTCTATTTAAGTGGTCATCTGTAAATTGCTATCTAGGAACAGGGTGATATAGTGCCCAAGTTTTCTAAGTATTCTTACTAACTGTTGTTTTTCTCGGATATTGCTCTTTTTTGGTCATTTTGATTTTTTTTTATTTTAGAAAACTAATAAATTCACTCTTCTTGGTACTGACCCTTGGGTTTCATAGAAGAAAAAGTAGTTAAATTCTGTACCTTTACTTTTATTTCATTTTTTCTCTTTTAAAATTATTTTTAATTGGCATGTAATAATTGTATAGGTTTATGGGTTACAGAGTGATATTTTGATATATTTATGCAATGTGTAATGATCAAGTCAGAGTCATTAGCATATCCATTACCAAAATCATTTATTATTTCTTTGCAGAATATTAAAAATCTTTTCTTCTAGTTATTTGAAAACACACAATAAATTCCCTTTAACTACAGTCACCCTGCAGTGCTGTAGAGAACTATAACTTACTCCTTCTCTCCAGCTGTAATTTTATATGTGTTAACCAAATTTTTCTTATACTCCCCTTTCTCTTTCCCGTATATGGTAACCAATACTCTACTATCTAAGCTTCCATACGTAAGTGAGAACATGTAGTTATGTGGTGTTTCTTTCTCTCTCTCTTTTTTTTTTTTTTGGAGACGGAGTCTCGCTCTTTCGCCCAGGCCGGACTGCAGTGGCGCTATCTTGGCTCACTGCAAGCTCCACCTCCCAGGTTCACATCATTCTCCTACCTGAGCCTCCCAAGTAGCTGGGACTACAGGTGCCCGCCACCTCGCCCGGCTAATTTTTTTTGTATTTTTAGTAGAGACGGGGTTTCACCGTATTAGCCAGGATGGTCTCGATCCTTAAAATATTCTGCATTTGTCATTTGCTCAAGTCTGAATGATTTGGTTAGAAAAAAAACTTCTAAATTTTATTTATAGAAGATCATGATCTGAATTTCATATTCCCAGAGTTAATAAACAAATATAGTTGATAATTTTTCACAGCTGAAAGATAGCCATTATGATATATAAAATAGAAAAAAGTGAAGATTTATGTGGTTTAGCTGAGTCAATGAGTCAAAAATGTGGAATGCTGAAAAAAAATGAAATATTTTATCCCATTCATAGAAGCACTTCTTCAAATTATAATTTTCAGAGATGATCATAGTACACTCAAAATTAATTTTTAAATTTTGGTAACTGCTTGAATAAGGATGATTGAGAAACTGCAGTGTATTAAGAATGTAATAGGGAACTAGGAACATCAGCCCTGACTCATATTTCACCCGTAACTACTGAAAATAATAAAGAGAGGTTGGAGTGACATGATTCATATAGTTGAATGACTATCATGCTGAAAATTTCATTTTATTTTAATTTCTTAATTGAAGGATAAAATTTTATGTATTTATTTTGTACAACATGATATTTTGAGGTGTATTTACATCGTGAGGTGACTGAATCTAGCTTATTAGCATACATATTACCTTATATTGTTATGAATTTTGTGGTAATTAACATCCAAAATATATCAGAAATTCAAACAACTCAATAGCAAGAAAGCAAATGAACTGATTAAAATATAAGCAAAAGATCTGAGCAGACATTTCTCAAAAGAAGTCATACAAATGGCCAAGTAGGCTTATGCAAAAAATGTTCAACATCACTAATTATTATGGAAATGCAAACTAAAGCTCCACTCTGCTGTCATCTCACACCTATTATAATGGTTATTATCAAAAATACAAGAATTAAACGTGTTGATCAGGGTATGGAGATAAGGGAACCCTTGAACACTCTTGGTGGGAATATATTCAGTTCATGTAAAAGTAATTGCAGTTTTGCCATTACAATCAATGGCAAAAACTTCAATTACTTTTGCACTAACCTAATAAATTAGTACAGCCGCTATGTATTAAATATTAAGTATTAGGCCGCTAAGTATTATGGTTCTCCAGAAATTTTAAAATTGAACTACTATATGATCCAGTGATCCCACTGCTGGGTATCTACCTATCCAAAGGATATAAAATCAGTATATGGAACAGATATCTGCACTCCCATGTTTATTGCAGTATTATTCACAGTAGTCATGGTATGGAATCAACTTGTGTCCATCGACGGGGGAATGGGTAGAGAAAATGTGGCATATACATACAATGAAATACATTCAGCCACAGAAAAGAAGGAAATCCTGTCGTTTGTGAAAACATGGATGAACCTGGATAACATTATGAGCTAGGCCAGAAAGACAATTATCACATAGTCTCATTCATATGTGGAATCTAAAAAAGTTAATAAGTAGAGTAAAATGTTTTTTTTTGCCAGCAGCTAACGTGGTTGGGAATGGAGTTTGGTAGATGTTGGTCAAAGGATACACAACTACAGTCAGAGAGAAGGAGTAAAAGTTCAAGAGATCTATTGTGCAACGTGCTATTGTTAGCAACTTAATGTATTTTTGAGAAATTCTGAGAGTGGGTTAGTGTTCTAAACCAAAATAATAACTATGGGAGATGATGCTGGAAACTAATGGAAACATTTCTTTTTGTATGAAGACAGGACTGTGAACAAGGGTGATTGTAGCATTGTTGGTTGAAATGCAGATGAAGGCCATTGGCTTCTTTCAATGTTCTTTAAGAGCTTTGGAATGTAAGGAACCAATGTGGCATGGAGAAAAAAATGTTACACATGGTGTCAGAAAACTGAGATGATAAACTTAATAAATGCTTGAATTTCGGAAGATAATTTACATGTCTCAGGATCAGTTACTTCATACCAAGGTTTATACGTGGGTTATTAGGAAGTCTGATTTAAATAATGTAAGTGAAATGTCTGAAACATAAGTTATTCTCAGTAATCTTATAGTTATTTAATACAACATTTTAATGGGCATATGATATTGATGAAACATTAAACTATATTTTAATATTTTAAGAAAATACTTTTATAAAGGAGTTTCATTCTTGTTGACCAGGCTGGAGTGCGATGGCACGATCTTGGCTCACTGCAACCTCTGTCTCCTGGGTTCAAGCTATTCTCCTGCCTCAGCCTCCCGGGTAGCTGGGATTACAGGCATGCGCCACCACGCATGGCTAATTTTGTATTTTTAGTAGAGATGGCATTTTGCCATGTTGGCCAGGCTGGTTTTGAACTAGTGACCTCAGGTGATCCACCCACCTTGGCATCTCAAAGTGTTGGGAATACAGGCATGAGCCACTGCAGCCAGCCGAAAATAATTTTATTACATTTAAAATACTAATAAAACTTATTTAATCTACATTTTCTTATATTACAAAAATATGGTTGTAATATGAATTCAGATGGTTTACATGTTAAAATTACTAACCTCTGTGGCTGAAAAAGTTACCTATAAATGTTCATTGCCTTTAATTGATATTCATTCATATATGAAAATATATCACACTAATCAAATTGCAGATGCAGTAAAAAAAAGCAAAACTGTGCTATGAGTTTTGAACACCAATTTAATTTGACAGAACTTAAGTGACCAGAAAGAAAATAGAATTATTTGCAACTGCAGAAATTGCTGCTGGGTTAAAATTGACATTGAAAAAGCCTACCTTTTGACGCCCCCCTCCCCCACATTGGCAACTGTTGGAATCAGTTGTCATGCTCCCAAGGCAAATTATTGTCCATAATATCACAAAAAGTAATGAGAGCAAAAGAATTTCTGTAAGAACATGAGGCTTTCCTAAGCACTAAACTAACAAAGCTTGAACTTAGCCAAGAAATGGGAAGTTGCAGACACTGCACATTAGCAAAATGTCTTGGCAGAAGATGGACATGCAGAAGTGCAATCACTATCTTATTTATTTTCCACTCTAGGGGACACTAATATGAAAGTGACTAATATTGGATAATCATTCCCAGAACCAATTAAACATAGCATGCCATTTCTTGTGGAGAATATTTCATGCTCAGGGAAATTAAACCATTTTATTATGATTAAGTTTCCTTAGTCAAACATGCTTTAAACTTACATTCTCACACTGTTAACTAGGTGGGTATGAATTTACTTTCCTATGGTGTACAGGTGATTTCTGGAGAAAAATAGCCGAAGTGCTCATGTGGAATGGAACTAGAGTGTGGTTCTTTTTGTATTCTACTTTGCATTAACTGAAATATTTAGTGTATTGATCCCACTTCCCAAATGAATGAAATGGAGTTCAGAAAGCTTACGTGATTTGCAAATTGAGGCAGAGCTGATAAGACACAGTGTTGTTTTGGCAGTGCAAGTTTCTGACTTCAAATCCGTTTAGACCACACAGTTTTATCTATACAGCATAATTATGACAAGATGTAAAAAATCAAATTCTAAAACAGTAGACTATATTTTGATGATGCTTTACTATATGATCAAGAACAATGAGTAAGGATACATTTAAATGACTTTAGTGTTTCATCAGTTTAATTTTTATGACTGCATTGTGAATTATAGGCATTTAAAACTTATTTTAATTGTATTTTCCAAATGTGAATTGGACAAATATTTAAAATTGTTGTATTCTCACCACAAAAATGGTATGTAAGGCAATGCATATGTTCATTAGCTAGATTTAATCATTCCACAATATATATACTTCAAAACATAATCATGAGTGAACTCCCATTCACAATTGCTTCAAAGAGAATAAAATACCTAGGAATCCAACTTACAAGGGACGTGAAGGACCTCTTCAAGGAGAAATACAAACCACTGCTCAATGAAATAAAAGAGGATACAAACAAATGGAAGAACAGTCCATGCTCATGGGTAGGAAGAATCAATATCATGAAAATGACCATACTGCCCAAGGTAATTTATAGATTCAATGCCATCCCCATCAAGCTACCAATGACTTTCTTCACAGAATTGGAAAAAACTACTTTAAAGTTCATATGGAACCAAAAAAGAGCCCGCATTGCCAAGTCAATCCTAAGTCAAAAGAACGAAGCTGGAGGCATCATGCTACCTGATTTCAAACTATACTACAAGGCTACAGTAACCAAAACAGCATGGTACTGGTACCAAAACAGAGATATACATCAATGGAACAGAACAGAGCCCTCAGAAATAACGCCGCATATCTACAACTATCTGATCTTTGACAAACCTGAGAAAAACAAGCAATGGGGAAAGGATTCCCTATTTAATAAATGATGCTGGGAAAACTGGCTAGCCATATGTAGAAAGCTGAAACTGGATCCCTTCCTTACACCTTATACAAAAATTAATTCAAGATGGATTAAAGACTTAAACGTTAGACCTAAAACCATAAAAACCCTAGAGGAAAACCTAGGCATTACCATTCAGGACATAGGCATGGGCAAGGACTTCATGTCTAAAACACCAAAAGCAATGGCAACAAAAGACAAAATTGACAAATGGGATCTAATTAAACTAAAGAGCTTCTGCACAGCAAAAGAAACTACCATCAGAGTGAACAGGAAACCTACAAAATGGGAGAAAATTTTTGCAACCTACTCATCTGACGAAGGGCTAATATCCAGAATCTACAATGAACTCAAACAAATTTACAAGAAAAAAACAAACAACCCCATCAAAAAGTGGGCGAAGGACATGAACAGACACTTCTCAAAAGAAGACATTTATGCAGCCAAAAAACACATGAAAAAATGCTCACCATCACTGGCCATCAGAGAAATACAAATCAAAACCACAATAAGATACCATCTCACACCAGTTAGAATGGCAATCATTAAAAGTTAGGAAACAACAGGTGCTGGAGAGGATGTGGAGAAATAGGAACACTTTTACACTGTTGGTGGGACTGTAAACTAGAGTTCAACCATTGTGGAAGTCAGTGTGGTGATTCCTCAGGGATCTAGAACTAGAAATACCATTTGACCCAGCCATTCCATTACTGGGTATATACCCAAAGAGCTATAAATCATGCTGCTATAAAGACACATGCACATGTATGTTTATTGTGGCACTATTCACAATAGCAAAGACTTGGAACCAACCCAAATGTCCAACAATGATAGACTGGATTAAGAAAATGTGGCACATATACACCATGGAATACTATGCAGCCATAAAAAATGAGTTCATGTCCTTTGTAGGGACATGGATGAATTGGAAATCATCATTCTCAGTAAACTATCACAAGAAAAAAAAACCAAACACCGCATATTCTAACTCATAGGTGGGAATTGAACAATGAGAACACATGGACACAGGAAGGGGAACATCACACTCTGGGGACTGTTGTGGGGTGGGGGGAGGGGGGAGGGATAGTTTTAGGAGATATACCTAATGCTAAATGACAAGTTAATGGGTGCAGCACACCAGCATGGCACATGTATACATATGTAACTAACCTGCACATTGTGCACATGTACCCTAAAACTTAAAGTATAATAATAAAAAAATAAAAAATAAAAAAATAGGGCGCCTCTGCCTGGCCGCCCCTACTGGGAAGTGAGGAGCCCCTCTGCCAGGCCACCACCCTGTCTGGGAGGTGTACCCAACAGCTCATTGAGAATGGGCCGTGATGACAATGGCAGTTTTGTGGAATAGAAAGGGGGGAAAGGTGGGGAAAAGATTGAGAAATCGGATGGTTGCCGTGTCTGTGTAGAAAGAAGTATACATGGGAGACTTTTCATTTTGTTCTGTACTAAGAAAAATTCTTCTGCCTTGGGATCCTGTTGATCTGTGACCTTACCCCCAACCCTGTGCTCTCTGAAACATGTGCTGTGTCCACTCAGGGTTAAACAGATTAAGGGCGGTGCAAGATGCGCTTTGTTAAACAGATGCTTGAAGGCAGCATGCTCGTTAAGAGTCATCACCACTCCCTAATCTCAAGTACCCAGGGACACAAACACTGAGGAAGGCCGCAGGGTCCTCTGCCTAGGAAAACCAGAGACCTTTGTTCACTTGTTTATCTGCCGACCTTCCCTCCACTATTGTCCTATGACCCTGCCAAATCCCCCTCTGCGAGAAACACCCAAGAATGATCAATAAAATAAATAAAAATAAAAAAATAAAAAAAAATAAAAAAATAAACATCATATTGTACACAATATGTGCAACGGTATCTACAAATTAAAAATGAAAATAATAATAATAAATTATGTCAGGCAAATATTCACTGATATTGGAAATAATATTTATGCATCTCATTGACTCAATTTATACTAAAAGGCAAATAGCCGTCTTCCTTAATAATAGTTGTAGTATTTTCATAGCCATCTGTTTATCTCTGCAGTTTACTGTGGAGCAAATTTTCATACTTCTCTTCAACACTCAGAGGAATACTTCAAAGAAAAATTGAGACATGAAAGTTGGTTGAAGGTTTTATGGGGTAAACTGGGTTATTTGTGGATAGACGTCATAGCACACAACCGTGTAGCAACTTATACTGAAGTACCATTCAGATATCTCCTCCTCACAAAACGTCTTCTGCTCCCTCGATCCCTTTCTTTAGGCATCTCCTGGTCTCTCATGGGAAGAATATATAATAATAGTCAAGAGGGCTTGGGAGGAAAACAGACTAGTGTTGGCTAATCCATTACATACTCTGGGGAAATTGTTTGAACCATATTCACACCCTGTTAATAAAACCTATCCCATATGGTTAAAATGCGCATCCAATAACATGTCTTTAATGTGTTTAGCACAACATCCAGCTAACTGTACCAATTGTGATAATGGTAACAAAGAAGTGGTCTGAAGCAAACAGAGAGGGAAAGCCCTTATTCCACTTCCATAATCTCCATCATTCTTGCCCCAAAGAGTATGTAACATACAATATAATTAAAAAGGAGTATAGGACATTTAAGATTTCCAGGCTTATCTTCTGAACAACTTGCCATTAAATTCTTCTGCTGCAGATATTATAGACACTTTATAAAGTAAGCACTCAAAATCCTCGTCTCCCTGGTCATCCTCATGTTTGTTTGCCACTGGCATCCTAGAGAATGAACTGGCCTTCTCAATAACATTTTTTTTTGGGGGGCGGAGTCTTGCTCTTTCGCCCAGGCCGGACTGCAGTGGCACAATCTCGGCTCACTGCAAGCTCTGCCTCCCGGGTTCACGCCATTCTCCTGCCTCAGCCTCCCCAGTAGCTGGGACTACAGGCGCCCGCCATGGCGCCCGTCTAATTTTTTTCGTATTTTTAGTGGAGACGGGGTTTCACCGTGTTAGCCAGGATGGTCTCGATCTCCTGACCTCGTGATCCGCCCGCCTCGGCCTCCCAAAGTGCTGGGATTACTGGCACGAGCCACCGCGCCCGGCCCTCGGTAACATTTTGACTTGATCTGTCAAGGCGCTTTCGTCAGTGCTTCTGGGCCGCGGCCGCCACCTACAGCCTCCACAGTGCCCGGCGTCCCGGAGCTGGCTCCACTCCAGTTCCTGAGCACCAAGGCTGCAGAAGCTGAGGCCCCTGACGGAGGCGCCAAGGCCCTGGGGGTGGTTGCTTGAGTCCCGAGCCTGTCTCCTGAAAGGCCAAGGGTGGCCTGCACCTCGCTGACAGCTGTTCCCTGCACTGTTCAGCCCCTCCTGGGAAGCCAGTGACAGCCCCTGCAGCATGCACTCAGCTGCTCCTGCCCCGCAGGTGGGGCTCATTTGCCTCCAGCCCCACTCCAGCCCCTGAGACTAGAAGGAACCGGACGAGGAGGTGTGCAACCTGACCAAGGTGGTCCTAGCGGGGAGCTTCGCTCCAGCGCTCTTCCGGGGAGGCTGGCTCACTTCTGGGACAGTGGCCAACCCAGGCCTGCGACCACCTGCTGAGCCGGTGACCGACGCCGCCTGACCCTCCCTCGCCCGCCAGGGTCCAACGCCCGCTGGACGAATCCCTGCTACACAGAGGGCTCTGGTACCTGCCGTGCCTCATTTAACGGGGCGCCAGGGCCAGGCGCCTCTGGCTGCGCTTTCAGCCCCAAGACTTCTAAGGCTTGGACCCCGCTGTGCGAGCTGTTCAGTGAGATCTGCTGCTGGAGGGCTGGGCTGCATCTAGGAGGGGTTGATGGTGTCTCATCCCTGCAGTCCTATGGAAAGAGGCTGTCTCAGAGAGGGGAGATGGGCAAGCCAGCTGTGGATACTCGGCTGGATGGCCTGGACGCAGCCCTCAACAGCTTGGAGGAGAAGCTGGAGGGCTAGGTACCCACAGAAGGGCTGGAAGCCTGGCCACTGTCACATAAGTCAAGGAGTGTCCCCAAATCTCCCAGCCCCAGAAGCTGACCCTGAAGGGCTAAGGCCAGCATTGGGAGCTGTTCAAGGAACCCATGCAATCCTGCCATGAGAGCCAGGCCACGCTCCAGTGCACACCTGCCCCACACCCTAGGCAGCTCAACCTCAAGGGCTGTGACGGCATTTCTGGTGTTAGTGTCTCTGGCTGTGAGTTCTGCATCCAACTCACCGGAGGCAAGCGACCCCCACCTGCGGGGCAGAAGCAGCCGGGTGCATGCTGCAGGGGCTGCCGCTGGCTTCCCAGGAGGGGCTGCACCGTGCAGGGAACAGCCGCCAGCGAGGTGCAGGCCTTCCAGCAGACAGGCACCGGGTTCGGCAACCACCCCCAGGGCAGTGGCGCCGTTGTCAGGGGCCTCAGCCTCTGTGGTCTTGGTACTCCCTCCACACCCCCAACCCTGCACTTCCACAAAAGTTCAAGGCCAAGCAGCTCATCCCACGGATCCTGGAAGCCCTCAGAATGTGGCCTGGCTCTTACCGACCAGGCCCATCTGTGCCTCCATCAGGCCTGGCAATCCTTGCCTGACTTTGGCATCTACTACCTCATGGTCAGGCTCAAGAGCAGAAAAGATCCTGGGACTCGTCAACAATCAACAGTTCACATCGACTTGACAGTTGGTGATGTGGTGACCTGGGTTTCAGCGATATGTGGTACTGGGATGTCAACTGGGATACCAGCAGGCGGTTATCCACATGGCCTTCAGCTGCGTGTTTCCCATCTGTCCAGTTATGCACAACCACTTGAGGGGCTACATTTTCCTGTTGATCCAGAGTGGGACCCTGGGGAGGAGCTGGATGAGGGGATCTCTTCCTGCAGCTCAGGGATGGCGGCCTTCTAAGGGCTGTCTGACTGCCCCTGTCCTGCTCATCCTCTGCGGCTAGGCTCCCAAGCCCATACCCACTGGGTCTGGCTGCCCCACACCTGCTCCAGGCAGTCACTGAGCTGGGCATGTTCACCTGGTGCCACTGGCTTTGTGCAGGCCAGGGACCTGGCTGAGCCAGACTCTGCCATCATCCAGGCTAGCTAGGGACAGGGGTCCTGAGCTCACAGAGTGCCCGCTTCCCTTGTCAAAGAGGCTGAGGCCAACACCCCTGACCTCTCTGTAGTCCCTGAGCACACAAAGAAGTCCAACTCTAACTATGGGATGATGAGTCCTGGTTTCAAACTGAAGTTTATGTCTTCTTACTTTTAAAAACTAGAAATCACTGTAATTCCCCAAGAAGATAAGGTGTCATGAATGTATTTTTTAACTGTCGTAGACTTATTGAAGTGAGTTTTGCAGTTCTAGTAATCCACAGGACACATTTAAAAAATTGAATAATCTACCTTTGTTTCAGTGTCGGTTACTGATCTTGGTACGGCATTGGAAAGTAAACATGATGTAAAAAATCGCTGGTCTTATATAATTTATATTCTAGCAGGTAAGAGAAACAAACTGTGTATTAGTAGAATATACAGTGCATCAGGTGGTTCTAAGGAGGAAAACAAAGCAGGGCAGAAAAATGAAGTGCTTAGAAAAAGTTTTAGTAATACGATTAAGGTAAGCACCACTTTGAGGAAATATTCGAGCAAAATGATGACTATGGTAAATATTCATTAGGAAAAAATGGAATTTTTGTAAAATGGGAGATGATGTAGGTGAAGAATTTGACAGTTGTGGATATATTAATTTTGGGATTTCCATTAAATAGTTAATTGGAGATGTTAAGTAAGCATTTAAACATATAAATCTGAAACTCAGGGGAGAGTTCTGGCCTGGATATAAAATGTTGAAAATCATTGCTATATTGTTCTTTTGGGCATGTTCAGCTGCATGGGTGCTGGCAAGGATTAGACACACAGACAGTTGCATTTAACCAAGGTTGTAATTTTGGCAGTAGAGCTGAATAAAGCAAGGGAAAGACAAATGAATTGAAGTTGCATAAGCTCTAGAAATTTCAAGTTGATAATTAACTTCAATTTGTTTGAGGAAGATAGATGGGAAGCGAAGGGTTATGGATAGTAAAAAGTTGATAGAAACAGTAGATCATTGTTTCTGTTGAAGCTCACACTTTGTTTCTAGATATATTGTTTTATGGCCAAATGGAGATACTAGCATAAAAAATAGAATGGTTTTTATTAAATAACATTAAATGGAAAAGTGTATTTTGAGTTGTCACTTTATATAAAAAAGTTGAAGAGACATAAGAGTTATAGTGATTTACATCTTTATAAGGTAGTTTTAAAGAGAGATTTGGGGAATGATGAAGGTTAAATGATTAACACACAAACTAAGATTAAATGAGCTGGGCATTGTGACTCATGCCTGTAATCCCAACATTTTGGGAGGCTGAGGTGGGTGGATCGCTTGACCCCAGGAGTTTGAGACCAACCTGCGTAACATAGTGAGACCCTGTCTCTACAAAAAATACAAAAATTAGCCAAGTGTTTTTGCATGCACTTGTAGTCCCAGCTACTGAGGAGGCTGAGTTGGGAGAGATGCTTGAGTCTGGGAGGTTGAGGCAGCAATGAGTTATGATTGTACTATTGCACTCCAGCCTGGGTGACAGACTGAGATCCTGGGAAAGAAAAGAAAAGAAGATGAGAGAAGGGAGAAAAGGGGAGGAGAGGGGAGGGAGAGAAGAGAGAGGAAGAGAAGAGAACGAAGAGAAGAGAGAGAAGAGAAGGGAAAGAAAAAGGAAAATGGAAGAGAAAAGAAAGGAGAAAGGGGAAGAGAGAAAATAAACAACAACAACAAAAACAACAATCAAATCAAACAACACATAGATTTACTGAAGCAGAAAGAAAGACCTGAGTCTATAGACCAACAGGTTGGAGCTCCAGATGACAGTGCTGAGAAAAAAAATCCCCATGGAATCACATGCTAAAGAATATGTGTTTGATTAGGAACTCCAGAGAAGGGGTAGATGCCAATAATGAAATGGAAAGAGTAACAAGGTTAGAAAAAGGAAATTAATAACTAGAGTGATCAATAACCAGAGGAAAAAACCCACAAGGTAAACCAATAAATGTAAAATAAGCCAGAAGAAATAAAATCAACTACAGTAGATCAATTGTATAATGAAATGTAAACAGATGAATTCCCATTAAAAGACAAAGGTCAGCTTGGGTTTAAAAATACAGTGATAACTGGGCAATATGGTGAGATCCCCGTCTCTCCAAAAGAAAAAAAAATACAAAAAATTAGCTGGGTGTAATGGTGCATGCCTGTAGTCCCAGCTACTGTAGAGGCTGAGGTGGGGGGATCACCTCAAACTAGAAGGTCAATGCTGAAGCAAGCTGTGATGTTGCCACTGCACTCCAGCCAGGGCAACAGAACAAGACCCTGTCTCAATCAACACCACCACCAACAAAAAAACCCAGTGATGTATATATACAAGAAAAACACTTAAACAATGATAATGGTGGAAAATAAAAGAATGCCAAGAGATACCAGGAAAGTGCAAAAGCTAAAGTAAAATAAAGAGTGGCCATAATAATAATAGAAGGGTGAAATTTAAGGTTAAGCACTGAAATGGGATAAAGAGGGACACCATGTAATGATAGGCACAATTCGTAATGAGAGAACACTCGAAATCTGCATGCTCCCAACAGCATCACAGTAAATACAAAAAGCAAAATCTAGTAAAAGATGAGATTTATAGAGAAAATTTATAGAGAAAATTATAGAGAACACTCAAAATCTGCATGCTCCCCACAGCATCATAGTAAATACAAAAAGCAAAAACTAGTAAAAGAAGAGATTTATAGACAAAATTTGAGTGGAAGGCTAAATCTCTGTTAGAACTACAGTAAAAGCCTCCTCCCCCAAAGGATACAAAAGAAGTGACAGTTTGAATAACCAAAAACTTGATTTGGTATATATGGGACCTTATATCCCTTAAATAGAAAATATATATTTTTTCTATGTCTATGAAAATCTTAGAAAAATCATTTGGCCACAAAGAAATTCATAATAAATTTTAAAAGTGGAGAGTTTACAAATTTGGAGAAAATGAATGCTTTCCTAGTAAAATATAAAGTGCCCCTAATGAACTAGATAATGAGTAGAAACTTAATTACCACTGACGAGAAAAAAATCTGCCACTGAAAAAAGCACCAGGTCCAGACGGTTTCATGAGAAGGAACTGTAGAATCCTTTAGAATTCACCTCCGTCAACACCTTCCTCCTCTGGGAAGCACTCCTGGATTTCCCTCTTGCTGACAAGATCCTGGGAGAGTGGCTTCTCCATCATGTCCCTGACACAGCTTCTTGAAGATGTACCATATCATATCATAACCATATGATATCATATCTGCATACCACATCCTAACTGGATTTGATGGCCAATATGTCCTGGAAAATAAGCTACCTGAGTGTAGGAATCACACTTTTTTATTGGTTTCTAGTGCCTGGTACAGTACAGCAGCTGACACTGGCTGACTAGGTGAATACGGTAAGTGAAAAAGCAGAATGCACAATCATCAGTACTCTGCGATGCCCTTATGGGAAATCCCCAAGACACACACATAGGAAGGAGAATAAATGAAAAGAAACCAAAATGCTAACAGTAATCAGATTGAGATTTCCCCCATTATCCAAATATTTATGATGTAGTTAAACAATTTTTATAGGGTGAATAGTAATTTATACAACCACCTGGGCCAAGGAGTAGAAGAGGAGGAGGAAGGCTCAGAGGATCTTCAGGCAGGCCCTTCTGCTACCTCGGCTTCCTTTCTCCGGCCAGGTGGTCCAGCCGCCAGGCAGACATGAAGGCCCTGACAGGGGCCTCTGCCCCACCACCTTCATGCCTCATAGGGGACCTCTAGCTAGGAGGAAGGTGATGAGACAGGGTAGGCACCCACCAGGAGCCTAAGCTGGACAGAAGGGTCCCGTGGGTCTTACCTGGCCCAGGCAGCAGCTCTGGAAATTCTATCAACACTAGATTCCTCCAAACAGAGCCTCCTAAATTTTAGCAAGAGCTCCTATGCCCTTCAGCCCCAGGGCCTTAGTCCTGTCAGCCCCATTTCCCCCTCAATATAAACCAACAGCCACTGTCCCCTCACTCTGTGGCCCAGATCCAGCTCTGAGTCTCCCTAGCTTTCGGGCATGGAGCCCCAACTGCATTCCTGGTGATCAGCTACTCCTGGTCATGACCATGGACTTTCCTATGTCCCGGAGCCTGGCACTGACCATCCATCTAGGCTGGCATTCCATACTAATGCCCACCCCTCCCTCTACTGGACACAGTCAGCTCTAGGAAGGGGAGAGAAAATCCATCTAGAATGAGGGCAACTGCTGTGGCTGGGGAAAGATGCGACAGGGCAGATGAGCTTGTCCTGGTGCCCATCTCAGGCCCCTGCAGGCTGCAGGGAGCCAGGGACTAAGAGGTGAATAACAGGTGCAGCCTTCAGGGAGATCCCCAGAGGACCATGGGGGCTGAAGGGAAGGGAGGGGTGGATGGAGAGAGCTCTTGGTGGACAGGAATGTGAAGTGAAGATGGAGGGAGACCCAAGAACCTGCTCTCTCAGAGGTCAGACACTAGACAGGCAGCAGGGCTTCTGGGTCAGCCTGGGTCTGCAGGTGAGTCAGGGGAGGGAAAGGTTGGGCCAGGCGTAATCCAGCTGAACCACCCAGGGTGGCTTCTCCAGCTTGGGGGTGGGGGAGTTGTTGTAGGAGGGAGCACAGGCAAGGGGACTCACTGGAGTCCCCTCAACTTGGCTTCAGCTTCCTGCTGATACCAGCTTCCCTTTCCAAAGGCCCCCAGCTGGCCCCGGAGTAGAACAGATGGGTCTGTCCTGAAGTCAGTTTCTTTCTCTCAATCACAGTGACTTTGGGCTGCCCTTGGAGTTTGACCTAGGAAGTGGGTGCAGGGCCTGGATCCAGAGAGGAAGGGTCACTGGATGGATTATAGGATGGGGGAAGGGGAGGACCAGGTGGAAGTTCAGGAGGGAGGGGAGAGAGTGAGGAAACTGCTGTGGCCCTCTCCTGGTCCTTCATGGGTGAGGGCTCACTCACAGTTCCCAGAAGAGGAGGAGGAACAAGGGGTCCCAGCTCCTTCCAGTCCAGGCTGCCAGCTCAGATGTGGGGCCTCCAGAGCTGTTCGTATAAGAAGTTGCAGCAGCCAGGCTCCACTGGCCTGGGCTTTCTCCTTTTGAGGCGGGATTGATGACTGCACCCTGAAATCCCCGAGTCAGGACTGCAGCAGTGGAGAGGAGGCTCAGAGGCCCCTTTATTCTCCGGGCTTTTGCCTGGCTTCCCTGGGATTCCTGAGTGGCCTCCTTTGAGGGAGGGGAAGAGTTGTCCCTGCTTACCTTCCCCTTGCCACCCTCTCTCTCCTTCAAGAGGGCTTGCTTTCTGCCCTCTCCTAGGGAGCCAGGAAACAGGAGACATCCCTCTCCTGGGACATCAAATTCTCCAACTACACCCTCAGCTGCAGATGGCAAGGTCACGATTTGGAATTCATGTCTCCTTCCCTGCTGCCCATGCCCACAACAGGGCTGGGCACACAGAGGATGATCAGAAGAATGAGCATGTGCTTGCCTTTGGCTTGTATTCTTCTTGCCGAGTCTAACAGGGTGGTCAACCCTGATGGCCACCTGGCTGAAACTGAACGTGGTGGCCTGGGTGGGTTTTATGGGCAGGAGACCTGGAACTGTCCTAGACACAGCCATTTCCTGGCAGCATGACCTTCGGCCAGTCACTAAACCTCTCTGAACATCTGTTTGTACTCAAGGCAAATGGAGGTGTCTATGTCTGCCTTCCAACTTGTTAGAAGCTTAACCCTGGGTGCAAGCCTTTGAGTAAGAGGCCACAGTACTGTTAGCCCCTTTGGGAATGTGTCTTACCATATTTTATGTCCCCTGTGTCCAACACAGTGACCAGTACATACCAAGTACTCAATATGTGAAATTAGAGTGCATGGTGAATGACAAGACTGCGCCATACATGGCAGGAGCTCCTCTCTTCTAGGGGTCTGTGGGCTTGCCCAGTAACCTGCCCTAAGCCATGAGCCGATGCCCAACAGACAGGTGTCCCCACTCTCCAATGACCCTGTGTCACTGCCACCCTCACATCGTTGCCCCCTCTGTTCTGCTCCACCTCTCCTTTCTTAAGAGATCCCTTCTCAGCAATGATCTCCTGCCCATCCACCTAAATTTGGGGATATTTCCATCTATGACCCTACACCCCCTCTATCCACACCATCTCTCTCCCCTTCTGCCTGTTGTCTACACTCTCGATCTGCATCCTCACCTTCACTCCTGACCCACTGTCCTCTGCCTTCAGCAACACCCTTGACCAGCTGGCCTTCTGGTGGCCACATTGGATAAGTGTACTATGGCCTTTATCTAACTTGACCTTTCTGTAGCCCCCTTCTTCTGGACACTTCTTGCCCTTTGGGCCAGCACTCTTGTGCTTCTCTTCCTTGATCTGTGCCTGCTTCTTCCTCTCAGGCTTCTCTTTTCCTCCCTTTGTCTGGCATCTACCTTCAGGCAGGCCCGGTGTTTCCTCCATCCTACTCTTCCTCAATTCATCTCCCCTCAGTAAATAGCACCACTGTCTGCCCATGAGTGCAAACTGGGAAGCTAGAACTCGGTCTGATTTCCCTTAGATGCCCCTCGACCACCAGACCCTGCCTACTCTACTTCTCAAACCTCCGGTCATTGCCACGTGCCCATGGTACCACCAAGGACCTTAGCCATTCTTGCAGCCCTGGCCATGGAGATTTTTTTTCTCAATCTCATTCCCTTCTCTGCTAAAAGCCTTACAATGGCCACAGGAAGGCATGCACATTCCTGGCAAGGGCCCATGAGACCATGCCCAGGTGGGCACTAGCTACTTGCAACTCCCTACTCCACTCTTGAACCCGACCCACATGTCCTCTCCTGCTGGCCTCTCATCTAAGAGGGTGAGACCCCCAGGACCATGGCTGTGTCTTAGTTCTCTCTAGATGCAAAAGCTTACCTGGGTCTTGGCAGGTGTTCAATTAGTTCATGCCTAATGATTGGGTGAACGGACCTGGAGGATCATAGTGGGGAAAGGGGATAGAGAGGGCTGGCTTTTCCTGAACCCTCTGAGGAGATAACAGGCAGGCTTACCTTTCAGGATATTCCTTCCCAAAATGCTGCTGGAAAATATAAGATCGGGGTGGAGGTCCAACTAACTCCCAACACTGGACCTTGTTGGGGATGGAGTGTCAGGGAGGCCCACAGCTGACTCCTGAATAAAACACAGTCACAGGGACTGTGGTATTATTGTACCCATCACTTAGTGGGGGGGAGGGGAAACAGGACCAGACATGCTGAATGACTTGTGGAGGTCACACAGTAAATTAGGGACACAATTGGGGTCAGGAAGCAGCCTCTTTGGCCAATGTCCTAGTTCCTTCCTGCAAAAGTCCCTGGCCCCATCACCTGCACCCCTCCCGCACAGGCCACTGCAACCATGAACCTGCTGGGAGCCAGAGGAGAGATGGGCAGAGGCACTATCCAACAGGGACCCTGGTACTGGGATGTCTTCTCAGAAGATGCTGGGACCTGGGATGTTGGCCCTTGGGCAGACCTGCAGAGCACTGGCTCATAGGTAAAGGGCTGCCACTCCTCCACCCTCCTCAACACACACTCTGTGCACTCTGTCTGAGCCAGACCCTGGGCCAGAAGTGAGGTTCAAAGGGCATGGCCATTTCCCAACCTCCAGGGGCACCTTTCAGAGGGGCAGACACTCCCACCATCACCAGGACAGAGAATGTGGAGAGGTCTGGAAGTTTGCCACCACGAGCCTGTGCACGAAACAGAGGGGTGCCAGGACAAGAGCACTGGCATCCAGCCACCCATCCCAGAGATGCTGCCTGGTCGACTGGCAGGGGCTCCAGACAGGGACCCTCCTAGTCCCCATGCCCTCCTGCCAGGTGCTGTTTTCCAGCCTGGTCACAAGGTGACGGGCTGCCTCTGCAGGAGCCTGAGGGAAGGTGGCACAGACCTGGAGGGAAGCAGACCGAGGCCTACCCAGACAGTCTGGGTGGACCATCTGCTGCTGCCAAGCACTTCCAAGCCTCTCCTTGCATAAGGCTCACAGCAACCCTAATTGTGTATTGTGCTTACACATAGGGACGTTGGGCCTAGAGGAATTAAGTGGCTGTCAGCAGCTGGCAGGTGACCCAGCGGAGTCAAATTCAAGTTTTCCTAGTCTCAAAACCTGAACTCTGCATTATAATGAGAAGGGTGGATGGAAGACCCATTAGCAGGCTCAGGGGAATGGTGCCTCCTTCCTCTGGGCATCCGGGACTCAGTCCTGGCACATGGCAGGCATCAATGTTCATTGTAATGACATCAAATACAAAGAAAGAAATCAAAGGCACCCAAGGTTCGGAGGTAGTCTGTCCACCCCACTCCCTTTGGGCTAAAGAACAAGCCAAGGCCTTGAGAAAGGGAGTGAAAGCCAGGAAAACAGAAAGCCATCTACTCTATATATTTAAGTCTATTCAACACATGCATAAATAATGGAATTAATAATATAAAATATAAATGACTGCAAATAAGTTGACAAATTGTTGAATGTTATTTGCTAGAACATGAAAGTTAAATAATAAAAGTTGGGGAATACCAAAATATCATGTGCTTTTTTATCTGCCTAGGGAGACTGATTACTTAATCCACTTCTTTTTAAAGCTTTATGAGCACTCATATATATTTTAACTTTCCGAATGAAAAGATAATATTCATACGATGAATGTGAGGGTTTCCTGTTGATCTTCCTATTGTCTTTTAACAACAAAACAATCTTTCAAACATAACAATATAAAACAAAAATTATTTGAGTATCTAGCAGACTTCTCTTGGAGAAAGAAATACACTGAGACCCAATTTGCTGCAGAGAGTGAGATTCCAAAGCATATTTCAGAAGAAAGAAGAGAAATTAACTGAAAGAAAACCTTAATTTCCTTGCATAAGAAATAAATGCAGAAGTTCCACCTCTAGAATGGCAATGTGAAGAGTTCCATGGATCTTTTATAAAATTGTTGAAAATTATAAAACAACCATCACCTATGTCACTTGAAAAGTCATAATGGTACATAGAAAATGATGAAGTATTTATTCAAGAAAATCTACTGAAACTCACTAAGAACAGTGAGAGTTTTTTGCGTTTGATCCACAACCCATTCTTACCTCTTTTTCTCACAGCCTATCTTGATACAAACTCTACTCAAGGCAATGTAGCCAAGAACACAGGATTTTTACTAGACCCCATTGGGGGGCTATAGTATCTTTCTGGGAGTAGCAGTGCATCAGAATTTTTCATTTCAACCCCCACCTGCTGCCACTACCTTTTCTTGAGGTTAAGCTTTTGTTGAATGTGGCCAAGAAGTAGGATGTCACTTCTTCCTACCAGCTCTAATTCATGGAATGAGGACTGTTTAGGTGCAACACACTGAGAACACTGAGCCCTGATTGCCTTCTTTCTGGTTTGTCTGTAAGGCAAAGTTCTCATTCCAGGAGTGGCAAAGCTGAGATTACCAAAGGCTACTTCTCATCCCAGTGACCCAGTCTCAAAGTAGGGCTGTCACTCTGAGAGGAGAATGCTGCTCTCTTTGCTGCAATCACCAGAGCCAAAGCTCAGAAGTTTTGCCCAAAGGAAGGGGCAGAACATACAGCAGAGAGTGTAAAGCTTTTCCCAAAAGAAGAGTTTGGGGAAATTCAACCATAAGGGTACTTTGAAAAACGATGAAGTGATGGTAAAAAGCAAATAAGAGAGACTGGCACTTTATTAGAGACATATGCTTTGAAACAAAGGTCAGCTAGTTTACCAGGAATAACCCAGGAAAAAGACAGCTAAGAAGAGCCCTTCTGGTGTCAGGAAGAAGTTCCAAATGCTGAACAAATGAAAAGACCTGAAATAATAAATAAGACTGCTAATATAACAAAAGCCGTAAATACATAGTACATTTCTTTTTATCTTTTTAAGACATAAAATTATGTCAAGTGTGTTAGTCTGTTCATGCTGATACATATATATACCAGAGACTGAGAAATTTGTAAAGAAATTTATTTCTCATAGTTCTGCAGGCTGGAATTTTAAGATCAATTTGCTGGCAGTTTTGGTGTCTGCTGAGGTGCCTTGAATACTCCATCCTCCAGAGGGGGTGCATGCTGTATTTTCATACAGTGAAAAGGATGAAAAGGCAAAGGGTCCTAATGTCCTAATTCCCTCCAGCCCTTCTATACACTATGGATGGTATAACACACTCATACCATCCATAAGGACAGAGCCCTAATACCCTAATCATATCCTCAAGGTTCCAGCTCTTAATGCTGTCACATTAAAATTAAGTTTCAACATGAACTTTGGAGAGGACAAAACAACAAAACATATCATCAAGTAACAGTTATAACAATAAATTATTGGGTATATAGCATATATAGATGTAATGTGTACAGCCATAATAGCACAAAAAGGACAGCCAAAGTACACAACAGTGAACAAAAGTAAAATTTATATATACATATATGCCACTAGAATTGTTATGCACCTAAAATCGATTGTGATAAGATGTCTGCAGTAAACCCTAAAGTAACAATTAGGGGAAACATTGAAAAAATATAGATAAAATATTATTAAATTTAAATTAAATGTTTTATAAAAAATACCTAATTCAAAAGAAAGCAGTAAAGGAGGAATAGAGGAATGAAAAGACATAAGGTATACAGAAAACTGAAGTAAAATGATGGATGTAAATCTATACTAGTAACCTCAAGTGAAAATGAATTTAAATATTCAAATAAAAGATTGTCAGACTGGAGGAAAAACAAATTAAATAAACAAGATCCATCTACATGTTGTCTGCAGAAGACACACTTCAGATCCAAAGATGAAAATTCATAGAAAAAAAAGGATAGAAAAGTTATATGATGCAGGCAGTAACCACAAGAAAGCTGGAATTGTTACATTAATATCAGAAAAAAACAGTCTTTAAAACAAAAGGGGTTACAGAGGTAAAGAGAGATATTTCATAAAAATAAAAGGGCCAATATCTCAAAAATAAATAATTACGAGCATACATATGTGTGATGAAAAGACTTCAAAATCCATTGACATAGAAACCTCCAAAAATGAAGGTTAGACAATTTAACATACTTCTTGCAGCCTTTAATACTTTCACAAATGGATAAAATGACTAGGCAAAAGATCAACAAAGAAATAGAACACTTGAACAATGCTATAAAATAACTAGAGTGATTAGACATTTAACACTGTAACAACAGTAGATTCGCAAGTGCACACGCAACATTATCCAGGAATACCGTATCCCAGGCCATAAAATAGACCTCAATGAATTTAAACATTGGAATCATACAAAGTATATTTTCAGACAACAATTGAGTAAAATAATAAATCAGCAATAGGAAAATTTGGGAAACTCAGAATTATGTGGCAATTAAACAACATGCTATTAAATAACCAATGGGTCCAAAAAGAAATAAGATAAATTAGAAAATACTTTAAAAATTAAAGATAAAATACTTTAAGAATGCATAATATCTCTTATGTCATGCAATAAAAGTAGTTCTCATACTCAAAAATAACATTCTCTAACCTGCCACCATAAGGCACTGAAAAAAGAAGAGCAAATTAAAACTACAGCAACCACAAGGAAGTATTAGGGATATACAAATTAGTGAAATACAAAATAGAAAAACAATTGAGAACCTCAACAAAGCCAAAAATTGTTTCTTTGAACACATCAACAGTGGCCACAATTTAGATAGACCGACCAACAAGAAAGAGAAACTATTCAAGTATTAATGAAATTTTTAAAAGGACACTAAACTTAAATAAAAAATTATTATAAAAGTACCTATGAACAATTATATCTAAAATTTAGAAATTTTTAAAGAACTGGACAAATTCTAAGAAAGGTTCAAATTAGCAAAAATGAGTCAAGGAGAAATATAAAATCTTATCAAGTAAAGAGATAAAGTTAGTAATCAAAACTACCACCTCAGGAAACAATGACAACAGCAACAAATTCGAGCCAAGAATGCCTCTACCAAACTTTCAAAGTTGAATTAATACAATTATTTAAAAACTCTTGCAAAAAAAAAAGAGAATACACTTCCCAGTTTATTCTATGAAGCTGGTATTACCCTAGTAACAAAACCAGACAATAGCATCAAAAAAAAAAAAAAACAAAACAAAAACACAGAACAATATCTTCAACAAAAATAGATGGAAAAAATCCTCAGCAAAATGCTAATGATCAAAATTCAGCAATACATAAAACATATACTATAATCAGGCAGGACTTATCTCAGGAAGGCAAGAAAAATGTAAAATAAATGCATCATTACATTAACTAGAGTCAATTATATTTTCATTTTCCCTATTGATTACCTCCTAAGTTGCTTCCAGTTTTACAGTATTTCGTACTGCCATTCCTAGACTCATATCTGGACTGTTTCACAGTATCTACTTTAGAGAATATAGAGGGATAATCTTGGAAATAGAGAAACAATATTGTTCATTGATTTTAAAATCATATATATATACATACACACAAATAGTCAAAAAGTCATTTTAGCCAAAATGAATTCCATGTCAATGAAAATGAAATAACGAAATGATACCATCAATCAAAAAGAGATGAGAAAATGGAGGAAATGAATATTGGAAAATAGAGTCACTGCCTTAATTGTTGGATTTCTAGTGAAGCAGGTAAACAAATTAAATTCTCTTCTGTAGAGTTATCCTATCTAGGGCCACATGTCTTTAACCTGGCACCAACAAAGTACTAAAACCATATAACAAAACATTCTTTTATTAATTCCTTATTCATCAAATGATTTTCTGGTATACATTTGGGTCCTCATGTAACTATCTAGAAAGAACACTTTTGTTAATTTAAAAGGAATATTTCAGTTCCTACAGCATTTCTTTACATTAACTGGTTTAAACACCAATCTGTGTTTGTTAGTATACCCCTAACAAAAACTGGATTAATAATCAGGTATCTGGGCAGGAAATGCTGTGCCTCGGGGTCTACTAGCAGCGAGTGAGTAAGGAAATGGTTCTTTGTGTCTTTCTGTAGTAAGGCATTCATAGCTTCTGTTTTACAAAGCATAATTATAGCTACCAATATTTTGGAGCCATAGATCTTCAGTAAAAGGCTATATTTGTGTGCAGAACATTTGATATAAAAAGTTAAGGCTTCCAGTCTTATTTTGTTATAACTTTTCTAATTATATGGTATTGTATTTTCAGATGAGTACACACAATGAAAACAATTAAAAAAACAAAATTACCATTCAGTTTGCCTTCTTTCCATCAAATTGGTCTCATGTCATATAAACATAGTTTATTTTAGAGATGCAGTGTTCCTTTCTATTCATAGCATCATCACTCAAGATGGTAATTATTATGGTGAACACTTGGGTCATTACACTGGATTATCCTTTAACAGATTGCTATGAAATTGGATCTTATCCTTAAGCTCCAATGTCTGTATGGCCCTGATAATGTTGAAAATGCAGTCCTCATTGTACCTAACCTTAGGAAATGAATAAATGGCTATTTGGAGTCCTGGCTCCCTTTGTGCTTTTATATTCCTGAGAGCGTAGTTTTATAATACTTCACAGAATAAGACTAATTGTGAAATATTTGGATGTAAGTTGATTTGGATGTCCCTGATTACACAACATCTGCATGTAAGACAACACACTATTTTCAATTATGATTTTGTCAAGTTCTCAAAATACAGGATTGACTTTTAACAGAAACTGTTTCTGTGTGCTGGCATAATACCATTTGTGCTATTTTCTTATATTTATTCTGTATATTAAAAAGGGATATTAATTAACTGAAAGGGTTTTTGTGCTTACTTTAGACAATAAAGAAATTATGAAAGTTTACTCATAAATATGGTGGACAGTCATTTCATAACAAAGTATGACCTAAATGTCTCCCCAAGGGTAAAGATCATTCAAGCAAAACTATCTCCTGTATCAGTATTTATTCACCTAAATAGACTGTTTTGGTTAAAATTTTAATGAAAAGTCATGCTTATATTACTATATAATTTTGTATATGCATGGATATTTATCTGTTCAAAGTAGAGATGTAGTTGACATGAAGGGATGTCTGCCTAGTTCACAAAAGTATGACCACGAAAATATCATTTCTATGATACTCCCTCATTAGGGAGCTATCCCTTTCTCACTCCAGCCTTCAAACTGTAATGTCAGAGATCATAGTATCTACTTCCCTGTGCAGTACTTTTTGATCCAAGTAATAGATCCATGATCTGAGAATAGTCAAAGTGCATCTCAGATTTTTCAAGAGTTGGAGAGTGTGAAGGTTTCACTTCTGATGGTATATGTTGTAAGAATGAGTCTGTATCTGTCAGTGCCAAATTAAGTAAGATGGAATAAGAATAAAAGCTGATGCTCAGAGAAAGGGGAATGAGTTAGAGGTAGTATTGACTATTTAAAATGTGTCCTGAGGTCAGACCCACAAATGCATTTTGCTATTTTATTTCAATACTGATAAAACCTTCTTTTCATGGTTATAGTTAGTTCAAATTAGTTTTTTTCAATTTCAATTGAAATAACAGGTGTAAAAAACCACAAAAGTACCCCATTTCCCCTTGCAAATGTATTGTTCTGAAGCTAGACTGATGTTGAAATACTCGAGGTCAACCTAAAATGATACTGTTTTACTGATGCCTTCACTTTTAGTATATTTTCCTTAGATTTCACAAGAGGTAAAAACATCTACTATAGACGTGTTACACCTTTTGAGGTTGCTTGTAGTCTTCATATCTGGTGTGTGTGTGTGTGTGGCTGGGACAGTGGAACACGATGGAAAGACTGAAAATGATACAATTCCAAAAAGCTGTTTTTACAGTGTGAAGCCTAGCCTCAGAGTAAAATCCCAATACTATCACGCAAAAAATTACTAGGTTTGCACCAAGTATGAATAGGTTGGAAAACTAAAAAGGCCTATGAGGCCCTATAAGAACCACCTTATTAGTGTTTAATAAAGATAAAGTACAACAGAAATAAAATGCAGGAAATCATTGAATGTCTGTCTTTCAGGAACAGAGCCTTTCTCCCTAAAGATCCTTTCTCAGTCTCACGGACACAGTTTATCTGTATATATTATGAACCTTCAAGATTTGAGCTTACTATAATAATTAAAGGTAAGTGCAGAAAAGTCTTTACAGCAGGCTCCCTCATACATTGTTGGTCATATACTTCTTAAGCCAAGTTGTGTAAACCATCAAACTAAACATTCTCAACGATGTAGACCAGTTGGCACTAAACTTAAAGCAACATTATGAATCACTAACTAGCACATGCCATTTTCATCTTGCTCACGGGTCAGTGTTACACTTCCGATGCATCTCTAGATGTAAATATCAATATAAATATCAAGCTGTTCCAGTCCAACTGTAAGAGAGCCCTCTCCTATGTAGCCATACATTAACATATGAGAATATAAGATGTGTTGAGGAAAAAGTATCAAAGGATTGAGAAATCTACGTAAATTTTAAAAAGAATTAAAAGAAGACCAGGCTATATTTAATGTCATCAAAGATAATTCTAGTGCATTGGCATTATTTTTTCACGTGCCTTTTCTTTCTTTTCCCCTTGACTGATTCTCTCCTAACTAGTTTTAAGCAATTTTATAGAATAATCTGCGTATAAGGCACACATTTTAGTCCAGTTCAGTTTTACAAATTTATAAAGCTAACCACCTACACAATCAAATATAGAATATTCCCTTCACCTACACATTTATTGCACGACCTTTGCCAATGAATTCCCTTCAACCCCAGAAAAGTTCAATGCATTTTGTCTTTATATAATTTCAAATTTTATTTACGTGGAAGCATACAATATTTATTATTTAGTATCTGCCTTCTTTCCTCTAGTATATGATAAAAATTCACTTTTTTTTTTTTTGTACAAAGGAATGACAATCCTTCAATTGTAAAAACTAAACAACATGCCACCCAACTAATCACATTCCTTAGGGTATATTTCTGAAATATAAGATACATTTTTTAAAAGAACTTTATTAAAACTCAGGGCTGTTAAAAGTATATATACAAATACAACACTAAAAAATAAAGTTAGGTTTCCAGGCCGGGCTCAGTGGCTCACGCCTGTAATCCCAGCACTTTTTGAGGCCGAGGCAGGCGGATCACGAGTTCACGAGATTGAGACCATCCTGGCTAACACGGTGAAACCCCATCTCCACTAAAAATACAAAAAATTAGCGGGGCTTGGTAGCCTGCGCCTGCAGTCCCATACTCGGGAGGCTGAGGCAGGAGAATGGCGTGAACCCGGGAGTCGGAGCTTGCAGTGAGCTGAGACCATGCCACTGCATTCCAGCCTGGGCAACAAAGCGAGACTCCGTCTCAAAAAAAAAAAAAAAAAAAAAAAAGCTTCTGCAAAGCAGAGGAAGCAATCAGTAGAATGAAAAAACAGGCCGGGCGCGGTGGCTCACGCCTGTACACCCAGCACTTTGGGAGGCTGAGGCGTGCCGATCATGAGGCCAGGAGATCAAGACCATCCTGGGTTAACATAGTGAAACCCCGTCTCTACTAAAAATACAAAAAAAGTGTCCTGGCGTGGTGGCAGGCGCCTGTAGTCCCAGCTACTCGGGAGGCCAAGGCAGGAAAATGGCGTGAACCCAGGAGGCAAAGCTTGCAGTGAGCAGAGATCGTGCCACTGCACTCCAACCTCGGCGACAGACCGAGACTGCGTCTAAAAAAAATTAAATTGAATTAAAATTTAATAAAAACGAAACCACCCAGATAATGGAAGCAAGTATTTGCAAACCATGCATCACACAAGGGGTTCATACACAAAATACATAAAGAACTCAAACTACTGAAAAGCAAACATACAAATGATCTTATTAAAAAAATCTACCCCAAACCTTTGTCCCCCACCATTATTTCCCTACTTTCTTTTCCAAACGGCCTTTGGCCCCCTCCCTCTCACCACCCTTTTTCTTTCACCATCTGCCCCCAAACTTCATCATTTTTTGCCCACCCTCATTTCACAAAGCCGCCTCTACTCTCCTGCTCAACACCCTTTTCCCCATCCATCTACCCAAACCCTTTCCCCAGTTTCTTCCCACCCTCTTTTCCCCTTATCCCTGGCCACCCTTTTTCCCCGTCCCGCTCTCATCACCCTCTTTTGCTCCTTTATCTAAGCAAAAACATTTTCCCCAGTCTTTTCCCAAAACACTCTCCACTCCTGCTGCTCACTACCCTCTTTCCCTGCTTCATCCAACCAAAAACTGTTTTCTTCGTCTTTCCCCGTTCCTCGCCATTCTCTTTCCCTTCTCCATCTACCCAAAAACATTTCCCTCCGTCTTTTCACAAAGCCGCCTCCCCACGCCTATTCACCTCCCTCTTTCCCCCTCCATCTACACCCCAAAACTTTCCCCACCATCTTTTCAAAGTCTCCCCCCTTTACCACTAGTGCTCTTTTTTCCCCTCCCTCTACCCCAAACTATTTTTCCGTTGTTTTCCCAACCCCCATCCCTGCTACCTCTCGCCACCCTCTTTCCTCCTATGCATCACCCTCTTTCCCCCCTCCATCTATCAAAACACTTTTCACCCACCGTCTTTTCACAAAACCTTGTCTTCCTCCTGTTGGCTACCCTCTTTTTCCTTCTCCCACTTGCTACCCTCTTTTGCTCAACCCAAAAACTTTCCCCCCTCACTGTATTTTCTCCCCACTATCTTTTCACAAAACCTTCTCTCCCTGCTGCTCGCCCCATTTTCCCCCATCACCTCCCTCTTTCCTCCGCCCACTTGCCACCCTCTTTTCCCCCTCCATCTACCCTTAAACTTTTTACCCACCCTCTTTCTGCAAAACTTTCCTTCCCTCCCGCTCCCCACCCTGTTTTTACACCTCCATCTACCCAAAAACTTTTTTCCCCACCATCTTTTCGCTGCCATCTTTTTGCAACGTCTTCTCTGGCTAAGCTATCCTTTTTTCCCTTTGGCCCTAACTACCCTCTTTACTCCCCTCTATCTATCCCAAAAGTGTTTTCCTTCTCCTGCCCGCTCCAGCCGCGCTGCTCTCTCCGTCACTGCCAACAACCGCAGTGAGGCGAGCCGCGCTCCCGCGGCTCCAGCCACCAGTATACGGCCACCGACTCCTGATTCCTAGTCCTCTACGTTGGGCAGCAAGAACTCAACATGAAGATACAGGAACTTGAAAAAACGTGGTCCTGCTTCAGCATCATTTATATACTGCGGTAATGCCCACGGAGGTTCCTGGACTGCATGTCTTGATTGGATGAGAAAAAAGCCTCCAGGCTTACTCTGATTGGACTTTATGATCATGTTCTGATTGGATGAGAGCAAGTCTTAACACAACCAATCACAGCATGAAAATAAAGTCCAATCAGAGTAGGCCTAGAGGTTTTTCTCTCATCCAATCAGAACATGTAGTCCAGGAACTGCATTTGCATAACCTCACATATAAAGCATGCTGAGGTGGCGTCAGGTCATTTCAGGCTCTTCTGTGTCGAGCGGAGGAGTAGCTCTGTGTCAAGCTTAGGGGACTGGAAGAGGCCGCAACCTTCCGCCTGCTGGAGGGTGGAGGATGGATGGAGCCTGGAGCCTAGGTCACTACCTTGCTGTGGTTGGTGGTGGCGATAGAGCAGTAGGAGAGCGGTCAGCAGCAGGAGGACTAGAAGGAAGAGGTACTGCCACATGCTGGAGGCTGGAACCTGTGCCACCATGGCTCGCCTCGCTGTGGTTGGTGGTAACGTCGGAGACTGCAGCTCAGCCACGGTGGTAGACATGTGATGGGGTAGGTGAGTTTTCTGGGCCTGCCCTGTATGTCTCTGGGGGCAAGGGTTGGGTGTCCTATTGGGGTTCACCGCTAGAGGCTACCCTGCCTGTGGCAGTGGTCTGGTTTGGGGCACTCTCTGGGTTTGCATTGCTGGTGGTGGGGCAGGTTGCCTGGCTATCTGGGGTTATACTGCCCGTGGTGGCAGGGGTGGTCGGGGGAGGCAGATTGTGTACACTAGCTTGTATTGCTGGTGGCTGGGATAGGATTAGGGGTGCTATCTAATGCTGCACTGCCTGCGGCAGGGAGTGGGTTGGGTGGAGTTATCCGGGGCTACAATGCTGGCAGTGGGGGGTGGTTTAGGGGCGTTGTTGGGTGCTGCACTGTCTGTGACTGGGGGGTGCACCATTAGGAGCTGAACTGCCTGTGGCTGGGTCAGATTGTGGGCACTATTGGGTGGTATGCTCCCTGAAGTGTGTGTGGGGGGGCTTTTGTGGGGGGGATTGGGGTTACATTGCCTGAAACTGTAGGGAGTGTTGGATGTGCTATCCGGGGGCTACACTGCTAGTGGCAGGGGGCAGATTAGGGGTGCCATGGGGGCTACACTGCCAGCGGCATTGGCGAGCTGAGGAGGTGGCAGCGGCAGCGACAGCAGTGGCCTCCTTCTTCTCGTAGCTTCCAAGTAAGGGATCGTTTTCCTCTTCTCAGACTCCAGACTCTAGAAGGCGATTTTCTCTGCTCGAGCTGGATTGCACGGTAGGGCCTCCACACCCACTGTGGTTTCTTGGTCTGCCCTCATGCTTTGTGTTGCGAAGACCACCTGGGACTACCGGGCAGGGAGTAGTATGCACCATGGGGGAAGTGGGAGACAGGGCACTGTGGGTGGAGGTGTCAGGAATGGGAATCAGCCCTTGGGTGGGGAGGGCTGGCTGGGTCTGAGTTTCTCCTACTCAGGCTCCTGGAGGAGGGCAGCCTTGGTGGGCCCAGCAATTCCTGGCCAGCTGGACTTGGCCAGGGGCCGGTTTCAGTGAAGGCACTCGATCCCACCCCAGGCCCCAGTTCCTGGCCAGCTTTTGCCAGAAGGAGAGGTTGGACTTTGGAAGGTGGGTGTGAGTGCCTTCAATGAAACTGATCCCTGACACCCAGTCACCAGCATAACGAGGTGAGGCTCTAATGGTTCCAATCCCTGAGTCCTGTTTTCGGCTTTTCTTGCTTTGCCTGCCCAGCTGCTCCAAGCCAGGCTGAAGGAGGAGAAGGAGTTGCCGCCTGTGGTACGGTCGAGCAGATGACGTGGCTCTGCAGCTTGCCTCATGCAGTTGGTGTTGGAGATGGAGACCACAGCTCGACTGGAGCGGTAGGAGGGCACCCACGGGGGCCTGGTGGTAGGATCCTGGTAGGGTGGGCTGGTACGTTGAGGATAACTGCTTGTATTGGCATCGGCGCTAGTGGTGGTAGCAGTAGGAAGTCTGGGGGCCGGGAAGGGGGAGTAGGAGCACTGCAGGGCCCACCCCGTTCTGGGGTGGGGAGGAACCTGTGGGTGCTGTAACGAAGGCCTCGGTGGCAGTGGTGGTGGTACACCTAGGACAAAGAGGAGTCCTCCCCCTTCTCCTGCAATCTCTGGAGTGTGCCCTCCTCCTGCTGGTGCCTGAGCTAGGCGTGAGTGGCAGCATTATCTCATTCTTAACAAAATTTAGAGGGTGACTATTTGTGTATCCTTTTGCTTGTTTTTTGTTGTGATACTCTTGGAGTTACTCAAATTTTATGAATCGAGGAGGGGATAAAAAGTGTCATATGATAGGCCTTCTAATTCCCACACCTGTTCTTTTTCCTTTCTTCCATTGTGTATTTTCTTCTCATTTTCTTGTTCCTCTTCATTTTCTTTTGCTACTACTATTTCATGTTTGTATTCTTGTTTCTCCTCCTGTTTTTGTATTTTTATGCCAAGCAATAGCCTTAACAAACCAAAACTGAGTTAAAAATAAAATACTTGTCACTGTTGTGTTTTTTAAATAACTGATCCCTTACTATGTTTTAGAGATGAGGAAAAAGAAATCAGTTGTATAATTAGTTACTTGAATAGCTATGCTTTCATAATTGTGTTAGCCCACTTATGCCTAGTGTTCCACGCTAAGCATGTGGAAATTATTTATATCTTACTGTTAAATGTCATCGACAAGGTCTGATTTTTCACTTACGCAAAAATTCAAAAATTGCAACCTCTGGCATAAATGGGCTAATGTGTTGTGTCATTCAAGGAATCAAAAAATGAAACATCACATAAAATATTGGTAGCAAAACAGCCATTTCATCTCTGTCACATATTTTTTTCTGGAGCTATCCAAGAGTCACAGGGGTAATAAGTTCTAATTTATGAGATGATTAAGTGAACCATATTCCCTTCATTTTTTTTTTCTGCCACCATTTTCAAGAGTATTGTCATCTGCATGGCAAAGGGTTCATCACCACATCTTTGCAAGAGGAAAAAGAAGAGGGGAGAATCGTGTATAATGTTGTAAGGCAAACATTCACAACCAAAAACAAGGTTTCATTAAGTTTCGCCTTTAAGAACCTGCAGTGTTTAGCCCTCTTTGATTCCTAGTATTATTACCTTTGGTATGAACTCTTTTATTAAACGGATCACTCTAGAAGTTTATGCGTTTTGTACCATTTTTCAAGCCAACAGAAATGTGTAATGCCTATAATTCTGACACTTTAGTTATTTTTAAGGCTATGAACATGTAAGATACTGTTGGTATATGGAAGAATATGTATAAATATCACTAGGTAGCTTATTTTGAAGAGATAGTATCTAAATTTTTGTCCAGAGTAGATTGGTTGCAGTTTCTTAGGTGTGTTTCTTAATGCTTTGCCTCAATGTTTTAAAGCATGTAGAAATTTGAATACAGTTTAACTGCGTATAGTTGTTTATAGATTTAATATTTCTAAAGACTAAAGACATCACAGCTCCCTTTAAGATTCAGTAATGTTAATAAAATTTTAGAAATATAGGGTTAGAATCCAACAAATTCGGAGGAAAATTGTTAAATTATATAGCTGTAGAGCAGGAATGAAACCCAGGTTCTAAGCTCTAAGGGGGCCATGAGGTACCATACAGGTGCATCAGTGACTGGGCATAGATTCAGCAAAATTACAGGATGGTTAAGAGAGTGAGTTGTGGAGCCCAACTCTATGTAACATGAATTTTTAAACTGCATGGTGCCTCAGTTTATCCATCTTTACAGTGGGGACTGTAGTAAGTTTTTCTTTTTCTGCTCAGTTGTCTGTCTTGTTGCCACTGTTCCCTAGTCTGCCTTGTTGCCACTGTTCCCTAGTCTGTCTTGTTGCCACTCAGTGCCCACATGAGAGGATCTAAGGTAATTTCTGACAGCCTGGGACTCCTTAAAGAAAAACAGAAGGTGCTACAAAACCCATTTTAGGAGAAACCTCTATTGTCCTCATGGAACCCCAAGAACTTCAGGCAGACAGGTCTCTCTCAAAATCTGAGGCTCTCCTCTGTTTTGTTTTGTGTTATCTGACCTTTTAGGTTTGGGTGGGCATCAGAAATCAGTCGGGGAGAGAGATCTAAAGAAAGTTGTGGATATGAAGATGTATTTATGGTAAGAAAAGTTATGATGGAAAGAAATGTTATATGAGAGAGGATCTTGTATGGCAAATTTTTGTCCTAAAGTAGAATGACTAATTATGAAAGAGGGAAATACAGGAAAAGTCAGAAAGTTCATGTCATAGATGGTCTGTGGAATTTGTGTTAGGGTTCATAAAATGAGAAAGAAAAACTTACCACTGCTAGATCTTTTCCTGTCTAGAAGTGTTGTGTATATGATGTATATATAAAGGAGCCCTAATTACTTGGCTTAGAAGAAAAGGAAGGCTCTTAAATATTTTGTCAGAAAAATAGAATCTCTAATGCCTTTTATTTCACATGACTTCAGTAATCTTTGGGAAATGAAGACAGTGTTAAAATCATTTTTTAGTAGAAACAGCGTTTCTCTGTATTGGTCAGGCTGGTCTCGAACTCCTGACCTCAGGTGATCCTCCCGCCTCGGCCTCCCAGAGTGGTGGGATTACAGGCATGAGCCACTGCACCCGGCCTACAAATAGGTTAAATTATTTTATAAATTAGCTGTTGTTTGTTTTGCCTACTTTCAGACTTCCGGATTTTTTTTTAAGTATGAGGAATTTCAATTGTTATATTAATATAAAAGCTTAGATAAATAGCACAAACATGAATTTTTTTTTTTGACAGAGTCTTGCTCTGTTGCCCAAGCTGGAGTGCAGTGGCACAATCTCAGCTCACTGCAACCTCCACTTCCCAGGTTCAAGCTATTCTCGTGCTCAGCCTCCCAAGCAGCTGGGATTACAGGCATATGACACCATGCCTGGCTAATTTTTGTATTTTTAGAGACAGAGTTTCGTCATGTTGTCCAGGCTGATCTCGAACTGGCCTCAAGTGATCTGCCCGCCTTGGTCTCCCAAAGTGTTGGGATTACAGGCGTGAGCCATCGCACTTGGCTGACTGTATTCTTTATGAATTTTTTTTACATCAAAAAGCTCATTTGTAATATTTTCTGTATGTATTCATGCTATAAAATTTATTTTGTTTTATTTTAACTTTTTAAAAATAGAGATAGGGTCTGATTGTTTTGCCCAGCCTGGTCTTGAATTCTGGGCTCAAGTAATTCTCCCACCGTGGCCTCCCAAAGTGCTGGGATTACAGGCATGAGCCACCATGCCCGGCCTATAAAATGTATTGTAAAGGAAAAGGCACATTTTTATTAAGCTGATAATCTTTACATAAATACTGAAGCATGGCATATTTCTTTATTTTACTTGGGCTATTTTATGTTGCATTAAGAAGAATTTTTTGTTTTTTCTTTTTACTATGCTTGTTTCTGGAATACTCCTTTCCTCCCTTATCTTCCAAACTCTGCTACATCTAAATTTATCCTATTTTTCAAGGGTTTGATCACATATTACATCATCCAGGAAGTGTCTCTCCTGTTCCCTCTTCTCCAAAATGTATATTTTTTTTCTAGAAACTCTTGATCCTTTGCCTCTAGACCATAAGCCCTTTGTAGGCATGTCTGTATCTGAGTTTTTAAATTTCATTTCCTCTTTTCCCACTCCCAGAATAACACCTTGTGCCCGGGAGTAGCAGATACTTGTTGAATGCATAAAAGAGCTTTGCAGCTAGAGTTAGTGTGGATGCTGTAGAAGATGTCTGATACACATATGGCAGTTTGATGCTGAATAGTTTTTGGAAATTAAAAAACAGGTAGAAATTTCACCAATGTCAGTGACTAACATAGCTGTAATTAGTAAATTATCAAAATATTTCTTTTTTTTTCTTTTTTACAGAGAAAGTCTCTCTCTGTTGCCCAGGCTGGAGAGTAGTGGTGTGATCATAGTTCAGTGCAGCCTCCGAGTCCTGGGTTCACACTGTCCTCCTGAGTAGCTGGGACTACAGGTGTGTGCCACCACACCTGGTCAATTTCTTTTATTTTGTAGAAACAGAGTCTCATTATGTTGCCCAGGCTGACCTCAAATTGCTGGGCTCAAGTGATCCTCCCACCTTGGCCTCCTGAAGTGCTGGGATTATAGGTGTGGGCCACTGAGCCCAGTTAAAAGCATTTCTTTAAAAAAGAAAAAAAATTCTGTTTATTGGGATTTGGGGGAGGAAGAGAAAGTAAATATGGGATTGGTTCATCCTAGACAGCACTCATGGTTCTAGATAATATTAGAATGCAATAATGTTTTAATTTATATATGCAGGAAATTTTGGAGTAGTTTCAATCCTAGGAAAAAACTGGGAGTTAGAAATATGGGAAGATTGGCCGGCACGGTGGCTCATGCCTGTAATCCCAGCACTTTGGGAGGCCGAGGCAGGCGGATCACGAGGTCAAGAGATCGAGACCATTCTGGCCAACATGGTGAAACCCCGTCTCTAGTAAAAATATAAAAAAAAAAAAACAAAACAAAACTAGCTGTGCATGGTGGCACGCGCCTATAGTCCCAGCTACTCGGGAGGCTGAGGCAGGAGAATTGCTTAAACCTGGGAGGCAGAGGTTGCAGTGAACCGAGATTGTGCCACTGCACTCCAGCCTGGCGACAGAGCGAGACTCCCATCTCAAAAAAAAAAAAAAAAAAGAAAGAAATATGGAATAGTTGGTTGATTATAATAGAATTTAGGATTCCCTTTGAAAGAATAATATCGACTAGTTTATATAAAAAATTAAATTCTTAAGTAGATTAGTCAGGAGTAAAGGAAAAGTCAAGATTCCCAACTTATTTGGATTTCTTTCCCCCATTACAGCGTACTCGAGGAACAAAATTTGGGCTGTTTGGCTGTTTTTATTCTTTGTTATACAGAAATAAACTGATATCAAAACCAAACATATTGAGGTTATATTTTTCTTTCCTTTCTTATTTTTTTTTGAGACGGAGTCTCGCTCTCACCCAGGCTGGAGTGCAGTGGCATGGTCTCGGCTCACTGCAAGCTCCACCTCCCAGGTTCACGCCATTCTCCTGCCTCAGCCTCCAGAGTAGCTGGGACTACAGGTGCCCGCCACCATGCCCGGCTAATTTTTCCTACTTGTAGTAGAGACAGGGTTTCACCATGTTAGCCAGGATGGTCTTGATCTCCTGACCTTGTGATCTGCCTGCCTTGGCCTCCCAAAGTGCTGGGATTACAGGAGTGAGCCACCACGCCCGGCGAAGGTTACATTTTTCTAGGAAAATTCGACTCAGATTTATGATGAGAGTCACCTTTATGCTTATAGATTGCCCCTTTACCCCATACTTGGTTGAACTGACAGACATTCTTCTTGCCATTATCACTGTCATACACTGTTCACATTCAGAGTAATTTGTTTTAGGCAATTCATTTCCCTTGGCAATAACAGAGATTTATGTAATTTTGAAAATGTTTAAGTAGTCATCATCATGACTTTGAGTTTCTGTTCAAAGATGTTTAACTTTGCATTACTTTTAAGATTTTTAAATTCATTTTTAATTAGAATAACTTTTATGTATTTGGAGGTATTTGGAATGAAATCAAAACTTATGCTATCTAGGAGTTATAACCTAAAATATGCAGAACGTTAATATACCTGATGTAGGAGTATATACATCCTGTTGAGGGGGTAGAAAGAAGTTACTTTATATTCACATAAAATCATTTTAATGCATGAAGGAGGATATGCTATTTTAAAATCTTATCTTTCACTAAGTATAAGTAATACATTATTTTTTATATATACTGAAATTGAAAGAACCGCTTCCTGGATGTAATCTACTGAGTTTGTTGCATATTCTTCCAGTTTTTTTTTCTGTTTGTATAATTTTCTGTATTATGGAATCATAATGTACTATTCTTTTGTATACTACTGTTCCAAGTTTGTCTATTTATTTCAGAGTTACCTCTATCAATCATTAACAGCAACTTAATACCCCATTTCTAGTACATGAAAATACCATAATTTGCCAGCGGCACGGTGACTCACTCCTGTTGTCCCAGTACTTTGGGAGGCTGAGGTGGCTGGATCACCGGAGGTCAGGAGTTCAAGACCAGCCTGGCCAACATGGTGAAACCCCATTTCTACTAAAAATACAAAAATTAGCAAGGCATGGTGGCATGTGCCTGTAATCGCAGCTACTTGGGAGGCTGAGGCAGGAGAATCACTTGAAACTGGGAGGAGGAGATTGCAGTGAGCCATGCCTCTGAACTCCAGCCTGGGTGACAGAGTGAGACTCTGTTTCAAACAAAAAAAGAGAAAATACCATAATTTGCTTAATCAACTTATGGTCACTGGATTTTTTTTTTTTTGCCAGAAAAACAAAGCTGTAAACAATTGTGTGTGTGTGTATGAATATTTATGCACATGTACATATGTATATGTATTTTGTGTACTTGTACAAACAGCTTTGTAGGATAGATTCCTAGAAGTGGAGTTGCTGAAACCAACTCCACTTTTGATTTGAATTCAAATCAAAAGATGTGAATAATGTAGATATGGATAGATATTTATACATTTTCCTTCCAAAAGATTGTTGTACCAATTTGTAAAGCTACCAGTAGTATTCAGGTATGCCCCATACCCTGGCCAATACTAGATATTACAGTTCAAAACATTTTGACAATTTAGGAACTGAAAAAATGTGATTCTGATTGGTGTTTTATCAATCACTGTTGATGATGAACTGTTTTTAATATGGAGAGAGTTGTATTTCTTTCTTTCTTTTTTTTTTTTTTTGAAACGGAGTGTTGCTCTTGTTGTCCAGGCTAGAGTGCAATGGCTTGATCTCAGCTCACTGCAACCTCTGAATCCTGGGTTCAAGCAATTCTCCTGCCTCATCCTCCATAGTAGCTGGGATTATAGGCATGCACCACCACTCCTGGCTAATTTTATATTTTTAGTAGAGATGGGGTTTCTCCATGTTGGCCAGGCTGGTCTCAAACTCTCAACCTCAGGTGATCTACCCACCTTGGCCTCCCAAAGTGCTGGGATTACAGACATAAGCCACCGCGCCTGGCTTTTTTTTTTTTTTTTTTTTTTTTAGACAGAGACTCGCTCTTGTTACCCAGGCTGGAGTGCAGTGGCAGGATCTCGGCTGACTGCAAACTCCGCCTCCCATGTTCAAGCGATTCTCCTGCCTCAGCCTCCCAAGTAGCTGGGATTACAGGCATCTGCCACCACTCCCAGCTAATTTATGTATTTAGTAGAGATGGGATTTCACCATGTTAGTCAGGCTGGTCTTGTACTCCTGACCTCAGGTGATCCACCCACCTCAGCCTCCCGAAGTGCTGGGATTACAGGTGTGCGTCAACTGCGCTTGGCCATATGTCTTTTATAAATTGTCTATTTTTGCTGTTTGTTTATTTTCTGATGGGGCTACTGGTTTTTAACAGGTTAAAAGTTCTCTACATATTCACTTTTTTTCTTTCTTTTTCTTTTCTTTTTTTTTTTTTTTTGAGACAGAGTTTTGCTCTTGTTGCCCAGGCTAGAGTGCAATGGCATGATTTCAGCTCACCTCAACCTCCGCCTCCCGGGTTCAAATGATTCTCCTGCCTCAGCCTCCTGAGTAGCTGGGGTTACAGGCCTGCGCCACCATGCCTGGCTAATTTTGTATTTTTACTAGACGTGGGGTTTCTCCATGTTGGTCAGGCTGGTCTGAAACTCCCGACTTCAGGTGATCCGCCCGCCTGGGCCTCCCAAAGTGTTGGGATTACAGGCGTGAGCCAACGTGCCCTGGCTTTATTCACTTTTTTCATACGTGTGCACATATCCCCCTAGCTATTCTTTTGTAATGTTATGTAGTCAGATAAATCCAAACCCAGCACTGTGCTGCTGTGGGAACTTGGGCACATTATTTAACCTCTGTACACCTTCATTTCCTTGTTTGTAAAATGGAGATAATATAAATAGCATTAGGCATAGTGGATGGCACAAAGTAAGTAAATAATAAATGTTAGCTGTGACTCATTAATTTATTGATGTGACTTTTGTGTTTTGTGCTCAAAGTAGACTTTCCTTGCTCCAAAATGTAAAATATTCATCTATCTACTAAACTAGAAAAACAAAGTGAGGAACATTATATGCCTCTATGTGTCTTTGCTTTAAAGATGAAAACGTATACATTTTTGCTTGTATATCACAGGATATATGATACTTGGAAACATTGGTTGTCATAGTAAGAAGAATGAGTGAGAGGAAGACTTTTTAACTGCATGCGTTTTTGTATTTTTAAAACAAAGAAGTCCCCAGATTGTATTTAATACTTCAATGGTTTCTTTTTTTCCTTTTCCTTCTCTTTTTAAAACTTCTAATTCTTTGATCCATCTGGAATTTACTTCTGGTATAAGAAGTGAGACATATTTTGGGGGATAAAATTGTGTGTGAATTCTACCCCAACTAGCTAGTTGTGTCAGCACCATTTAGTGAATAATCTGTTTTTTGCCCCACTATTAGAATTGCAGCTTTTGTCATTTACTAAATGTGTTTGGGACTATTTCTGATTGGTCTTGTTATTTTGGTCTCTTGTGTATTACCATACACTTTAAATTACTATCATTTTATAATTTTAATACAGATGGGGTTAGTTACCTGTTCATTACTCTTTTTTTTCAGACTTTGACATTTCTGGTCTATGTGTTCTTCTAGATGAACTTTAGAATCATTCTGTGACATTCAAAAAGAAATCATAGAGATTTTTATTGAATACTGAATATTGATTGGGAGTACTGAAATTGTAGGTGAAGTTTGGGGAAATTGACATCTTTATGTACTTACTGTCCTGTGTTCTAATAGATTTTTATGTCTCTCTGTAGATTTTCAAACTTTGCTTCAAATAAGTCCTGTACAAATAAGTCTTGTATATTTCTTGTTTATTTATTTTAAAAAACATCAGACCCATGAATGGGAGTTTGTTTATTTTATTCAACAAATATTATAGAGAATCAAACAGGTAGTTTTTATTCTAGTGAGAGAAGACAGAATATACTCAAATAAAATGAAGTACGTAATCCATTTCAGATTATGATAAACCTGTAAAGGAACCAAAAGGGTGATGTGATTGAGAGTAACTAGTGGGAACTTACCTTATATGTAGGATGGTTGGAAAGACTCTTCTGAGATGACATTTGAACTGGGACCTTAAGTTTGAGGAGGAGCTAGCCACCTGAATGAGCCAGGAACAGCGTTCCTGGTAGAGAGTAAAGAAGGACGAAGGCCCAGCTAGGAAAGACCTGGCAGAGAAGGGCTCCTAAAGAAACTGAAAGGAAACTCATGTTGCTGGGGCCTAGTGAGCAATCTAGAAAGTAAGGAGGCCAAATCAAGTAGGGCCTTGGGTCATCGTAAGTAGTTGAGACTTTATTTGCAGTGCGTAGGAAATCCTTGGGGAATCTGAAGCAGGAGAGTGACATGTTCTGATTTAAGGTTTAAAAAGAACACTTGGCTTTTTGAGTTGAGAAAGTATTGAAGTGGGAAGCCCAGTTAGGAGTTTTTCCAGCAAGAGGTAAGGAGGGTGGTAGTTAGATGGAGAGGCCTGGGAAGCTTCAGAGTCTGTGCGTGTGTGTGTGTGTGTGTGTGTGTGTGTGTTCGTGTGTAAGGAACAGCCAAACAACTTGCTGTTGGAGTGGGTGCTACTGAGAGCTAAGTACTGCTAGCTGCTGCAGAGGCCGTGTAGAGCAGAACAGAGCTGATATTTGCCTTCACAGGTGTTTGATAGTTCTGTTTGTTTCTAAGGTGTGTACCAAAATAAAGTAGGCTAAGAGCATTTGACTTTAAGATTTGTGGAGCTCGGGGGTGTTGAGGGGGGTGCAGCAAAAAGCAGAGTCTGTGAATAACCCTTGATTTATATTGCTTAATAACCTGTAGTCTCTGTTAGTGGGTCAAAGGGGAGGCAGCAGCAGATGATCTTTAAGGTATCTGTCTCTGAGTTAGAAAAACATAGCTTGAGGAAGTTATGCAGCTTCCCTACAGCCTTAGAGCTAATAGTGGAACCAGACTTTTAGGTGAGCTCATGCACACACCAAGTCTTAGCACACTGCCTAATATATATTTAGAGCTCAATAAACGGTAACTCTTTTAGTAATATCCACTCAGATATTGTTATATCTATTAACTCAGGCCAAATATCTACATTAAAATTTTTATCTTAATTTCTTTGTTCTTCTTTTGTGTTAATCAAGGAGGGAATTGGCATGTAGTCATCCATTTTGCTTGTGAAATTTATTTGTTCTTTTTTTGTTTGTTTTGAGATGAAGTCTTGCTCTGTCGGTCAGCCTGGAGTGCAGGGGTGTGATTTTGGATCACTGCAACCTCTGCCTCCCAGGTTCAAGTGATTCTCATGCCTCAGCTTCCTGAGTAGGTGGGATTACAGGTGTGCACCACCACGCCTGGCTAATTTTTTGTATTTTTTTTTTTTTTGAGATGGAGTCTCACCCTGTCACCCAGGCTGGAATGCAGTGGTGTGATCTCTGCTCACTGCAACCTCTGCCTCCCAGGTCCAAGTGAATCTCTTGCCCCAGCCTCCCAAGTAGCTGGGATTACAGGTGCACGCCACTATGCCCGGCTAATTTTTGTATTTTTAGTAGAGATGGGGTTTCACATGTTGGTCAGGCTGGTCTTGAACTCTTGACCTCATGATCCTCCCGCCTCAGCCTCCCAAAGTGCTGGGATGACAGGTGTGAGCCACCATGCCCAGCCATATTTTTTGTATTTTTAGTAGAGACAAGGTTTCACCAGGTTGGCCAGACTGGTCTTGAACTCCTGACCTCAAGTGATCCACCTTCTTCTGCTTCCCAAAGTGCTGGGATTAGAGACGTGAGCCACTGTGCTTGGCTGGTTTTGAAATATATTTGTTCTTATAAGTTGAGTGAGTGAGTGTTGTTCAGTTCAGAGAATTAGTTCAGTGTAGTGCCGACATACCACAGAGTTCTCAGTTGGATATTGTTACATTGTACTCCTGTCTTGGGACAGCACTTTATGTAGAGGTAAAGTAGCATCATTTTTCTTTCATTTAAGAATTATGTATTTATTATTTTTTGAGATAGAGTCTTGTTCTGTTGCTCAGGCTGGAGTGCAGTGGCACGATCTTGTCTCACTGCAACCTCTACCTCCTGAGTTCAAGTGATTCTCATGCTCAGTCTCCTGAGTAGCTGGGATTACAGACATGTGCCACCACGCCCGGTTAGTTTTTGTATTTTTAGCGTAGAAGGGGTTTCGCCTTTTTGGCCAGGCTGGTCTCAAACTCCTGGCTTCTAGTGATCCACTTGCCTCGGCCTCCCAAAGTGTTGGGATTACAGGCATAAGCCACTGTGCCTGGCCAGAATTACTTATTGAATATGTGTACCCATAGATTTATCAAATAATTGTATCCTTATTAAAATTTTTCTTTCAATATCATACTTTATAAGAGGTAGGATAGGTTAACTAAAAAGCTTTTTCTTTAGCTTCCATTTGTTTCTCTGTCTTTAAGTAAGATGTCATGATGTCAGAAGAGGCTGCAAATAAAATACCTTGTCAATGGCATTCCCCCAGATTAGATCTTAACCAAAAGTCTGAGAAGCAGTAGCTTTTTTTCCCCTCAAAGGGAAGAATGCTTTAGTTTATTTTACAGGAGAAAATTTATTCCAGTATAGCACCACTCTGGTCTTGTACAAATTACAGAATTCACTTAGATAATTTCTAGTCTTTCCTCTCCTGGATGCTGGACTCTGTAATAAGTTTAGGAGGTCAGCTTTCTTTAAATTATCCCCAGGTTGGAGGATTTTAGGTGTCGGGATGCCCAGGGTGGTGGTCCTTCTTAGCCTTGTCTTGCCTAACATACTTTTAAAATTGGTCTAGAGCTGGACAGCTTTGTGGGAACTGGTGTGACCTAATTTGCTTCAGTTTAATAACTAATATTTTAGCATTTGAATGTCATAGAGGCATTGCCCTATCACATACTTTTGTATCAGGAGGTTTTATTATTTTGTCAGTTAAAAATTGCATGTTTTGTAGGATCCTTTTTCTGCTTTGGTGAAATGTAGGCTTCACCTCTATTGTGACGCTTGGTGGATTCATTCTTGCTCATCTGAAGTGGCATCTGCGGTCCTGCCACAGTGAAGTATATTTTTAGCTTTTTTTTTTTTTTTTTTTTTTTTGAGATGGAGTCTCTCTCTGTTGTCAAGCTGGAGTGCGGTGGCACGATGCCAGCTCACTACAACCTCCGCTTCCCGGATTCAAGCGATTCCCCTGCCTCAGCCTCCCGAGTAGCTGGGACTACAGGTGTGCACCACCATGTCCGGCTAATTTTTTTTTGTATTTTAGTAGAGATGGAGTTTCACCATGTTGGCCAGGATGGTCTTGATTTCCTGACCTTGTGATCTGCCGGCCTTGGCCTCCCAAAGTGCTGGGATAACAGGCGTGAGCCACTGTGCCCGGCCATTTTTAGGTTTTTTCCCAAGATGGCTTAGGCCACCTTGAACACCTTTGCATAACACATTTTGGTTATGCAAAGGTTGTGGGCCAAAAGCCAGGAGTTCCTGCTGGGAGGAAAAATTGCTTGTTTTTTGGCAGGATAGTATTTGAAATTCTGTTGTTGCAAGATTTTCCTGTTGAGTAAATATGTGTGTGTTTATTTAATATGAGAAGATTTAAAAAGGAACTTAAATAGATCAATTTCATTTTGCAATATTGTATTACCTGTTTGCAATATGTAAGAGGCTAGTTCTGGGTTTATCTGTATAATTCAGTTAGAAGTGCTATTGTCTTTTATGACAGTGACATATAATTATTACTATATTATTCTCATCCTAAAACATTATGTGTTGATATTTAAGAGATGAGGAAGTTGCTTATAAAATCTTGATCAGATTTCTTAAACAATTCATAGAATTTTTTTAGTTCATGAGTCAACCATGTAACTACCCTGAGTTAACGAGCTTTGGTGCTAAGAACTGAAATTATAATTTGATACTGCCACTTAAGGTGCTCCCTTCCCCTTCAGTCTGAACTTTAGATTCTTTCATTTCAGTGGGTTTCAAATGTAAAGTATTCTGCCGAGGTATCTTAGTGAGCCAGGACTGAAGTGAAGGGTGGAGGGAGGGATGGGGAAGGGCAGGGGGAGACTGAAAAGATGAATCCTAGGTCTCCCATTCTCACTAGATCAGAATGTTTCTCCATTGTACCTTTTGTACATTTAGCTTTCATTTAAGACTTTCGAGGAAAACCTTCTGGTTAATAAACAAGATCTGAGCACTGTTGCCCTGTATCTCATGGATAAGTTTTGAGGAAGGTGGTTGTAGTGGTCTCCAGGCTGCAGTTCATGTGAGGAAAGGAAGGGCTTGCTTTGACCTGTAAATTTGTATGCCAGTAGGGGCTAATTCCTGAACTTGCTAGTGTTTTTTTTTTTTCCCCCTTCTGTATTGGGCGAATAGTACTTTTAAATAAAACTGACTTTTTTGTTTTTTTTTTGAGATAATAAAGTTAAACTTCATTAAAGTCATACCACAAAACTAGGGCAACAGGAAGGATTACTGAGATGAGGGAAAAAATGGAGAAGTCACTTAACTTGTGACTTTGAGTGACATTGAGTGTAATTGTTGAACTCAGGACTCACCATAGCTGAAAGTTAAACAATGTGCATTAAAAAATTGTACCTCATGGGTTTCTAATCATTTAGGCCACTGTTAGAAAAAAATGGGTTAAAATCTTTTTTTTTTTTTTTGCCTCTGCATTCCATTTATAGCTTTATTTATTTGGGATGTCTGAGTTGGGAGGAGAGCGCAGAGATAGATCACTTAAAGCATGTTTTAGGACAGCAGATCAGAATTAGTTGGAAAACTTCTACAAAATGCATGAACGTTCATATAGTGAAATACTCTTGTTTTTGGACAGAGTTTCATTCTTGTTGCCCAGGCTGGAGTGCAATGGCATGATTTCGGCTCACCGCAACCTCTGCCTCCCAGGTTCAAATGATTCTCCTTCCTCAGCCTCTCGAGTAGCTGGGATTACAGGCATGTGCCACCATGCCTGACTAATTTTTGTATTTTCAGTAGAGACGGGGTTTCAGCTTGTTGGTCAGGCTGGTCTCGAACTCTCGACCTCAGGTGATCCACCCGCCTTAGCCGACCAAAGTGCTGGGATTACAGGCGTGAGCCACCGCGCCTGGCCCATATAGTGAAATACTCTTTAGCAATAGAAAGAACCATAGATGCATGAGAATAATTGCCAAGATGTATTTTTTTTTGTGGGGGGGACGGAGTCTTGCTCTGTCGCCCAGGCTGGAGGTTGGTGATGTGATCTCGGCTCACTGCAAGCTCTGCCTCCTGGGTTCACGCCATTCTCCCCACCTCAGCCTCCTGAGTAGCTGGGACTACAGGCACCCGCAACCATGCTTGGCTAACTTTTTTGTATTTTTAATAGAGACGGGGTTTCACTGTGTTAGCCAGGATGATCTTGATCTCCTGACCTCATGATCCACCCGCCTCAGCCTCCCAAAGTGCTGGGATTACAGGTGTGAGCCACCGCGCCAGGCCAACCAAGATGTATTAAGTAATAAAAGCAAGATACAGAACAGTGTGTTTCTAGTATGCCACCATTTACATAGGGGAAAAAGTGTGAGTGTATGTATGTGTAGGATATTTCTAAAGGACACTCTAGAAACTAGTAACTTTGGTTGCCTTCTGGGAGGGTAACTGGGTAACAGCTGGAGGAGAAGGGCGAGGAGATTTTTCACTTTGTATTCTGTGGTACTTTTAAAAACTCTTAAGTCCTGCATATAATGTTTATTTCTAAAAAGATCAACCCTCCCCACAATGCCACATGTTGGCTTTTCCCTTTCCACCTGGAGCAGTTGCAGATGTATAGATGAGGCGAAAGCTCCTCAGGTGGTTTTAATGTCTGGTCTCACGGAACATCTCAGCTCCTCCTAGTTCACTACTTGCTGAGAAAGCCGCAAAACATTGCAGAAAACATTAGTTTTTCCCATTTTGCCACAGACAATTTTGTGATACTGGAGGAATTATTGACTTTCTCTGATCTTCACGTTTCTCACCTGTCAAGTCAGTGTTAGTTGGGTAATCTCAACCTTCCAATCCTTAAGATTTGCTGACCTCCATGCCTCGGGCCTTGGAAGGGAGCAGGGAGAAAATAGACTGAGGGACAGCTGGTCAGTCTTCTGACTCTTCTCCTGGTCAGCTTTCACAACAGCAGGAAACGTGACATCAGGAGAAAGGATGATATATTTATTTAAAATATTTATATATTACATGGTACCACATGCAGTTTTTAAAGTTCTTTTTTTTTTTTTTTGAGATGGAGTCTGGACCCCTCACCCAGGCTGGAGTGCAGTGGCACCATCTCAGCTCACTGCAACCTCCGCCTCCCAGCTTCAAGTGATTCTCCTGCCTCAGTCTCCCGAGTAGCTGGGTTTACAGGCATGTGCCACCATGCCTGGCTAATTTTTTGTATCTTTAGTAGAGACTGGGTTTCACCATGTTGGCCAGGCTGGCCTTGGAACTCCTGACCTTGTGATCTGCCCGCGTTGGCCTCCTAAAGTGCGTGAGCCACCACACCTGGCCTTAAAGTTCTTTCTATACATTTTTTCTTTTATTTTTTGAGTCAGAGTTTCATTGTGTCACCCAGGCTGGAGTGCAGTGGCACAATCATGGCTCACTGCAGTCTTGACCTCCTGGGCTCAAGTGATCCTCCTGCCTCAGCCTTCCAGGTAGCTGGGACCATGGGTGTGTACCGCCATGCCTAATTATTTTTTTCTTTTTTTTTTTTTTTGAGACAGAGGCTTGCTCTGTCGCCCAGGCTGGAGTGCAGTGGCCCGTCCTCGGCTCACTGCAAGCTCCAACTCCTGGGTTCATGCCATTCTCCTGCCTCAGTTTCCCGAATAGCTGGGACTACAGGCACCCACCACCACGCCCAGCTACTTTTTTGTATTTTTAATAGAGAGGGGGTTTCACCGTGTTAGCCAGGATGGTCTTGATCTCCTGACCTCGTGATCCGCCCGCCTCGGCCTCCCAAAGTGCTGGGATTATAGGCATGAGCCACCACACCTGGCCGCCTAACTAATTATTATTATTATTATTTTAATTTTCTTGTAGAGATAGGTCTGGCTTCATTGCCCAGGCTGGTCTTGAACACCTGGCCTTAGGAGATCCTCCGATCTTGACTTCCCAAAGTGCTGGGATTACAGATGTGAGCCACTGTGGCCAGCCTATAAGTTTTGTTTTAAAGTTAGATTGAATGATAATTCCCTAGAAAATTTTATTTTCTAAACCTAACTAGATAAAAAATATATTAATAAAAACTGGGAAATTGATCAATTTGTCATACTGAATTATTTTTTGAATTTGCCCTCTTCCCAAATACATTGAAATGATGGAAAGAAAATTAAAACTTTCATAATAAAGTATTAAATGGGTGGAGATTTTATATACATAAAATTATATCTGTTATATTTTTATGTATACAATTATGTAATTTTCATCTTATATTTAAATTCTATTTTTTTAAAACCACCGAATTAGGTAATAATAGAACTCCGGTCTTAAAGTAAGAGTGTATGTACACACATGCACATGTACATATGTGTATATAAAATTTTTGTCATGGGAGTTTTATATATAATTAAGATAAAAATTATATATTATGGCACACATTTTTATACATATGTAATATTCTCTACCATATGTATGTAAAATACTCCCATATTAATTATGTATAACATAAATATTTGTGTTATCCTGAAACATAAACATAGATAATCATGTTTTAGGATGGGAATACTCAGGAGTATAAGGGTACCTGTTCTCCCATTAGTCAGTCTGTGAATTCAATATTTATGTGTTCTCATCCAGAATTTCTCTGGGACCTGACAAGCTGACTGTGATGCTTGTGTGTAAGAGGAAATGTGCTAGAATAGCTGGGAAGGTGGTGAAAGTAGCAGCAACAACAAAGCACAGTGAGGTGAAACTTGCCCTGCTGGATATGAAACCTCATAATACTAGAGTAATTTGAAAAGTGTGGCATTGGCACAAGAAAAGACAGACAAACCAAATTAGTCTAGAATTGTGGACAAGTAGGAATATACTTTATAATGAAGATGGCTTTGTTTTTCTTTCTTTTTTTTTTTTTGAGATGGAGTCTTACTCTGTTGCCCTGGCTGGTGTGCAATGGCGTGATCTCGGCTCACTGAACCTCTGCCTCCCAGGCTCAAGCGATTCTCTTGCCTCAGCCTCCCAAGTAGCTGGGATTACAGGCGCATGTCACCATGCCCGGCTAATTTTTGTATTTTTAGTAGAAAAGAAGTTTCACCATGTTGGCCAGGCTGGTCTCGAACTCCTGACCTCAAGTGATCTGCCCGCCTCAGCCTCCCAGAGTGCTGGGATTACAGGAGGAGCCACTACTTATGACCTTCTTTTTCTTTATTTGCTATTTCAGTTCCATAGAAGCATGCGAAGAGTAACATAACAAATGTCCATCTACCTACCATCTGTGATTACAAAACTTAGTATTTTATCATCCTTGCTTCAGAATTATTTAATAAAGACAATACTTCCTCTGCACAAATGCTTACCTTAAAACTACTCTTGAATTATTTTCACGATTGACTTATCAACTCCCAAATTTAAAACCATGTATTTTTGTCTTTATATTCCTCAGACATTTATAGAAAGTTATTTACTGAGCAGTTACTATGTGCCAGATATTATGCTGTTTTTATATACTGTTTTTACTTTATATAGCTAATTATATTATTTGTCACATATTAACCTATTTTAAATATAAAAAGAAATGACGCATTAATGTTTTCAAACCTTGGTAACTTTTATTAAGTAAATACTTGAGAGGAAGCTTTTACTGGTAATTGTGGTTTTATTTATGTAGCTATAGTTATAATTTATTAGAAGTACACTTGGTGTTTTAGTTCTTATTAATTCTATTTTTTTCCCATCCTGTTCAGGTGGTTTCCTAGAAACATGATTGTTTATTGGCGTTGATCTCAGTCTGGTGAGGACTTCTTTACTGATAATGTCAAGTTCAGGTTACCCTCCCAACCAAGGAGCATTCAGCACAGAACAAAGTCGTTATCCTCCTCACTCTGTAAAGTATACGTTTCCCAGCACCCGCCACCAGCAGGTAAGGAACAAATACTATGCAAATTGCACGTGTTTTTTGTGTTTTTCTTTACTTTTCCTATTTAATACACATGTTGGTAGAAACCACCAAATTTACCTTTTTTTTTAAGTGGCAAGAGCTATTTACAAAGACGAGGAACCAAAGGTTGGGAATTAATTATTTCTGTCTTCTTACTGTGGCTTTATGCCAATTTCAGGAGTTGAACTTGTCTTTGCTTTTGATGACAGGAGTTGATGATAAATAGAAAACTTATCAATTCTCTAGAATTTCTAGGGTAAGACCTATATTTATACTCCCAAGTTGTGGTTGAGTTTTAAGCTGGCCAGATAACTTGGCATGTCTTGAGTGATGGCCAGGATAAAGACCTCTGTCTTCTTGAGAGATTGATGGTACGAAGATTTGTATAGTAGGTAGGAAGGAAGGAAGGGATGGTAGATAGGAAGGAAGACTTTATCATAGGAAGAGTTTGTAAGAGATTGATTTACCTTGTGAAAAATAAAGTATGAGGTGAAATAATCATCTCAGAGTAGACCAAGGATATGGGTGTAAGAGGTTTAAAGAAAAATAGGAAAGGATGGGATAAAACGGTCCTCTCAGAGACTCAGAAAGCAGATTTGTCATCAGAATGTACTACGGGGTCCTCCTGAGGACTCCTTTGAAGTGTAGTCATGATTACAGAGTTAGAATGGACATTCTTACGTTGTTCCTGTGTAGGGAGGCATTTAGTCTTTTACCATTACGTGTAATGTTAGTTGCACGTTTTTGTTGATTCTTTTTTTGGTTGAAGAGGTTGCTTTCTGTTCCTAGTTTGAGAATTTCTGTCACGACTGGATGTTGAATTTTGCTTGTGTTGTCCCCCTCCTACACCAGTGTTATTCGTCTGATTACCAATTTTCCGGATTATTGTTGCTGCTGTTTTTTTCATAAAATCAGGCCGGGCGCAGTGGCTGACGCCTGTAATCCCAGCACTTTGGGAGGCTGAGGCGGGTGGATCACTTGAGGTCAGGAGTTTGAGACCAGCCTGGCCAACATGGTGAAACCCCATCTCTACTAAAAATATGAAAAAAGTAGCCAGGCACCTGTAATCCCAGCTACTTGGGAGGCTGAGGTTGGAGAATCGTTTGAACCCAGGAGGCAGAGGTTGCAGTGAGCCAAAATCGTGCAGGTGGACTCCAGCCTGGGCAACAAGAGTGAAACCCCGTCTTAAAAAAAACAAAATTAACTTTGCAGTTTAGTTTATATATATACACATATATCTATATTAGAATGCACTCAGTATATGTGTACATTGTAACAAATTTTGACAAAGTCATAAACTCACAGAACCATCACCAAAATGAAGATGAACAACATTTCTAACACTCCAGCACGTTCCTTGGCACCCCATCCTCCTTGGCACCCACCCGTGTCAGTCCTCCTCCCCCACTTCCTACTAACCTCAGCTCCTAGGAAACCACTGATCTGCTATCTATCATCAAACATTGTATACTTTCTGAGCTTCATGGGAACTCTTTTGTCTGTGACCTTTGGCTTCCCATAATACTTCTGTGATCTATCCATGTCTGGCATGTCTCAGTTCATTCCTTTTTATTGTTGAGATGGGTATAACACAATTTGTTTATCCAGTCACCTATTCCAGTTTTTGATTATTATAGGTAAAATTACTTAGAAAACATATATCTATATATCTGTTGTATCTAGATTATTAAAAGAAGTATTGCCTCATTTTCTTAACAGTATCCTTTGGGGAGCGTACATTTTTTATTTTTATCAAGCCCGATGTACTTTTTTTTTTGAGACAGAGTCTTGCTCTGTTGCCTAGGCTGGAGTGCTATGGTGCCAACTCAGCTCACTGCAACCTCTGCCTCCCAGGTTCAAGCAATTCTCCTGCCTCAGCCTCCTGAGTAGCTGGAATTACAGGCATGTGCCACCACGCCCAGGTAATTTTTGTATTTTTAGTAGAGATGGAGTTTCATCATGTTGGCCAGGCTGGCCTCGAACTCCTGACCTCAGGTGATCTGCCCTCCTTGGCCTTCCAAAATGCTGGGATTACAGGTGTTAGCCACTGTACCCAGCCCTGATGTATTATTTTTACTGTTCATTTTTTGTGCTTTTTGTGTCAAACCTAAGACGTTTTTGCGAAATTCAAGGTCACTAAGATTTTCACTTACGTTTTCTTTTTTTCTATTTTTGTTTTGTTTTGCTTTTGGGTTTTTTTTTTTTTTTTTGAGATGAAGTCTTACTCTGTTGCCCAGGCTGGAGTGTAGTGGTGCAATCTCGGCTCACTGCAAGCTCTGCCTCCCGGGTTCACACCATTCTCCTGCCTCAGCCTCCTGAGTAGCTGGGACTACAGGCACCCACCACCACGCCCAGCTAATTTTTTTTGTATCTTTAGTAGAGATGAGGTTTCACCCTGTTAGCCAGGATGGTCTCAATCTCCTGACCTCGTGATCCACCCACCTTGGCCTCCCAAAGTGCTGGGATATCAGGTGTGAGCCATCACGCCTGACCAATTTTCACTTATGTTTTCTTCTCTAAGTTTTATAATTATAGGTCTTTCATTTAGGTAAATTACCTATTTTGAATTAAAGTTTTATATGTGGTGTAGTAAGCATTGAGTTTCAGTCTTTCTGCATTAAGAATGATGTTAGCTTGGGGAGTGCTCTTTACTCCTGTTTTCTTAAGGGGTTTGTGTAGGATTGGTACTTTTCTTTGAGATGGAGTCTTGCTTTGTCATCCAGGCTGGAGTGCAGTGGTGCGATCTCGGCTCACTGCAACCTCCATCTCCCGGGTTCAAGCGATTCTACTGCCTCAGCCTCCCGAGTAGCTGGGATTACAGGCATGCGCCACCATGCTCAGCTAATTTTGTATTTTTAGTAGAGACGGGGTTTCTCCATGTTGGTCAGGCTGGTCTCAAATTCCTGACCTCAGGTGATCCATCTGCCTCAGCCTCCCAAAGTGCTGGGATTACAGGCGTGAGCCACTGTGCCCGGCCCCAGCTAATTTTTTGTATTTTTAGTAGGGCCAAGTTTTCACTATGTTGGCCAGACTGGTCTCGAACTCCTGGCCTCAAGCGATCTGCCTGCCTAACATATTCTAATATTTTTCCCAGTGTCTTTTTGTTTCAATTTTTCTTTTTTTTAAAGCATACTGAAGTTTAAAATGTTTTTACTGCCATCAAATCTTTTTCCTATAGTGTTTATTAACCTTTATGCCTAATTGCCCTTTCTTCCCTGATATCAGATAAATAAGTACCCACACATTTTCTTTGAGTTTTCATGCAATGAAGAGTAATTTAAAAGATAATAAATGTATCTACAATTTATTTTCAAATAGTTCAGCCAAAATGAAGTTTTATACACATACACAGACAAACACAGAAAGCAAATATGTTAAAATGTTAACTACTGGTGAATCCAGATGAAGGATAAATGAGTGTCCATTACACTGTTCCTTCAACTTTTAAGTGAATTTGAAATTTTTCAAAATAGTAAGTTCGATGGGGAAAAATTCTTTGCTGTAAGCTAGAAATTAGCTAAGCTTCTAGGTGTTTTGTGACCCACCTTATCATGTAAAATATCTTTATCATACAGTAATCTGTGGGGTTTATAAGAAATGTTCTGCTGCATTAAAAAAATGAAATTTAAAACTATAGTGAATAAAGGTCATCTTCCATGGCTGAATACATTACCACAAATGTAGTTTATAGAATTTCGTTTTTTAGCAGAAAAGTGTCTTAAAAACTCATTCATTAAAATGAGTGTGTTGTGTTGTAGTGTGACCCATTTCCATGTCATAGTTGAGAAACTGGATGTTCAGAAGAATTAAGTGACCTAGGTAGTACCTCCTGAGTTGGAATTAACCTAGGACCCCTGACTCTAGTCCTGCTTTTTCTCCTCTAAAGTGTAAACCATGACTACTACTACTAACTAATACTTCTCTTTCCATCTCCCTCTCCCCATTCTCTCCCAACTGCCCACCTCCAGAAGTAAGGATTTAAAAAGAACTAACATTTGTTAGATTTTTTTTTAAATGTTAAGCCTAGGTATATCATTTATAGAAGAATTAAGTAAGCTTGAAAGAAAAAATTACCTACAGTTTTACCAGTTAAAAGTTATTAACATTTTCATGTTGAGTCTTCCCTATTTGTGTGTGTATTATTTTAATTTTAATTTAATTTAATTTAATTTAATTTAATTTTATAGGTTCTTTTTTCTTTTTTTTTTCTTTTTGCTGCTGCTCCTTGTGGAACAGGGCTAACCCATAGGCAGTGTGTCCAGAGTCAGCCCTTACGAGTATTTTAATGTGCTCACTTTGTACATTCTGTTTAACTTTACTTTTGTTTAAATATGTGCTTAGCTTCTTTTCGTGCCAATAAGTTTACAACTGTATTGTTAGTGGCTACTTAGTATTCCACATATGAATAAATAAAGTTCACTGATTAAATAAAGTTATTTATTTAATCAGTTGTCATACATTTAGCTTGCCTGTTTGTTCAGAAGTACGGTGTTGTGACGTGCATTTTTTTTTTTTTTTTTTGAGACAGAGTCTCACTTTTGTTGCCCAGGCTGGAGTGCAGTGGCACGATCTTGGCTCACTGCAACCTATATCTCCCAGCGATTCTCCTGCCTCAGGCTCCCGATTAGCTGGGACTACAGGCGCATGCCACCAAGTTCAGATAATTTTTGTATTTTTAGTGGAGATGAGGTTTCACCATGTTGGCCAGGCTGGTCTCGAACTTCTGACCTCAGGTGATCTGCACACCTTGGTCCCCCAAAGTGCTGGGATTATAGGCATAAGCCACTGCAGCTGGCCCATACATTATTTAGGTTTTTTTTTGTATGCATTCTTACTTATTTCCTTAAGGTAGATTTCTTTTAGTATAATTAATTACAGACCAGGTTGATTTTTAAGGTTCAGTGGGTATTTCCAGATTGTCCTGCAAAAGACTAGGGCCAGTTCTTAACTCCTGGCAACAATGTATAAAGGTACCCACTTCTTGACCGGGCCCAGTGGTTCACACCTATAATTCCAGCACTTTGGGAGGCTGGGGCAGGCAGATCACCAGAGGTCAGGAGTTCGAGACCAGCCTAGCCAGCATGGTGAAACCCCGTCTCTACTAAAAATACAAAAATTAGCTGGGTGTGGTGGCAGGCACCTGTAATCCCAGCTACTCAGGAGGCTGAGGCAAGAGAATCATTTGAACCTGGGAGGCAGAGGTTGCAGTGAGCTGAGATTGCGCCATTGCACTCCAGCCTGGGTGACAAGAGTGAGACTTTGTCTCAAAAAAAAAAAATAAATAAAAATAAAGGTACCCACTCCTCCTGTATCCTTGCTGACACCACGTTTATTGTTTAACAAAAAGATTGTTAATTTGATGAATGATTGTTTTTAACTTATACTTATTATTTGTTAGTAAAATGTAACTTTTTTATTTGTTTATTGGTTATTTTTCCTGTTTTGTAAATTGTTTTTTCATATATGTTGCCCATTTTTCTGTTGGTTTATTTTATATTGAGTTATTAGAGTGCATGTTTTGCAAATGGTTTCCCTATTTAATCATTTGCCTTTTTAATTTGTTATTACTGTTTTGATAAGCAGAAGATTGTGTTTTTGCATGTGTAGTTTTTTTTTGTTTTTGTTTTTTTTTTTTTTTTTTTTTTTGAGACGGAGTCTTCCTCTGTCACCCAGGTTGGAGTGCAGTGGTGCCATCTCTGCTCACCGCAACCTCCGCCTCCCGGGTTCAAGCCATTCTCCTGCCTCAGCCTCCCGAGTAGCTGGGATTACAGGCTCGCACCATCACACCTGGCTGATTTTTGTATTTTTAGTAGAGATGGGTTTTACCATGTTGGCCAGACTGGTCTTGAACTCCTCACCTCAAGTGATCTGCCTGCCTCGGCCTCCCAAAATGGTGGGATTACAGGTGTGAGCCATCGTGCCCAGCAGAAGATTGTTTTTTATTTTATCCATCAATTTTTCTTTTTTAAAAACTAATGTCTTTTATATCTTTTGCTTTTGGCTTTCCTGAACCCAAGATAATGTGAATCTTTTTTTTTTAACTTGAGGCTTTTTGTGATTTGCTAATAAGCCTCTTGTAAGTGTTTGCTATTACTTGGCTTTTTTTAATGTAAGATATGAGGTAAGAATCTAATTCTTTTTCTTCAGGATTGGTATCTGGCTGTTTCAACCCAAGATTGTAAGCTTCATGAAGGCAGATATCTTGTCTGTTTTGATCCACCACCCTATTCCTGTTATACAAGTAGGCACTTGAGGATTTGGTTTCTTATTAAATATTTAATATTTAGAAAGGAAGTCAGTGGAAAATATTTATTTGTAATATTAATTCTTTGGGCATGCATCAGAATCACCAGAGGAGCACTTTTGAAGTCTGCTGAATCAAAATGTAATCTCTTTTGCTATTATATATGTTTCTGTAACACAAACTTACTCATATGCATATAGTGGGAGAATGATATTAATGTATCATGAAAGTCCTGGTGGTTCATCAAAGATCTTTCTTTATGCGTTAACATTTCTAAGTTCTCAGGAGTACGCGTCTCATAATGAAGAAAAAGGCTTCAGAACACATGAAGACTTAAAAATATTTGAACATTCTGCATTTAGTTTTCATTTAGTGCAAGTAGTAACTGGTTTAGTGAATTTAAGAACTGTTGTGCTTTTCACGGTGTTACTGAAGATTCGAGCATTGAAAAGACAACGTGAAGACAAATTTTCTTGTGTGTTTTTTAACGATGATAAAGGAGGGAGGGGGAGAAAAAGAGGTTGATACAGATGGTTATATGCCAAATCTGACTTTTTTTTTCTTTTTTTTGAGATGGACTCTCGCTCTGTCACCCGTGCTGGAGTGCAATAGTGCAATCTCAGCTCACTGCAACCTCTCCCTCTTGGGTTCAAGCCGTTCTCCTGCCTCAGCCTCCCGAGTAACTGGGACTACAGGTGCCCGCCACCACGCCCAGCTAATTTTTGTATTTTTTAGTAGAGACAGGGTTTCACCATGTTGGTCAGGCTGGTCTCGAACTCCTGAACTTGTGATCTGCCCATCTTGGCATCCCAAAGTGCTGGGATTACAGGCATGAGCCACCATGCCCAGCCACTGATATTTTATTTAGATGAAACATAGTGGTTTATTTTGGAAGCCAGTGACCTCACGGATTTATATCTTAAGAGAGGAATCATAAACTGTAGGGCTTAAAGCTGCCAAAGATTGACTGTATGCCAGATGCAAAGGATACTGGAGCTTTAACTTTATTAAGTCTATTAGAATTGTTATTGCTTTTATTGGTGCTTTCCTTACAGAATTGTACAGGTTTTAGGGTATAGCCATTATCTTATTTTCCCAGAAGGCCTCTTAGATTCAGTGCATACTATTACAGAATATGAGGCTTTTCACCAATGTATATTAGCTGAAATATCTGTACTAAGGTGTTTTGAAGCAACTGTCCAGTTATCTCCTGTATGCATTCTTGGCTCAGAACTATTGACTTTTCACAGTTCCTTAATCATTATTTAATATATTTTAGGGTTCTGTAATCCCGTGAACTACCCTCATTGTAGGTTTCTCATAGTCTAAGTAAAATTAGTACTCTAAAATTTATCTGTTTTATAATATTGCTTATGTCTTTACAGCAGACTGGAAATTAATAGGGTGTGTGTGGATGTGTGTTGGAGGGTAGTGGATTTTGGGTGAAAGGGCTTTCATTCTGCTACAGCTCTGCTGATTTGGAGGCGCAATGGGATGTTTTTGGCTAAGGAAATGTTACGTATGCTGTAGTGTGGGCTTTATGAAAGTAGGCCCAGAGATAGTAGCAACTGAAGTTCCTAGGTCACTTCTCTGACTCGTGTACCTCAGTTTTGGTTTGGAAAGCCTGAAAACTTTTGATAGGAACACTTGGCCATGTTATAGTTGTTAAGTTGGGTGGACACACAGGTTTTACCTGGAATAATACTATTTCCCAGCCAGTTGTTCAGACCATTTGAAGAGCCATTGCAAGGAAATGGCTGAGAAGTTGGTATCTTCCTTTGTCATGATTGCATTATTTACCTATAAATTCTCTATAATTTCAGTATTGTTACACTAGAGGCTGATCAACACTAACTCACCTGACTTTGTATAGCTTTTAGGCTCTTCAAAATAGTACATGGTATATCTAAACTACAAAAGTGAGGTGAGAATTTGCATATATATAAATATGAAAGTTACTACTAAACATTAGACACATAGTACACATGGTTCTGCTGTGGTTTAAAACTGGCTTTTTCATTTAAGGCAATCTGGACTCTATTAGTGAGAAATAAATTGTTTTTCCTGGTTTTATTCTCTAAAGGATCCAACATTTGGAGGCAAACATGAAGCTCCATCCTCTCCAATTTCGAGGCAACCGTGTGGAGATGATCAAAATGCTTCACCTTCAAAACTTTCAAAGGAAGAGTTAATACAGAGTATGGATCGTATAAATCGAGAAATTGCAAAAGTAGAACAGCAGATCCTTAAACTGAAGAAGAAACAAGTAAAAGTCTTTGCTTATAATATTCTAAGAATGTGTGTTTTTCTCCCTACAGAAGATATTTTTGAGTTTTCCATATTATGAAACTGTACATAAAAGGAATCATGCCTTATATATTCTGGCTTGCTGTTTTTTGCTGCTATTGTGGTTTTCTTTCATTCATTCATTTTCCTTGCTGCACTGTCTGATCATATGATTGTAGAGAGTGAAATTTGTCCATTCTATTTTTGATTTTTTTTTCTATTCCATACACTGGTGCTGGTTTTTGGTTCACATGTAGAGATTTTCTAGGGCATGTGCCCAGGAATGGCAGTGCTTGGCCCAAGATTATGCACAGTGAACTATTTAATAGATGACACCAAATTTGCTAAGAAGTAACACCATTTTACATTCCCACTGGCAACTTACGTGGGTACTGGTTTGTGCACATTCTTGCCTTTACTTGATATCATTTTTTCATTTGGATATGAAATAGTCTTCTCTGTGGTTTGGAAGGAGGCTGAGCTTATTTTCATTTGTTTATGGGTTATTTGGGTTCCTTATGTGCATTGTTCATGTCTTTTGTCTATAGTCTCCTATTTTGTCATTGAAATTTTTAGGATTCCCTGAAGTCCCTTGTCAGGTATGTGTATAGAAGATTTGCCTAGTTTGTGGCCTGTCACTTCACTTTTAGCCCAGTATCCACTCTAAGTGTACACTAAGTGCATTTTTTTTTCCACATTTCGAGTCTCACTCTGTCACCCAGGCTGGAGTGCAGTGGTGCGATCTTGGCTCACTGCAACCTCTGCCTCCCAGGTTCAAGCGATTCTCCTGCAACAGCCTCCTGAGTATCTGGGACTATAGGTGCTATAAGTGCTTTTAATGTATTCATAAAGTTGTACAGCTATCACCACTCTCTAACTCTAGAAGATTTTTATCGTTTCAAAAAGAAACTCCATACTTACTAGCAGTTACTCCCCATTTCCCCCTTTCCCCAGCCCCTGGCAACCACTAGACTATTCTCTGTCTCTATGGACTAGCATGTGCCAAATATCAGAAAAAACAGAATCATATGTGACCTTTGGTGTTTGGCTTCATTTGTTTAGCATGTTGTCCTGATTCATCCATGTCGTATCTTGTCTCAGCACCTCATTACTTTATATGCCTGAATCCCATTGCGTGAGTATACTATGTTTTGTTTATCCATTCATTAGTTCATGGATATTGGAGTTGTGTTCATTTTTTGACTATGATTAATAATGTACTGTGATGAGATTCATGTACTCGTTTTTGTGAGGACGTATTTTTACAATTTTCTTTATATGTCTAGGAGTGGGCATATGGTAAATCTATGTTTAAATTTTTTGAAAAACTTCAAAACTGTTTTCCAAAGTCTCTGTACCATTTTATATTCTTACCAGCAGTGTATGGAGGTTCCATTTTTTCCTACCTCCTTGCCAACATCTGTTATTTTCCTTTTTTTTAAAAAAAATAGCTATTCTTGTAGATGTGAAGTGGTATCTAGTTGTAGTTTTCATTTGCATATCCTTAATGACTAATGATGTTGAGCATCTTTTCATGTGCTGATTGGCCATTTGTATATCTTTTTAGAGAAATGTTCATTTAGATTGTTTGCTCATTTAATTGGGTTGTCTTTTTGTTACTCTAAGAATTCTTTATATATTCTGGACATTAGTTCTTCATCAGATGTATGACTTAATAGGTATTTTCTCTCATTCTGTGGGTTCTTTTCACTTTCCTGATAGTATCCTTTGATGTACAAAGTTTTGAATTTTGTTGAAGTCCAGTTTGTTTTTTCCTTTTGTCACTCTTGCATTTGGTGTTGTATCTAAGACCCATTGCCTAATTCACGGTCACAGATTTATACCTATGTTTTCTTCTACAAATTTTATAGTTTTACCCCTTATATTTGGGTCTTTGATCCTGATAGTGTTTTTCTGGTGAACAGAATTTGTTTAGGTTTTATATGAAAACCCACTGGGGTTATTAAGGTAGTTTTACTGTATTATTTGTAGAAGTTTTATAGTTTTGCTTCTCATCTTATTCTTAATCCACTGGAAACTACATATTGTATAGTCAGTGTTCATTTATATTTACTCAGATATTTGTCTTCTTAAGTGCTCACCATTTCTTCTCACAACTTAAGTCTTTCATCTAGGGGAACACTCTTCTACTGAAGAACATCTCTTAGAATTTCCTTTAGTGAAGGTCTCTTAGTTAGCAAAGTCAGTATTTGTTTGGTTTTTATGACTTAAATATTGTCTTATATTTGGGCTGTTTATTAAAAGATATATTAATTTCATATGTGATTATTTTTTCTTAGTACATTGTCTTCTTGCTTCCATTTTTAAGACATTAGCTCTTGGTCTAAGTCCATATTCTTTCATGGATAAAGTGAATTTTCTCTCTGCTTATTTTCAATATATTCTTTTCTTCAGGGTTCCGTTATTTTTATGATGATACATTTAGGTGGTTTTTTTTTTCCCTTTTAAATCTGTCCAACTTGAGCTTCCTGAATATGAAGGGTGGAGTTTTTCATCACTTTGGGGAAATTCCAAGCCATTATCTTTTTTACAAAACCTTTCTAACAGTTTATTGTTCTACTTATGAAATCCTGTTAGTTGTAATATCACTCTTGTCTTCCATGTCTCTTGTTTGTTTCTTATTTTTTACTTCTTTGGGCTTCCTTCTGAGCAATTTCTTCAGCCTGTCTTCCAGTTTGCATTTTCCTTTTCAATTATATGTAATCTGCTGTCAAATCTGTCTTCAATTTCAACAATTATGTTTTTATTTCTGGAATTTCTGTTTGGCTCCTTCTCAAATCTGCCTGGTCATTTTTTAAAATGTTTTTTTGCTTTCATTGAGTTGTATTAAATTTTTATTATATACCCAACAATTCTAATTAAGTCTTTATTGGTTTGATTTTGCCGAGTCTCTTTTCTTTTTTCTTTTGTCTTTATTTTCTTTACTTGTACAATGGTAATAATCTAGTAATAACACCAACTAAATCACATGATTGTTTTATGAATTGAGATAATGAATATATTGCATAATATGTGGTACATAGTTAATGTACATGCAATCCATTATAATAATTAGAAATAATGAAATATAATGTATGATTATTAGGAAATGTACCAGAGCCACAAATTTTATTGAGCGATATAAAAGACAACTAGAGGAAACAAAGAAATGTGCCATAGCTGGATGGAAACAGTAATAATAATGTTGTGTGTTCATCTTGGACTAAATCATGTCTCATACAATTTCAATAAAATTCCAATTAAATTTATTTTTAAAACATGGCAAATACATTGTAAATTTAATGTAAAAGAACAAACAGGGCCAGGCTCAGTGGCTCAACCTGTAATCCCAGCACTTTGGGAGGCTGAGGCAGGCATATCACAAGGTCAGGAGATCGAGACCATCCTGGCTAACACGGTGAAACCCCATCTTTACCATAATACAAAAAATTAGCTGGCGTGGTTGCAGGTGCCTGTAGTCCCAGCTACTCAGGAGTCTGAGGCAGGAGAATGGCGTGAACCCAGAAGGAGGAGCTTGTGGTGAGTGGAGATCACGCCACTGCACTCCAGCTTGGGCGACAGAGCGAGATTCCATCTCAAAAATAAAATAAAATAAAATATAAAAAGAAAAAGAATTTGTGTCTTGTTTCCTCATTAATGTTGGTTGAAAGCATGTTTGCACTTGTCTTTGGCTTGTGTTTTATTAACATTGATTGGCATATTAAAAGCCCCTCTGAGCTTACCTTCTCTAAAATAATGTAAGAAAAAAGGCCTGTGGGAAGGACTATGAGGCAGGGGGGCTGGTGTGAGCACATGCAGGGCAGGAGGAAAGAGGTAATGACCAGGACCAGGGAAATCCCCAAATCCAGCAGGTCAGGGAGCCAAATGAAAGCCTTTCATCCTGTATTGGCCACCTAACCCCATCAACACTCCAAGTGAACATTCTCTTTTAGAGATACTCATTGTCCTGTTTTTTCTGTAATCTTGTAAAGGAATCTGATTTCTCCCATTAGCCTTTCACAGGACTAAAATTTCACATTAGAATGCTATTCTTTAGAAGGCATCTTCTTAGATTAGGCTGCAAGGAGATTGAGGAAGTTACTGTCAGTCACTTATACCCCACAGGGACATTAATTCACCAGAGCTTTGGTGGGGGAGTAGAGGAGCTCACTACAAGCAGGTCTGGGTGCTGCACAGAGTGTAAAGGGGGCAGAAGGATCCAGGACACCTAGGCCTGGAGACAGCGCCAATGCTGGGAGGTACCGTTATTATCCCCATTTTACAGAGGAGGAAACAGACACAGGCAGGTAATGTGATCAAGACCACGCTGCCCCACAGTACAGGAGCCAGGATCTAAACCCAGGCAGCCTGCCTTGCCATCAGCGCTCTCACCCATAACCTCGTGCTGCCTTTAAGCAGGATTGCCCTGTGGCCAGGGGCACAGCTTCTGGGTTCAAATTCCAGCTTCTCTACCATTTCCAGCTGTGCGACCTTGGGCAAGTTAGTTGTCTGTGCTCAGTGTCCTCTGCATAGTGGGTGTAGCAATACCTGCCTCATGGAGTCCCTTGAGTTACAGCTGTAACATGCTTATAATGATGCCATGCCCATCATCACCATCCACTACATATGGGCCATCATGCCTGAATCCCAGATGGACACATATCCTTGAAGGGTCTAAAATCTAGGATCCTGAAATGCCTGGCAGTGGGATCCTGAAATCCTCTGGCAGCATTCTAACATATTTTGGCTGCAGAATTGTACCCTGTTTCCCAGGGCTAGAAGGTGTGGGATCAGCTGCTTACTCAGTTCAGCCCCAAAGTAGGCAAAGAAGGTTTTGTCACAGGCTTGCCTGGGGCCCAGCCCCTGTAACTTCCCCTTGTCCCTCCCTTGCATGCTCCCTCACCCATGTTCACACATGCACTCCAGGCCTTCTGGGCCCCAAGGGAAGGAGAGAGGGTGGGGAGTGGGTTCACTGGTCCACCGAAGCATGCTGCCTTCAGCCCTGCTGCACTGGTGGGTCCAGGGAATGGGCCTGGATCTGAAGGGGTCTTGCCCTCCCTTTAACTTTAAGCCTTGATTTGCAGTGATCCAAGAGCTTCATCTCTTCCTGTGAGCTTGTCTGGATGTTTATGCTGGATGGCACAGGCCACTTCTGGCAGGGTGCACAGGTCAGGGCCTGGCTGGCAGCCATAGCAGGTGAGGAGACTTTGGCAGATGAGAAGACCTTCTGCTTCAGCTTCAATGTATTGGTCTTCTCCTGGCTCTCAGTACATTCCTCCTGAGCCGTGATGGGCCCCAGTTCAATGAAGCCTTCTGTGGCAGCAGCATGGTGTCCAGGGGTATCATCTGGAGCATGTGCCAGTGCTACCCCAAGGTATGTGGTTGTGGGGCTGAATGGAGCCAGAAGGGCTGGATCTTGTACCTCTCTTCCATGTATCAGCCCCATCCTTCAATCATCTTGTTATTTTCATTTTGACTCCCTGTTTTATTCTGTCTTCTGAGCACCTATCCATTCATTTATCCATTCATCCATCTATTCATCCATCCATTCATCCCAGCATCAATCTATCAATCCATGCATCCATCCATTTATTTGTCTAACCACCCACCCATCTATCTGTCTATCATTTAGCATAAGGATTGATCAGAAGCCTCCTGGTTCTGGAGCCATAGACCAGACACCATGGGGAGACATGATGAAAAACAACATATGATTTGTGTGCTTGAAACAAGCTAATGAGTGCTTACCACCTGCCTGGCAGTCCTGCATTCAGGGTGCAGTTCTCCCCTCATCCTGAGCTTTTTGGTACCTTCTGTAGTTTCATTTTGTACTAGAGAATGCTGAGCCTCATAAAGTGGGGTCACACAGCTGCGTAGTGGAGTTTGGATTGGAGCTCAGATGTGTGTGATTTCGGCATCACCCTCTGCCTTGAGTCCTCCACTCCAGGGTCTCAGAGCCACTGAGCATTCTGGGGTTGGTCAGCTCTAACCTTGGTGGCATGCATTGAGCAACTCTCCATATTTTGGAGTCTTAATGTATTCCTAGCCTTAGTGATGGCAAGGACCCTGCTTTGGGAGACCTGGGTTCTAGTTCCAGTCCTGTCCCAAATTTTCTGCGTGATCTTTGTCTTTCTGACACAAGAACCAATTTTCACAGCCTCATAGGGCTATTACAGAGGTCAGAGAAGAGAAGAGATATACGAATATTAGTAGACTGTAGAGTGTTTTGTTTAGGTGAAGGGCTGTCAGGTCCTGACAACCCTCTGGAATGAACATGTCAGAAGTTGTAAACCGTCAATGCCCAGAGAGGTGGAGTGCCTCTTCCAAGGTCACATAGCTAGTCAGAGACAGACCTAGGGGAAAAAAATGAGAGAAACACAGATTCTCACTTGGGCTCTGTCTCTAACTGCCTGGGAGACTGCTCAAGCCCCTTCCCTCTCTAGGCCTCAGTTTCCTTGTTTTTACAATATGTGAGACAGGATGAGGGGATGGACGGGGATGATATCTGGGGGCCCTGCTAGAACTCACCTCTAGGGCCCAGGCTTGGGAATCCCCAGAACCCCCATATTGTCCTTTACACCTGGGTGGCTGTGCTCAAGGGCTCAGGGAGGGTGAACTCTTGCGGCCCTGGACTCCCTAGCCCTTCCCCTTCTGTGGGCCCACCGTGGGCTGTCAGTGTGTTAGGTGCTGGAATGGTCTGAGCTGGTTTGTAGTCATTTCCAAGGCAGTTTTATGGTAACCTCACCTCTGTCCGTGCCATGTCCTGAGCAGAAGTCCCGGGGAGAAGTCCTGGGGGCCAGAGCCACCCATGTCACCACTAGCCATGGTAGTCCTCTTTCCCGTGAGGAGGCTGCACCCTGGGAGATGGCATTGGGTGGAATGGAGCATCTCTCCTGACCTCCCCGTTAAGCAGAGGTGGCTCTGGGACTGTGGGCAGAGATACTGGAGTGGCAGTGGGAAGCGAAGTGGAGGAGGAAATATTACTGGGTACTAATGAGTCACAGTTGATAGACTCATGGCTTCATGTGCTTTGGAGGCAGTGTGGTGGGGGGCAGATGGCTTATGTTTTGGTGACCTACAGGCTTACATTCAAATAGCTGTTACCTCATGTTCCACGTCTGTGACCTTGGCAGGGGGAGCTCCTCAACCCCGAACCTTGCACAGCTGAGTGGGAGAAACCAGAGGAGTCTTGTGTTGTCAGGGACCTGGCATCATGCCTGGCACAGAGCACTTGCAAAATCTTCATTCTCAAGATTGGCATTTGTAGCTCTGGGGGATACACAGAGAGGTCTGTGTATGTATGGGCAGGTACATGTGGATAGGTGTGGGTCGGTTTGTGTGTGTGGGAGTGCATGTTTCAGGGACACAGGCTATCAAAGTCAGCACAAGGTGACTCCAATAAGGGAAGGGAAGAAAGCGTATGGTAAACCAGGAAGACACTCTAGAGATGAGGCTTCCTGCACCCCACATGGTCTGTTGGTGCCTGTGCCATTGTAGCCTTCAGTGCTCATGCTTGTCCTACCCTCAGGGTCCTCCCCTGGATCTCAGTGCCTGGCCTGTGGAAAGCTTCAGTAAATGGGGAAACATAAATATAAGGGAATATAACTAGCTAATTAGGGTAATTAAGTGAGGAGTAGCCATTTCCAACATGGATTAACCTGTCCCTGATTTTTAGGGGCTGGAGGTCTAGTGAGAGAGACAATTTGCGGCATGATGGGGAGGAAGTAGGATTCACAGAGAAGGTGAGCTTGGCTTTGTAGGTTAAGTAGAAATTCACCAGGCAGAGAAGATGTAGGAAGATGCTCCAGGCAGAAGAGCAACAGGATCAAAGCCATGTGGTGAAAGAACAAGGCAAGTGGGTCAGCAATGCTACTAGACGGGGAGGGGAACAAGTCAAGGTGGAAATGGAGGGGCCTCAGCTCCTCAGTGCCTGGGGTGTCATGCTAAGGAATTTGGATCTTACCCTTTAATCAAAAGGACAAGGGAGGGACATGACCAGGTTTGCAGTTTGAGAAAATTGTCAGGCTGATATCTGGAAAGAGGAAGGTCTGGGGCAGCGAGACCAATGGGAGGCTTCTCTGCTCAGGTGAGAGACAGTGGTCATCTGGATTAGGCAGAATTTGAACCCAAGGCTGTAGGAACTGAGAAGACAGTTCCAGTTTACCATATGAGGAGTACCTGCTGTGGCTGGCAGGGCACCAGCACTTCTACCCAGATTATCTCATTAAAATTCTAAAGTAGACCTGGTCAGCTCTGGAAGCCACCTGGGCCTCAGGCATGAGAGAGGAGGAGGAATTCAGGCAAATCTAGTGGGTGGGTGCAGTTGGAGATGCTGAGCCTATTAGCAAAGATGGGACAGGAAAGTGGGGAGCAGGGAAAGGAGTGGCAGGGAGAGTGAGTCCTTTCCCTGCCTGGCTGCAGCCTTTACCCATGAGCCTCCCATTCCTCATTCCTGCCAGATCTGCTGGACCCAGGACCAGGACCCTGGCTGGTGTTGAAGGTTCTGTCTCCTCTGTGGGCCTCCCTCCCTCTGCTTCTTCCTTCTGAGGACTGCTCAATGTTCTGGCTAAAGAGGAATCTGCATACTCTCCTGCTGATAAATCTTCAAGGATGCCTCTGATTCTCAGCAAAGCCTGAGCTTCTTAGTTTTATGTTCTGGGGGTCTCCATTGTTTGATATCCCCTCCCCAGCTTCAACTCTGCCTGTTCCTCCGCATCAAAGTACCTGTATTTTAATATGCTATCTCCTCTCCTTTTCCTCCAAGATTTTCATAATTGTGGTTGTGATGATGATGATGATGGTGAAGATGGTGATGATGAAGGTGGTGATAATGATAGTGATAGTTATGCTGAGGAGGATGATGATGTTGAGGATGATGGTGAGGATAGTGATGGTGATAATGTTGGTGATGGTGAGGAAGGTGATGGTGAAGGTGGTGATAATGATAGTGATAGTTATGCTGAGGAGGAGGATGATGGTGAGAATGGTGAAGGTGAGCATGGTGATGGTGATGATAAGGATGGTGATGAGGTGATAATGATGGTGATGGTCAGGATGGTGATGGTGAAAATGGTGGTGGTGATAATGAAGATGATGGTGATGGTGAGGATGGTGATGGTGAAGGTGGTGATGATACTGATAATTATGGTGAGGATGCTGCTGCTGATGCTGGTGAGAATGGTGAGGGTGAGACTGATGATGATAATGAGGATGGTGATGGTGAGTATGGGGATGGTGATGGTGCACCCCTTGATTTGGCAATTCGACATCTAAGAATTGTTCATTTCTTCCAGGATTTTTTTTTTTGAGTCAAGACTTCCCTATGTTGCCCAGGCTGGCCACGAACTACTGGCCACGAGTGATCCTCCCACTTTGGCCTCCTGAGTAGCTGTGATTACAGACATGAACCATGGTGCCTGGCTTTACCCTAGGAATTTATCCTGAGGAAGTAATCAGACAAGTGTGCCAAGCAGTACTTAAAGAAGGGTATTTATTGTTTCATTGATGATAGTAAGTAAGATGTGGGAAAACTGTGAATGTCCAGCAATAAGAGATTGGCTAAATAATTGTGCTACAGCTAGGCAAGGGGCTGGCTTATGGCCATTCAGAACACAGACCCTCCTGATTGAGTCAAATCTCCTGTCACTGCTCTCACACACCACACACCTCCCTTCTTTTCAGCAAATTACAATTGTAATTTTACATTTCTTTGTGAACCTCTTTGATGACTTTCTGTATCCCTCATTAGATGCTAAGCTCCATGGAGGCAAGGAGTATACTATGTTCATTGTTGTGTCCTCCATGCCAAGTTAAGTTCCTGGAACACAGTACACTCTCAATAATTTGTTGTTAAATGAATGACTGAATCTGTATTTCTTAGTATGGAAAGATGTTTGAAATACGCAATTAAGAGAAGGAGCAGATCATAAAACAGCATGCATACTGTAGTACACACTGCTAATTCCCTCCTTTCTTGATCTTCTTTGGGTGACCACATATGCACTCTCAGTCAATAAATTATGATTGATCCAAAGTCAATCATGACAATGCTATTCTCTACTGCTAGAGATGGTCATGAGATCAGGTTCTGGCCAATCTAAACACAGATTTCCAGACCTAAAGAGAAATCCTCTGGGGGTCACCTCTGAAGTTCCTGCTTTTCTAATAAGAATACAGAAGTGACTGCTTTTGCTGGCCTTGTAAACTCATGTAGTGGTTGGAGCTGCAGTAGCCGTCTTACAGCCATGAGCTAAATTCCAATAAACTCACAAAGATGCTGGGTCTAACATTGTTGAACCAGTGAACCATAGCCAGGAACCATAGATACCCTAACTATGTAAGAAAAATGAACCTGTCTTTGTTTAAGTGACTGAACTTTCAGATTAATGCACTCCCAACAGATACAGAGCATGATCCCATATATACCTGTATGTGCAAATATAAATAGAAAAATAAAGTGATTATCTCTGTGTGGTAGGATTCTCCTTCTTTTTTTATTTTATAAAGTTTTCCCAAAGGGCATGTAAATAATAATCAGACAAATATTTCTGTACATTCAGAAAATAAACAATGGTACTAATTTTATTTTTAGAAAATAAACTAAATATTGAGGCCCCAGAAGGTAGTTCACTACCATATGATAAGTTAATTAGCCACGACCGAGATGAACACTTGTGGGTATCCTGGAGGACAGGTTCTGCAGCAGTGAGAGGTCCCCTCCAGAACAGTATGTGGTTCCAAACTCCTGAGGGAGGCGGGGCAGACCCCAAGGAAGTAGATGAGAACCTGAGTGAGGCTCTGTGGGGAGAGAGGATGTTCCTCAGCCCTCACGAGGACATGTCAGTTTCACTTGAGATTAGGCCCCGGCCTTGGCTGGGCAGCCTGCCAGGCAGGTTCTCAGCAGCATGGGATGATAACAGGAGGAGGGGAAGCCTGGCAAGCTGGGGCAGCTCTGGGGTTTTCAGGTGGGGCTGTCTCGGGCAGCAACTGTGTTGGCTGTAAACACAGATTTCCAGGAAGCAGAGTGTTGCAATCTCTCCCACCACAAACCTGGACCATCAGGGATGTTTCCATAGCAGCATCCATGCCAGTGAGAAATCTGGACATGATCTGTGATCCCCATTCCCACTTTTCCTTTTCTCTTAGAATGGGACAGAGCAGCCTGGAGGAGCTAGTGTCCTGTAGTGACTCCAGTTTGCTGCTCTCTTCCTTATCTTCTTCCTCCTGCCCTCTGTCTCCTCTGCATCCTTCACCTTCTACATCAGGAAGCTCAAGTCACCGGGCTGAGCCTGGGCTTCTCATCTAAATCACGGAGTGCCAGTCAATGTCTCCCTTCCTCTTCCCAGGGAGCAACTTCAATCTTCCCTGCCTGCCATGGGGAGCTAGACCCTGCTCCTTATTCCCTGTGGGACCATCCACAGCCTGTATCCTCACCCCTGTAATGGGACTGCAGTCCTCCCTGCCCACCTGACAGTGCTAATTCCAGGCCAGGGGAGCTCCTGGGAAAATCACCAGTGTGGGTGACACGGTGGGTGTTTGTGTGTGTGGAGGGGTGGGGCTGCCACCTGGCCATTTACAGACCCCATCCTTCCTCTCTCCCTGTGCTTGTCGCATGTCAGGAATCCCTCTCCTTTGTGCCACGAAACATAAGGCATTTTCAGATCCATCATCTCATTGAGCCTTGCATCTCCTTGGTGAAGTTGGATTTATCGTCACCATTTTACTGATGAGTAAAATGAGGCTCAGAAACGGGAAAGTCGTTGCCAGAGTTCCGCTGTGGACTTACAGCGGAGCTGGGATTAGGATGCGGGTTCTGGATTCCTGGCGGGGTCCTGGCCCATCTGCAGCTAAGGCCTGTCTTTCTGCTCCCATGAGGTCCCTTTTCCATTCCTTTCCTCCCCATGACAGCCACTGTCACCACCACCCAGGGTCTGTGCTCACTGTCACATCACCCCTCGCTGACCCCTGCGTCTGGGCTGGAACCCGCCACGCTCCAAGTGGACACCCAGGCCCCATGGTGATACCCAGGTTCCAGGTGGGCACCGGGCCCCAGATGAACACCAGGCTCCGGGTGGATACCAGAACCTGGGTGGACACCCAGCTCTGAGGTGGATATGGGCTCCAGGTGGACATCAAGCCTCGGGTAGATATCTAGTCCCCCGGTGGACATAAGGCCTCAGTTCGACACCAGACCCTGGGTGGATACCTAGGTCTCGGGTGGATGCATCTCCAGCTGAACATCAGGCTCCAGGTGGACACCCAGGCCCTAGGTGAACACTAGGTCTTAGGTGGACATTAGGCCCCAAGTGGACACCCAGGTCCCAGGTGGACACCCAGCCTTAACATGGACATCGGGCCCTAGGTAGACAGCAGGTTCAAGGTGCATATGAGGCTCCCGATAAACACCGGTCCCCAGGGAGACCCTTGTCCCCAGGTGAACAGCAGCACCCAGGAAGACATCCGCCTCCACCTGCACATCATTCCCCAGGTGTATACCTAGGCCCTATGGGAGCACCAGGCCCCAAGTGAGTACATAGATCCCTGGTGGCCATTAGGCACCAGGTTGACACCCAGGGCTTAAGTGGACATGAGGCGCCAGATGAATGCTAGTCCCCAGGTGGATAAATAGGCCCCAGGCATACATCAGGTGTGAGGTCTGTACTCAGTCTTCAGGTGGACACTAGGCCCCATGCAGACACCAGACCCCAGGTGGATACCAGGCCCTATGCAGACACCAGTCTGCAGGTGGACAGCAGGCCCCAAGAAGACATTATGCCCTGGGTTGACACCTAGGCTTCAGGGCAACACTAGGCCACAAGTGGTCACCTATGCCCCAGGTGGACATCAAGCCTTAGTGGAATTCCCAGTCGCCAACTGAACATCAGGCCACAGGGGGATGCCCAGGCTCTAGGTGAACACCAGGTCTCGCGTGGACATTAGGCCCCAGGTGGACAGCAAGCCCCAAGTGAATACCTAGGTTCCTGGTGAACATCAGGACCCAGGTGGCACCCAGGCCCTACACTCAGGCCAAAAGCAGAAATCAGAACATATGTGGACACTCGGGGCCCAGGTGGCTATCAGGCCCCAGGTTTATATCACTTTCCTGGTAGACATCAGTACCCAGGTAGATACTGGACTTCAGGTATACATCAGGTTCCTAGGTGGACACCCAGGCCCCAGGTGGACACCAGCCTACAAGTGGACATCAGACCATAGGAGGACACCTAGGCCCCAGATAGATATCAGACTCCAGAGGAACACCAAGGCCTCAGGTGGACATCAGGTCCCAGGTTAATTCCAGACCCCAGATGGAACTCAGGCCCCACCTGGACACAAGTCCCTAGGTAGATACACAGGCCCTGTAGGCCCTGGGGAACATCAGGCCTTAGGTGAAGTTCTAGGCTACAGGTGGACATCTTGCTCCAGTTGGACATCTGGTCCCAAGTGGACATCAGTCTCCAGGTGGACACAAAGTCCCAAGTTGGACATCAGCCACCAGGAGGACTTTAGTCCTCTGGTGAACACCAGCTCCCAGGTTGACATCAGGCTACAAGTTGACACCTAGGGCCCAGATGGACATGTGGCCCCATATGAACACTAGTCCCCAGTCAGCTGGGGCCTGGGTCCACCTGGAGCCTGAGGCTTAGCTAGAGACTGGATATCCACCTGAGGCCAAGGTATCTACCCAGGGACTGGTGTCAAAGTGGGGCCTGATATCTACCTGGGGACTAGGTATCCACCTGGGGCTTGATGTCCACTTCCAGCCAGATGACCTTCTGGAGTCTGATGTCCACCACAGGCCGGGGTGTCCATCTGGGGCCTGGTGTTGATTTGGATTCCAGTGTCTACCTGGAACCTGGAGCCATGTTGTCCACTTGGAGCCTGGAGTTTTCACCTGGGGCCTGGTAGACATCTGGCCCCAGTAAACATCAGCCTGGGGCCTGGTTGTCCACTTAGAGCCTGGAGTTTTCACCTAGGGCCTGAAGATCACCTGGGACCCGGGTGTCCACCTGGGACATCAGGCTCCAGGTGTACACCCAGGCTCCAGGGGAGAACAGGCCCCAAGAAAACTCCAGACCATATTAAACATCAAGTCTCAGGTGGATGCCCAGGCCCCATGTGTACACCAGGCCCCAGGTAGAGAGTGGACGCCAGCTGAACATCCGCCCCAAGGTTGACACCCATACTACAGGTGGATATGAGGCCCCAGGTGAATACCTATGCTTCAGATGTGCATCGGTCCCCAGGTGAACATAAGGCCACAGATAGACATCAGGCCTCAGGTGCACATCTGGCTCCAGGTAAACATCAGGCCTTAGGTGGATACCCAGTCCCCAGGTGGACATCATAGACCAGGTTGACACAAAAAAATCCCAGTGGGTATCATGTCCCAGTGGACGTCCAGGCTCCAGGTAAACACCCCAGCCCCACTGTAACCATAACCACTGTAACGAGAAATGGTAGGTCTAAGTACCAACCATCATGCTCCTTGCTCACAAAAGGATGCTTAGATATTTTATTCAAAATACAACGCCATTCATCACTCTGAGCAGCGATGTATAGAAAGGAAAAGAAAAATAAACCAGCCCTCAAGGAATCCATCCAAAATGAGGTAGATACTATAAGGGACAGAAATCCCCAAATGAAATGTTATAGTTGACATAGAATAGTCTTTAAAACCCATTAATTTTCTCGCACATTTGATACAAAGCATTATTTCCAGAGACTGAACCTAGAAAGAATTGCTTAAGACTAGGAGTCTTGTTCTGGCCTGGATCCCACACTGTTGAACATCTATACTTAGTACACCACATTATACATAGCACTGACATGACTCGTGTGCATTTAATTTTCTAATACTTGTTCATCTCTGGCATACTTTATATATATATATATATATATATAACATATGTAACATACATGCATACAAGTACACACACACACACAAAAAGTATATAAGGGTAGGATAGTAAAATTGTGCAGTAACGTTTCTTGTGAAAGTGGTGGAAAGTGGATTGCCTTGTCGACATGCTGGAATGTGCTTCCATTGGCAGAAGTAAGGCTTTCAAAACTAGTCGTTTTCATTTTTCTCTAGCAACTGGGAATATTAATAATCGAAGATGTGTTGGTATAAAAATAATCATAATAATCACAATGAAGTGGTGTTAATAATTATATCACAAGATATAATAGACATTATAGATATTATAAGATGTCAAAAAAAAGAAGATGCCATAAAATCTTTGAGATGATTTATACGTTAAATGCGGCCTTCTGTGCCGCCCTGGGGCGCCACTCTCGCTGGGTTCTTGGCGGTGCTCACCCTACTCCACCTGCTCAGCCCAGGCTCCTGCGTCCCCAGAGTCAGGCCATGGGAGCGAGGACCTTGCTGCGACCCTAGACAAGGACAATGAGGAGGGGGTGCACGTGGAGTCCCCGCGGATAGGCTGTACGCCGGGCAGGAGCCTTTGCGGGGGTGCACAGCCTCCTCTGGAAGCCCTGGTTGCTGCCGGGTGCCTGCTGCGCCCTGCGAGCTCCGCGGTTGTGGAGCCAGGCCTGCACTGCCTGCTCTCGGCCCCGCCTGCGGACCCTCTGCCCTTTGTCTTGCCCGTGGGGCCCGGGGCCTCAGCTGGCCCGGGGTTCCTGAAGTTAGCTGACGATGGGCTGGCCTCTGGGACTGGGTCGTGGGCCTTGTGCACTGGCCGCCACGTCACCAGCGCCAGGCCTCCCCGCGGTGCTGCTGGAGATGCGGGATGCCCGGGCTCTGGCTCTGCTGGGTCCCCTGGCGCTGCGAACCCCGTCACCTTCCATCGCGGCCACCATGCTGCCCGCTGGTCAGCCCTGGTCTGCAGACTTCCTGGGACCCCTCCGGCACCAAGGAGGCATCACTCACAGCCGCTTGCGACACCGGGGCCGCCTGAACCTCCGCCAGGGCTGCGCCGCGCAAGTGGCTCCAGCCAGCCAGCCCTGGCCCATGAGCCGGACTTTCGGCTCCCCGAGATGATTGCCCTCGGCAGGGATACACGGCTATGGAGGAGGCAGCGGATACCTTCCAAAGTTTGTGGACACTCTTCTGCCACACCAAAAGTTTCACCATCAGCTGCGATGCCGACTCGGGCGCAGAGACCACTCCGGGATGTGGACCAGGCAGTGCCTTTGCTGGGCATCCGCAGTGCTGACCACCCCAAGTGCAGATCCCCACTTCGTGTTCCTCCTACTCCACATTCCACATCCAAAGTTCTCTCACCATTTCTAAGCAGGAGAAATCAAAAGAAGCTGAAATCAGAAAGAAAGAGAGAGAGAGAGAGAGAGAGAGAGAGAGAGAGAGAGAGAGAGAAAGCTATGCGCAAAAAAAAAAAAAAAAAAAAAAAAAAAAAGAGCAAAACCTTTTGGAAAGCATAAAACGCCCCAAAGCCAAAAACTAATTCTTATCTCTTTTAAACCTTCTGCACTTCTCCAATGATGAATGTTTTTTTTTAACCACTGGCAATTCATAATTATTAACTTCTCTGGCATTAATGAATAGAAATTGAATCACATATGGAAGTATAATTTGTATTATACGAAGCTTTTCATATTTTAAAAAATATTTGTCCAGTTTTTCTCCATGGATTAACAATGGGAGATTTTCAACATTGCTGTGTTAATGTCTCCTGAGATAATTAGATGTGAATAATCTTTTATAAACAGAATTTCCTGGGTGGAATTTCTCATCTTCAGGAGCTCCGTAAATAACCATGTCCCAAGAGAACTGTGAATTTGGGAACTGCAAGAACTGAGTCCAAACTTGTCCAGCCTGGAAGCTTTTGGGTGATCGCTCTTGCAGGTGACTTCACTGCCTTCTGTTGAAGGGCCAGTGAGAGCCTGGGGGTTTCAACCTGCAAGAGCCTTACCATTTTAGGGTTAGCATTAACAATGAGGAAAAGGCATACTTTTTTTGATATTCTCCGTATGTAACAAAATAGTTACCAAAACAAAGCAAAGTGTGAGTGGTGACTATTGAGAGGACCCTTTCTATCTTTGCTGGATTCCCAGAGATTTCTGGGTTTCTTTTCGAGTCAATAGTATCTCCATGTTAATTGTGAGCTCTTAAAACCCACAATATGAGTTGCAGCCAGTGACTAGAGATGCAGCCAGTGACTAGTGTTGCAGCTTGTTAAACTGATCACTGGTGGTAGAGCCTTTTCGTTCTGCTCATTTCTTAAAAGGTCAGCTTGGTCAGAGATTAGTGCTACCCTGCCAGAAATAAGCAGTTAGGAATCAAGTAAAGGAGTCAGCTAAAAGCGTAATTACTAAGTAGTGAGGTCATGGCTAGATGGTTGTTGATCTCATTTTCTCTCTGCTGCTGATTTCAAGGCTTTATACCACGTTTTGATGTAACATAGAATGTATACTATGAAGGACAAATAGTCTGTTAGCTTCTTGGAGCTATACTCCGTTACTGGAGCAGGGGACAACAATTTGAAGGACATTACTACTTAGACAGTTTAATCTGCCTTTGGCTAGAATAAACTTCAAGTTCCAAGGGCTGGGTTCAGTTGTTATGCAAATTTAGATTGTTGCGGTAAAATTTCCGAAAAAAAAGGATAGGACTCTTTAGATGAAATAAGAATTTAACTGTATTTGAACTCTGTTGAAGGCCAGACAAGTTTAGGCAAAATCCCACGACTGAATACTCTGTGATGAGTCCCTTTAAATTCCAACGTATAATCTATGTTGGTAAATATGATACGTGCACTGGAAAAGGATGTGTATTCAGTAGTTGTTGAGTGTCGCGTTCTGTATATGTCAGTTTATGTCAAATTTGTTCATTGTGTTCATCAAATCTCCCTTTCTCTTATGGATTTTTTTCTGTTGGTCCCATCGGTAATTGAAAGGTATGTTAAAATCTATATTGTAGATTAGTCCATTTTTCTTTTAGTTATATCAGTTTCTGTAGTAAATAATTTGAAGGGGTATTTTATATTTATACATATTTAAAATTGGCATACTTTTCTAGTGACTGACATTGTAAAATCTTTTTTATCTTAGCAATATTTCTTTGCTTAAATCTAAACTGTCAATAATAACATAGCAACATGAGCTTTGTGCTGATTAGTGTTTGCAGGCATGTTTTCCATTGTTTTACTTCCAAATGTCTGGAGTCTTGTATTCAGATAAATTAATTAAAACATAAAAAATAAATATAATATAAAACATTAAAAAGTAAATATTCTAAAAATCCAGCCAGAGATGTTTCACTTCTAATTGAAGTGTTTAGGACCACGGCTCTCACACTGTGTGCTAAGGTGCCCTGAGATGCTGTGTTTAACTGACAGGGGCACCAGCGGATAGCGTGTGAGTCTGTGTATGTGTGTGTGTATATTCGAGATGGGGGTCTCACTCTGTCCCCCAGACTGGAGTGGAGTGTGAGGTCTAGGCTCACTGCAGCCTCTGCCTCCCTGAGTAGCTGGGACAACAGGCATGCACCACCATGCCTGGCTAAGTTTTGTAATTTTAGTAGAGACGGGGTTTTGCCATGTTGCCCAGGCTGTATATTTTCGAGGGAAACGAAGCAACATTTGCTGGAGACCTTAAGAACTACTAGCTGAGGCAGTTTATAGTTTCAAAAGTAGTTAGTTAGAAGTGCATTTCTTTACCTTTAAGGTGGGTGTTGTTAATTACCGCGAAGAAAGCAAGTATTGTGCTAAAGTCAGTGTGGAATAGGAATAAGGTCCAGTGGTTGAGATCCAGTCTGATTTTAAGATTTGAAAAGTTGTGCTGTGTGCCCAACAGGCACACACATCCCATTAGTAAGTAAATTGTGCTTTTTAAAGAAAGAAACAAAAAAACTGTTTCTACTTCCATTGCGTGTTATTTATTATATGTACTTGCAAATCCATCACCAAAATAAAAATAATGAACATATCCAGCACTCATAAAAGTTTCCCCTTGCCCTTTTATAATCCCAAACTTTCTGTATCTTCCTACCTTACCACTCTCCCTGGCAATAACCAATCTGTCACTATAAAATAGTTTGCCTTGTCTAGACATTTATATAAATGAAGTGTAGTACGGACCCTTTTTTGGAGGTGTCTGGCATCTTTCACACAGCATAATTATTTTGAGATTCAGCTATATTGCAGGCATCAATAGGTCATTAATTTTATTACTGAGTAGTATTCTATTGTGCAGATCGGTCACAACTTATATATCCATTTGCCTGTTGATGGGTTTCAGCATTGCTTCCGGTTTTGGACTTATACAAATACATTTGCAATGAACATTCATGTACATAAGTTCTTATAACTTTGAGTAAATATTAGGAGTGTAATAGCTAATAGGTTTAGGTTTAGTTTTAAGAGACTGTCAAAATGTTTGCCAAAATGGTTGTACCATTTTATATTTTTATCAGCAGTATATAAGAATTCCACACTCTTGCCAACACTTTGTATGGGCCTTCTTTTAAAATTTTAGACATTTTCACGTGTGTACAATAGTATTTTATTGTGGTTCCATAATGCCTAATAATATGTAGTATCTCTTTATATACTTACATGCCATCTGTATATATTTGGTAAAGTGTATGTTCACATTTTTTTTTGCTTCTCCCTTTTTTGTTTTTTTCTTTGCTTATTTTCTCATTATTAAATTTTAATAGTTTCTTTATATACTCTGGATTCAAATCCCTTATTAGATATGAGATTTGCCAGTATTTTCCCGTTGAGTTTTCTTTTTTGTTCTCATAACATTATCTTTCAAATAGCAGATGCTCTTAATTTTGATGGGGTCCAATTTATTAATTGTTCTTGTGCATTTGGTTTTTGGGGCTTCATCTAAGACTTTTTGATTAATTGAATATTACAAAGATTTTTTTTCTGTATTTTCATCTAAAACTTCATAGCTTTTAATACTTTATTTTATATTTAAGTCAATGATCCTATAAGTGACAGAGCTTTAACCCAAGTCGCTGTCATGCATAGCTGGACCCGGGGGCTTATATAAAATCTTCAAGAAATGTTCTCCTTCTTTCTCTTGACACTTTTCCTTTTGTTTTAGCCTCATTTTTTCCTTCTGAAGATGACTCTCTTCTCTCTCTGTAGCAAGAGATAGTGCTACAAATAACCCACTTTACTTTTTCCTCACAGACCACAGTGGTAGAAAAAGCAAGAGTCCTTCCTGATGATTCCAAAAAAAAAAGTACTGAAACAGTTGCTATGATCCAAGGGTAGAGTCTTTTGCCAGAGCTGGGCATCATGATCACCTCTAGGGCTGGGGCTGGTAGGTTGGGTCAGGCCCAGTTGGTGCTCATTGAAATGGTCCCCAAAGAAAAGGGGGGCTCTCAAGAGGAGAGGTGCTGAACACTCCACCAAAAAATAGCCACTGCGTACATACCTACAATTCCTTGCCATTTTATAAGCAACTGGTTGGGTGAACAATGACTGGAAATTCAGTTGTCATTAACTTTCCTTTATAATGTCAGTAGAATGAGCCATATATTTCACATGTTGTGGGTTATGTCCATGATAGTCATTTCTGTATATTAGGTATCAATTTGGAGTATCATCTGAAGAAATATACTATTTTGTGATGTTATCCTTAAATTAATATCTTTAGGATAAAGAATTATAGGATGAAAGAAAAGTCTAGGCTAGAAATAAAAGAATAGAGAAAATGGGAGCATGGATATACTGCAGAAAATGGCCAAACAGGAAAAGTACTTGTGAGAGGTATTGAAGTACATAATTGATGTCACATAGACCTCCAGGAAATTACAACTACTGGCATAAGAACAAACTATCTGAATAGTCTTTGCTAATACTGAGTCTTTTCTGCTTGCAAAAGAAGTAAGAATGGTAAGGAATTGGGATATTGTTCAGATAGGCCTCAATGCATTTATTCATTTACCTGTTGATGGGGTTTGGGGGTATTAATGAAGGATGTTAATAAATAATAATGGGCATGTTAGGTAATCATAATTGATTTGTCCATTTGGTCTGAAGAACATTTTGCCTACCTTCTTTTTTGTCGAGGGATTCATTTTTAATGTCATGTTGGATTCTATGGCTTACTAAATGTGTCATTGCCTATTTATGGATTCTGAAGAATTTTATAAAATGTATTTGCCAAACTTTTTGAAAGCTTAGAACTTCTCCAAGGAAGAAGTTCTTTAGTGCTTTAGTGCTGCCCTGACAAATATGGTAGCCACAGCCATGTGAATATTGAGCATTTGAAATGTGGCTAGGCTGGACCGAGATGTGCTGTCAGGGTAAAACACACACCAGATTTTGAAGACTTAGTAGGAAATAAAATTAAACATATCTAATTAATAACTTTTATATTGGTTAGACATTGAAATAATATTTTGTATGTATTTTACATATAAAATACATTCATGTGTATGCATAATTAATATCTTCATATGAAATACTTATCAATTACAATTGGAAGAATGATGACTTTGCAGTGGAGAAATCTGGCACAAACTTGATCATGTGCCTCCTGCTGTGATGTCCTAGGAAGACCACAGCATTATTTCTGTGGTTTTCTTGTGAAAGATACATGACCTAAGTCTGGATGTGGAAACACATCAGATGGAAAAAGGTGAACACATCCTTCTTAAATGCTTATGCTCTTTAAAACTCTTAAGGTTATGAAAAATAGGGCAAAACAGAGGAACTGTTTGAAGTTGAAGGAGCTTAAGATACATGACAATTAATGCAATGGGAAATCCTGGATTGGATCCCGGATTACAAAGTTAAAAAAAAATGTATTTAGGGCACACCTGAGAAAATTTGGATGAGATTATAGCATCTGTTGATTGGACCGTAGTGTTGGGTGAATGCTGATATCCTGATGTGGATGATTATATTCTGGTTATGAGAACTTTTCCCACATTCCTCATCATTTGCCCAGTGGGTTCATGGAGAATGTGGCGATGGTAGCAGGAGAAGATGCTACATGTTTCCAATAACATGAACTTCCCTGCAGCAGTGCTGCCTACTGCCCAGATGAGTGCCCTGACTGCCAACAATGAGCAATGCTGAGACCCTGGAAAGAGGAGCTACCTTGCCTAGACCAGACAGATTTCTGGTAATGTTGTAATAATATTTTTTCCCTTCCTTCATGGAAGTGGTAAAGAATTGCCCTCACTGGAATAGATGCATATCGGAATATGGACTCCACTTCATATGCTTCTCATAGCATCAAATTATTTACATTTGCTGAGTTCTTATTCTCTGCTATCATACAATTACTATTGATGATGGGGCTTATTTTACAAAAAAAGAAGTGATGCCATGGGCTTCAGCCCATATTTATTGGTCTTGTGACATCCCACATCACCCAGAGAAACATGACCTCACAAGAATCAGTTACTTCACCAACTGTGAGACCCTGAGGGGCTGGGTTTCTATCCTACAAGATGTGTTAGATGCCCTGACCCAAGAGCCCTCCTACCCAGAATGCATGGTTCCATGTAGCAAGGATCATTGTGATGGTGGTGATGATGATGGTGAGGATGGTGATGGTGAAAGTGGATGTGGTGATAATGAAGTGATAGTTATGTTGAGGATGATGAAGGTGATGATGATGGTGAGAATGGTAAAGGTGAACATGGTGATGGTGAGAATGGTGATGGTGGTGATTGTGATGGTGATGATAAGGATGGTGATGGTGAAGGTTGTGATGATAATAGTGATATTTATGGTGAGGATAATGGTGATGATGAGGATGATGATGGTGAGAATGGTGATAGTGATGATGATAGTGATGGTAATGGTGATAATGATGATGATTATGAGGGTGGGGAGGGTGACAATAAGTATTATGGTGAGGATGGTGATGGTGAAGGTGGTGATAACGATAGTGATAGTTACGGTGAAGATGCTGGTGTTGATGATGGTGAGAATGGCGAGGGTAAGAATGGTGATGGCGACGATGATAGTGTTTGTGATTGTAAGGATGGTGATGGCGATCATGGTGATGATGATGATAGTGCTGACTGGGCTATGAGGTAATGGAGGCAGAAAAATGGCAGTTTCTAGGAAGTATAGAGCCAGCTGGGAACTGCAAGGCAACCTTAGTGGGGGTGGAAGATGTCGGGCCCCTGCCTCATTTCTAGACATCTGGGGAAAGCTCACCCCTCACAGTAGTTCCAGGAACTCCTCCATCCAGCATTTCCTTCTCGCAATCAGCATGGAGCTTTTGGGGTGCAGAGAAGTGTCTTCTATTCACTGCACTCTGTGGGAAGGGAAAAGGGGGAGTGCTATTTATGAACCCAGTATAATACAGTAGGATCTCATCTAATATATTTTGGGAGGATTTTCAGCTGAAGAGAGCAAGCCTCAGAGAACTCAGGTAACTTTATCTTCAATAGCATCCAGTTGTGATTTATTGAGCAGTTACTATGTGCCAGGCAACATGTTGGGTGGTTCCTTATATGTTATCTCATGAAATCCTACAGCAACACAAGGAGACAGGCATAACTACCCCATTTTAAAAATTGTGGCAAAATAAACTAAAATTTACTGTCTAACTATGTTTAAGTTTACATTTCAGTGGCATTAAATACATTCGCAATGTTGTGCAACCAATTTCCAGAATGCTTTTCATCTTGTAAAACTACAATTCTGTAACTCATTTAGAAAGAACTCCCCAATCACCATCCTCCCCAGGACCTGGTAGCCACCATTCTCCTGTCTGTCTCTATGGATTTGACTACTCTAGGTGCCTTGGAAAAGTGGAATAATACAGCATTTGTCTTTTTGGTCTGGCTTATTTTGCTCAGCCTAATGTCCTCAAGGTTCATTCTTGATGCAGCAGGTGTCAGACTCTCCTTCCTTTTCAAGGCTGAACACTATTCCACTGTATGCATAGACAGCATTTTGTTGATCCATCCATCCATCCATGGACACTTGGGTTGCTTCCACCTTTTGGTTATTGTGGATGATGCTGCTCTGAACATGGTTGTGCAAGTATCTCTTCCAGGCTAGCCCCATTATACAGAAGAGCATAGAGAGATTCTGGGAGGAGGGATGACCTTCCCGGGGCCTTTGGTGAGGTCCTGGTGGAGGATCTCCTAGATCACAAAGGCAGAGCTCCTCTCCTCACCCCACTGCCTTTCTTAGGACCTGCCTCCTGCTCCACCACACAGTGCCCACTCCCTGGTACTAGACTTGCTAAGGCCTCTTGATCCCTGAAAGTTCAGGGACAGGAACTGGTGGGCACAACTACAGTCACTCACTTCTCTGTCCCCTACTGCAGATTCTGTGCCAAACAATACATGACAATGACCTGCTTTCCACTCTTTCACCAGATGTGGATGAGGCACCTACTGCATGCCAGGCATGTGTGGGCACTGGATGGAGACCCCTGGGAAATGAGAAGATGTGAGCTCCTCAAGGCCAGGGGCATCCCTTTCACTTGCTGCTACCCTGTGAGGGATGGAGGGGAACCCTGAGGCATTGGAGAAGTGCATGAGTGACCTAGCTCAGATGATGATATCATAGTAACCCTGTTTATTATCACCTACCATGTGCCAGGCATTGTGCGAAGTACTTCGCACACATTACCGGCTGTAAAGCTCAGAGACAACTGTAGGAGTGAATCTGTTATACCTCCCACTTTACAGGGGAGGAAACTGATGCCCAGAGAGGTAAACCAGTCTTCCCCAGGCCTTGCAGCTAGTCTCTGGGATGTGGATCCAGGTGGTCTGACTCAGAGATCCCCTCATCCTCTTGGTTTTTGCCCCTGTAGCCCTCTGGCCTGTCCCCAGGGCCCTGTACCCTTGGCCACCCCGAAGATGACCTGGACATGGGCTTCAGCAAAGGCAGCAACCCCAGCACATCTCCATTTGATAGGGAGGAACCTCAGGTCCACCACAGGAGCCCTGGGCTGCAGGTGGTGTAGGTGCTGGCTGAACCACAATGCACCCATGTTGGAGGATGCACCCTAGGATGGGCAGCAGCAGGAGGTCTCCCTGCCCAACAACCGGTAGTGGTACCTGAGAACAAAGGAGGAGAAGGAGGCTTTGGGCACAGGTGTGGAGAAGCCCAAGGAGGAAGAAGAAGACTTGGACTATGGGCTGCTGGATGGCCTCAAGGACCCCCTCCCAGAAAAGGAACTTTGAGACTTATACCCAGGGCTGAGATGAAAGTGCTCCCTATTTTCTATCCTGGAACTGCTGCAAACCTCAGTGTGACATCACAGGGCCTCATTTCCCTATTTGTAAAATGGGATTTTATGGGGGTTCCAATGAGACACTGGACTGAGAGCATTTTGAGAACTGTAAAAAATGTACAGTGAGGGAATAATTATTATCAATGGACCATTGCTCTTCCAATAGTTAGTATTCTTTAGCAAATATTTGAAGGTAAAATATGATTTGTTGAGGAGGTTTGCAGCAGCTGAGGCCCTCAAGAGTCTTTTCTGTCTCCGTTCAAAGCTGGCCTCTGACAGGGACCTTCTTGGTGCTACCCCTGGGCCCCTCATCCTTTGTGCAGGCTTCTCGGGGTTCTTATTTTCTTGCATCTTGTGGTTCCCTAGTGGATGGCATGCTCCATCTTCACTCAGAGCTAACTGCATCTCCTCCAGGCCCATGTCCCTTGTGCAGCACCCACTGCTCCCTCACCAGGATTCAAAACCTTCTGTGACTGACTTCTGCTGACCTCCCAACTTTATCCTCCCTCATTCTTTCTGCTCCTCCAGTTCCATGCCTGTGCCCCTCAATCCTGTGGCTCACACTCTCACCCAAGCTGTTCTCCATCAGGATTTCCTTGGCTCCCCTTTCTGCTAGGCAAATTTGTGTTCATCCTTCCAAGCCTTGCACAGATGTCCTCCTCTGAAAGCTCTCCCTGAGGTCACACAGTCCAGGAACAAGGTAGTCCTTGCTCCTCTGCTGCCTCTGGGTTTTGTGCCTTTATCACTTTGGTGTGACTGCCTAACTCCTGCTGAAGGGAGGCATTTTGGCTTTACTCACCTCAGTATCTCCTGGGTCCAGCTGGGTGTCTGGCCTGGCCCAGAATTGGTGCTCATCGAGGGTGTAAAGAACTCACAAGGACCCAAGAATGTTTTGCAAATAATACCACCCTCCCACACTTCTCCAATGTTTACTTTCTAAGCTCCTTTACTCTTTGACATTCAAATTTCTAAATGGCCTGTATGTATTTACAAAGCCTGGGAAAATGCCTTCAGAGAACAAACACACCCCACCGGCAGAATGTATTTGCATTGACTAGGATTATGGATGAAATTCAGCTTTCCGGCAAATGAATCATTTGGCATTGGCTGAGTATCTGCTCTGTGCCAGATACTAAGCTGTGATCTCTAGAAAGAGACATGAACTACTGACACAGTCCCTGACCCCGAAGAGCTCAGAATCCAGTGAGCTTGATTTCTTGTAAGTTAGAGACAGAGTTCAGAGCAGAAGCTCAGGCAGGAGAAGAGAAGTAAAATGGACACACCAGAGGCAGTGACAGCCACACAGGTGTCTGGGGACACTGAGTGCAGTAACAAATAGCTTAGGCTGCCTTGGCAGCCCACGAAGGTATCACGGTTTCCTATTGCAGCATCTCAGTGTTGCTTTTGTTATGCTGATCTCTGCAAAGCCCCTCTGTGCCCCAGCCCAGGATGGTGGCAGCCATGCTGTGGATAAAAGGGCAGTGACGAGGACCACAGGCTCAGAGCTTGCACCCTGGGCCGCCTGGGAATGGGAGCCCTTCACATGTTCTCTGCCTCTGTGTTCAGGTTGGGGGTCCTGGCCAAGGAAGGGAGATGACCCCCATGCTAGGTCAAAAGGACACACTCCCGGGAACAGACTGTCTCTTCTTTCTGGGTAATTTCTGCCTCTGCAGTGAATGGTGAAACCAGACACATCCTCTCTGTTGGTATGACACAAAGACAGGCGTTCCTGCTCGTGGGCTGAATCTTCAGATGAGGGGAGGTGTAGCACACTCCTGTGCTCTGCTGACTAAGGCAGGGGCACATGTCACCCCATCAGAATGAGTGCCAGACCAATGGCTACAATAAAATCATTTCCAATATTCAAAGGAGTCACCTTCATTCATCTACAAATACTTTTCCTTTTCTTTTCTTTTCTTTTCTTTTTTTTTTTTTTTGAGATGGAGTCTTGCTCTGTTGCCTAGGCTGGAGTGCAGTGGCCTGATCTTGTCTCACCACAATCTCTGCCTCCCGGGTTCAAGCGATTCTCCTGCCTCAGCCTCCCAAGTAGCTGGGACTACAGGCGCCCACCACCACATCTGGCTAATTTTTGTATTTTTCATAGAGACAAGGTTTCACTATATTAGCCAGGCTGGTCTTGAGCTCCTGACCTTGTGATCCGCCTGCCTTGGCCTCCTAAAGTGCTGGGATTACAGGTGTGAGCCACCGCGCCTGGCCCAAGTTTTTTCTATAAAACCACCTATTGCACTCAGGATAGGGTAAATGATGCATCATGCCTGCGAGTGCCCACCATCATGCTGTGCAGTGCCTGTGTGGTGCTGAATCTCAGGAGCAGCTCCCATCCTGTGAACAACTACAGGGACATTAGACATAAGCAAAGACCTCTGGTGGCCACGCCAGCCAGCAAGCAGATGCTAACCCTGTCCTGGGGGTCTGCAGGGAGGTCGGGCCAGTGGAGAGGTGGCGAGACCCATGTGTGGTCCCCCAAATCCCGCCCATGCTATGCAATGGGGGCGACCACACACCCGATCTGCCTGGGAGGGTCCTGGTGTGCCCACTGCCTCGCTGAGTTATGAGGGGTGCTGCCTCTCACATCTCACCGGTATCGCATTTGAAGGACAAATTATGTCTTCCCTTCCCCACCCTGTGGACCTCTGTTTCCTCATGTGCAAGTGGGGGATGATATGCTTACATGGTTATGCAGTGGGGGTATCGATGGGATCCTTCTGTGAATACCCTGCATCCAGCGACCACCTGGAGCACACCTGCAGTTCGCAAGCTGGGCTTCCTGCTGCAGTGAGGGGAGCAAGCACTGCCTGGAGCCAGGGAGTTTCTCTGAAGGAGGTGTTGGAAAGGACTTGTTCCAGAATTTGGGCTTGTATTGGGAGCTTGGGGGAGGGTTGAAAGAAGCCTTTGCTCCAGATTGGATGCTGTCAGAGGCAGGGTGGATTCTATCACCTGGCATCTTCCCCAATCTTACCTAGAAGGAAGGAAGAAGACAAGACCGAAGCTAATGCTGCAATTGACAAAGAGGTAGTGGTCATGACATAGACACAGGGGAGGGGCTGTGAGGTCATTTTTGTCCATGTTTTGCATGAGCTGAGCCATGATAGCTACCAAGTGACCTTGCTTTGTCTTGACCCATCATGGTCACAGAGCGACCCTGTCTGATGCTGACAACCTGTGCAGTTCAACAAGAGAACACCAACGCCTTGCCAGCAGTGGCTGCCGTCCTCCTGAGGCCTCGCTGCTCCTCCTCTGGGGCCGACTGCTGACCTTGGGAGGTGTGGAGTGGGAGGGGAATATGCCATGGGTTTTTTTTGCAGAGCAAGGGCAGGAGACTCTGATGTCTTCAGCTCTGGCCATCCTGAGTGCTGTGATCTGCTTCCCCTGCTTCCTACACCACCCGCAATCCCACCACGCTGCTGCAGTCACTGCCAACTCATAGTGCCTTCTAAGGGCTCCAGTGTCTCTGGGACACCCCCTCTCCCCTGGGAGGGAAGCAAGGTGCTCATGAAGGTCCCAGGTGGAGGTGCTGAAAGAGTGTAGAGGTGCCTTCTTGAGTGTCAAAGTCTGGGATTCCAGCTTTCAGCCTCAGGCTCCAGGTGTGTGTGCCGAAGTGGAATATTCTGCTCTCATTCGCTCTCCCGCCTGGTCAGAGGAACTTGGGGAGTTTCCTCTCTAGGGGAGGGAAAGGTCCTGGAGAGGTGGCCTTGCCCTGAACTGGAAAGGGGTGGGCATGGGAAAGCAAGGGCCTGGGCTCTGCCTACTGCTTGCTGACAGCCTGGGCACAGCACTGCCTTCCCTGGGCTTCTGCCTCTTTTCTCTGTATGATTAGGTGGAGGTGGATGGGATTCTGCTTCTACTCCCAGTCCTTGGGCACCATGTCAGGTACTCACACACTTATGACCCCATCTGGTCCTTGGAACAGCACTGGGGGATGGATCTGTCAACCTCACGTTGCAAATGTTTGTTCTAAATCCCACACTCTGAAGTCAGAAAGACCTGGGTTTGCCCTCAGCCACTGACGGTTGCTTGCTATGTGACCTTGGACAAGTTGCTGCCCTTCTCTGAGCCTCAACACCCACATTTACACAGAGGAAGAATAATACCTCCCTCTTGGGCTGCTGTGAAGCAGAGCTAATGGGTACATTGCCTCAGGCACATTGCAGGTGCTCAAAGTGTTGGTCTTTCCTTCCCTTTCTAGGTCTCCACTTCCTCATCTACGCAGTAGGGAGCAACTCTGTCCTGATTATAAATAAGACAATAGGTGAATGCACTCAGCAAGCCTGGGGGCAGGGATGCGTAGAGAAGCTTCTTGCAAAGGTGAAGAATGTGTGCTCTGAGCCCCGTGCTGAGAGGCAGGCAAGAGGACAGCAAGCCCAGCGACTGAGGCCTACAAAATGCCCCCTGCAGAGAGGGAGGAGGAGCAGTGTTCTAAGGCGGGTGGGAGGCAGCATTCCCAGTGCTTGCAGGAGGAGCAGGACTGCTTGTGCTTGCTCAGGTGGGTGGTAGGTTAGGTTCTTAGGCATCTGCTGGGTATCAGATGCTGCACAAGCATCATCTCCGTGAATTTAATCTTTCCATCATCCCTGAGAGGTGGGCATTACAGGGGCATAGTGGGATTGAAACACAGGTCCCCTGAGCCTGTGCCTTTTCTACAAGGCAACTTAGTTCACATGTAATAATAGGACCCAAAAATACACCTGCTATGCTGTGCTCACCTGATTTCATAACATCCTTGTGACCTGCGAGGTTGGTGTACTGTCCTTATTTTATGGATGAGAAAACTGAGGCTCAGAGAGGCTGAATAATTTTGCTCATCCTTCCAAAGAACTAAAGGGAAGAGAGGTGCTATAGCTGTGGGGCCTTCTATTCCTGGGAGGAAGTGTGCAGTACCCCAGGCCATTCTGACCCTAGTGCAGGCAGGAGAAAAGGCACATCAACAAATCCAGCAGCAAGCTTCCACTGAGGGCCTCCCTGGCCTTTCCTTGCACTAGTGCTGAGGGAGAAACAGCCTTGTTCCTTCACCTAACATGGCTTCGTGCCGCCCCCAGGATAAAGGTCAGGGTCCTCAGGTCTGTGTTTGAGACTCTTCATGGTCTGATCCCACCTGCATTTCCAGCCAAATCCTCCACCACAGCCCCCAGTGCAGCAGCCCTGGCCATCTGTCCCATCCCACCATCCTGCCTTGGCTCAAGCTGTTCCCTCTGTCCCATGCTATTCACACATAGAACAAGGAGAAGTTTGATATAGGCTAACCTGAAGTTTCCATTTGAGAGCATTTTCAGCTTTTGGAAACAGACATTTCACCCAAAATTCCAGATTCCCTGCTTCTCTGAAAATACATACATACATACATACATAAATCTGCTTTTACTATGCACTATTCTGTTTTTTGAGACAGAGTTTCACTCTTGTTGCCCAGGCTGGAGTGCAGTGGTGTGATCTCCACTCACCGCAACCTCTGCCACCCAGGTCCAAGTAAGTCTCCTGCCTCAGCCTCCTGAGTAGCTGGGATTTACAGGCATGCACCACCATAGCCGGCTAATTTTCATGTACTCTTTTTTTAGTAGAGATGGAGTTTCACGATGTTGGTCAGGCTGGTCTCCAACTCCTGAACTCAGGTGATCCACCAGCCTCGGCCTCCCAAAGTGCTGGGATTACAGGTGTCAGTCACCTCACTTGTCCAGTCTGCACTATTCCTTAGTGTCAGACAATTTGAGACAAACAATGTCTTTCTCATTTGGACGTGACCTTCAGGGTCTAATTTTTGTATTTTCAGTATAGACCAGGTTTTTTTTTTTTTTTTGACAGAGTTTCACTCTTGTCCCCCAGGCCAGACGGTGCAGTGGCATGATCTCAGCTCAATGCAACCTCTGCCTCCTCGGTTCAAGTGATTCTTCTGCCTCAGACTTCCAAGTAGCTGGGATTACAGGCGCCTGCCACCACAGCCGGCTAATTTTTTGTATTTTTAGTAGAAACAGGGTTTTACCATGTTGGGCAGACTGGTCTCGAACTCCTGACCTTAGGTGATCTACCCTCTTCAGCCTCCCAAAGTGTGGAATTACAGGCATGAGCCAGAGCCTGGCCTCACCTGGCTAATTCTTTGTATATTTGAAGAGACGGGGTTTCACCATGTTGGCCAGGATGGTCTTGATCTCCTGACTTCGTGATCTGCTGGCCTCAGCCTCCAAAAGAACTGGGATTAGAGGTGTGAGCCACTGCACCTGGCCTCAATGTAGCTTATTATCAAAGTATTTACATAGAAACATTAATCAAAGGGCACAAGCATTTCAATACTTAGGTTAAGATGAAATCTGTGGCCGGAAGAGTGCCAGACACACATGAAATGTTTTGTGCATGAAGGAACCACAACTTAAAATGATTTTCTGTTATTCGTTTTGGTATGTTATTTTGGAAATGTGATTAATCACGTATGTCAAGGACGTTGGGAAGAATTTCCAGATAGTCTGATATGCATGACATCTTAATCATACAATATAAAGCAAGGCTATCTTAGGAAATTAGGTATCACTGCCAAGGACCTTTACATGAGAAGATAAATTAAAATTACTATTAAATTTGTAACAGTCAGATGGGCTGGCAGGCAAGTTGTGTCATTTTTTTCTTAGCATTTTTTCTTTTCCTTGATTCAATAAAACAAACTTAAACACCAGCTATCTGCAGAACCCTCACTAGACTAAGTTTAATGATATGTGAAACACAGCCTGCACACTCACAGATCCTTGCCACGTTCCGTTCCCATCCTCTCAAAACCTGTGTTACCCTGTGGCTAGATATTTCAAGGAGTTGAAAGAGAGAGACGAATGAGAACCATCTTCTTTCAGGTCGCTCTGCACTGTTCTTGCAGGTAGACAATGATCTCTCCGGTGAGGCTATTATCCTTGGCTGGGGGGTGAGGCCTTAATCCTAGAAAAGAGGCCTCTCAGGGTGGGGAGGTGATTTAAATTCTTTCAAGAGAGACGCAGCTCCCCACCTCATCTGGACCTTCACAAACCTAAACTGGAACCGCCAGAAAAATGACTGACAACGGGCCACACAAGCCAGGCAGAGACGCGGAGAGAGGCTGACCACAGGAAAGGTGGACGTAGAAGATACCGCCCTCTGGCACACAGGGCACATGTGTCCCAACACACACACACGCACACACAGACGGACACAGAGCTAAAGAGTGAGAAAGGGGGGAGAGAGAAACAAGAGAGAGACATACGCACACACACAAACGCACAAAGACATACAGCAGTGGCACGGTAACACCTACCCCCAGGCAGCCCCTGAATTTTCAGGGTTCTGCTCTCCACGACTACAACCCACTGGTGAGAGAGCAGCCCACGGGCACACAAGCAAACCTCTCCTTTTTTGAAGAGACTCACTGGCACACCGTCCGTGCAGGCCTGAGGCTGGGAACCCGCGCTGCTTCCCTGGCCCTCCGCCCGCAGTTTCTTCCTCCTGGACGACCCTCCGTGAATCCCGGCCTCCAGAGACTATCCTGTTGATGCCCTGGCCAGGACTGGTCTCAGTCCCGACTCTGACTAATCCCTCTAGTCTCAGGTACTCGGGAGGCGGAGGCAAGAGAATCACTTGAACCCGGGCGGCAGAGTTTGCAGTCAGCTGAGATCCCGCCACTGCATTCGACTGAGTGACAGAGTGAGACTCCGACTATAAAAAAAGAAAAAGAAAGAAAAGAAAAATGACCGCGGAGCGGCGGCTGCGGGGACTGGGGCGGCGGCGGGTGAAGTGAAGATTGGGAGAGGGCCCTCGTCCACCCTCCCCGAATCCAGGCCTGAGGCTGGGATCTCGCGCTGCCGCCCTGGCGATCCGCCTGAGGTTTCTTCCTTCTGAGGTTTCTTCCTGGTGGTCGACCCTCCGAGAATCCCAGGCTCCGGAGACCATCCTCTTAATGCCCTGGCCAGGACTGCTCTCAGACCCGACTCTGACGCACAATCACACGGGGCTCCTACTTCGCAAAGTCTCAGGGACCCATCCTCGGGCAACAGTGGCAATCACTACGACCAAAGCGGAGGTTCAGGCCTTGTGCATGCGCACTGGCGAGGCCGAATCCCCGCTTGCTCCGGAGTCAGGCGGCGGGTCCTTTAAAAAATGGCGGCGACGCGCGGCTGAGGGGACTGGGGACTGGGGCAGCGGTGGCGGCGGCAGCGCAGTCCGAGGCGGCGGGTGGGAAGAGGACTACGAGAGGGTCCTGCAGGAGGCCCAAGGTTTGGACCCATAGAGGTCCTGTCATCAGGACCTTCTTGATCGGTCTTCTGCTTCGGTTCCCAGTGGAGGAGGAGCTTCAGGGTGCGGCTGGGCTCTCTGGACTCCTCTTCAGATCTGACTATGGATCCCACGGGGTGATCAGGAATGGGGTTACAATGCAGTGAGGCGGGAAGGGTCTCGCTGGGGCACAGAAAGATCCTAAGGGCTGCAAGGCATACTGTCAGCTGAAAATGCACTGATCCATGAGCCCACTGCCTCCCTCCTTCCTAGGTGGAGCTGTGGCCTGACTTCATCTCCAAGGTTCGGGGCTCTGGCATCCTGACACTGCTTTCCACGACATGTGCAAGGAGAGACAGAGGCGAGTCCGAGATGGAGCCAATGTGACCACACGTGGCACTAATGTTCCCCAAGAGCAGATGGAGTCAGTGTGTGTCTTTGAGGCTGTATGGGGCGATGCTGAGACAGATAGTGACATCCAGGTGTGCACAGGTGGGTCGCTGGGACCTCCCACACAAAGCCAAGGAAAAGCCAAGCACACTAGAAAACCTGTGAGACAGGGCCTGTGCCTGAGTCCAAGCCACATTCAGGGATGACTGCCAGAGGGGCCAAGAGGTTTCAACAAATGACACCACACCGACATTCCGCCACCGGTAGGTACCCCTGATGCCACCTCCCCTGCACCCAGAAAAACCCAGTCCGTTTGGCTCCCTGACATCCGTGGCAGCCAAAAGATTCAGTGCTTGGAGGCACTTTCCCCAGGAGCAGAGGAACCAGATGGCCTTCAGGAATGAGAGAGGAAGGGCAGGTGGGATGCAACACTAACTTTTCTAGAAGGCAAAGGTCAGCCACGGTGGGGTTGCCTCCCGCCCTTCCTGGACTGACCACAAAGCCATCATTGGGACATGCAGACAAAGGGAGCTCCCCTGTCCAAGACAGGTATGGAAGCCCAGAACTCCAGGATCATCATACCCTATCATCCAGAAATAGGTTTGGAGAGGGAAGCAATCATAAAAGGGACCCCAATGAAATTTCTCCCTAATGGACTGGGAAGTGTTCTTTGTTGAAGACATTGAGCCAGACTAAGAAGCCTCTAGGCTTCACAGGAACTGGGCAGACAGAGCAAGAGGGAGGACAGAGCAGAGGCCAATGCCACAGCACAATGCCACTATCACGGACATCTGGGAGAAAGTGCCAAATGGGTGACTTGGCAGGAAGGCCAGCGTTTGAGTGACAGACATGTTTGCCCCATCTTGTAGCCAGCTTCCTTCTCCGTCCCAGTGTATAGCTGTGGGTAGATTTCTCAATGAGGGCAAAGGGTGAGAGGAGTGAGAACCATCTTCTTGAAGGTCTGTGGGCACTGTCCTGCGGGTGGACAATGAGCACCTGTGAGGCCTTTGTCCTTGGCTGGGGTGCAGTCGTCTTGATCCTAGCAAGGAGGCAACACAGGATGGGAAGGGTATTAAGACTCCTGCAAGACAGGCCGGAGGCACAAAGCCCCTTCACTGAAGCACAGCCATGGAGAACTCCTTCTATGCCAAAATTCAGGGACTGGATATCAAGACAACAGTGGAAATCACTGTGACGAGACAATCAGCTAGAGCCTCGTGGAGGCACATTGGCTAGGCCGACTAAAGCTCCGGTGCTGGAAGTCAGGCTGCTGCCCCTTGAAACAATGGCTACTGCGCGGTAGCAGAGGGGCTCCTGTTGCAGCCTCGGCAGTGACTGGATCCGAGGTCCAGTTTGCGGTGGCGTGGGAGAGGGTACCGCGGGTGTGCTGTCCTGGGGCCAAACCCCCAGGAGTCCTGTCGTCAGGACCTCCTTGAACCAACTCCCACCAAGGGAGCGGGAGCTTTGGGATGCCTGCTGGGTTCTTGGGACTCCCCTTCAGATCCAATCTGGGCCCCCTCCGAGTGAGATAGGATGGGCTCACCATATCTGGTGAGACAGGCAGGGCCTAGCTGCAGCACAGAATGATCCCATGGGTCTTACGGCGTGGTGTCAGTTGAAAATTCACTGATCCATCAGCCCTCTGCCTCCCTCCTCCTTTGAAAGAGCACTGGCCTGCCCGGCTTCTAAAAGCCCTGGGGCTCCGGAAGGCCGACCGCAATTTACAGGACACGTGCAAACAGGAACGGGGCGAACCCCAGGTGGAGACCATGCGATGACGCGTGGCACTGGCCCATCCCACAGCAGATGGCGTGAATGTGTGTAACCAGAGGAATGTGGGGCGAAGCCAAAACAAACGGTGGTGTCTAGGCATGTGCCCAGTGGAAGGGGGGAACAAGTGACATTTCCATCACAGCAATGAAAAATTAAAGAACACCTGTGAACCAGGAGGGGGCTTGTGACTGACCGGAGCCAAATTTTGAAATTCCTGCCAGAGGAGCAAAGAGGTTTCCGCAAAATTCAACCCACCGCCAAAGCTCCATCGCCCAGGTAGCCCTCACACAACGTACCCTGCACCAAGCCCCAGCCCCAGCACCAGCCGCAGCCCCAGACCCAGCCCCAGACCCAGCCCAGTCCCCTTGGTTCCCTGACATCCGTTACGGCTAAAAGATCCAGGGAGTCAGTCCACCCAGGAGCAGAGGAGAGGATGTCCCTCAAGAGTGAGACAGGAAGTGCAGAGGAAATGCTACACCACCTGTCCTAGAAGACAAGGCCAGTCACGGTCGCCTAGCACTCATTCTAGGCAATCCACCCACCCATGAGGGGAAACACGGAGAACAAGCAAGCTTTCCTGTCTGAGACACTTATGGGAGCAAAGAGCTCAATGGTCACGAGATCTGCCCAATCAAGCAGAAACAGGTTTGCAGAGAGAAGCAATCATTACAGGGATCTCCAGGAAAAGTCTCCCTGACAGACTGGGAAGTCAAGCACTGGGAAGTCCCTGACGGACAGGGAAGACATGTGGCCAGAGTGAGAGGCATCTAGGCCAGGGGAGACAGAGCAAGAGGGAGGACAGAGCAGAGGGAGGACAGAGCAAGAGGGAGGACAGAGCAGAGGCCGAAGCCCAGGCAGGATATAGCACCATGTCACTGCCACGGGCATAAGGGGAGGGGTTCCAAAAGGGTGGCTTGTCCAGAGAGGCCAGCATTCCAGTGACAGGGATTGTTGCCATCTCCCATTTCTGGCTTCCTCTTGCAGACTGTATCATGCTGTGGCTTCATTTCCCACAGAAGAGCAGTGAAAAGATAAAATCATCTTCTCTGACGTGGGTCCGCTCCTCCCCTGCGGGACAAAGAACTCCTGTGGGGCTCTTGTACTCGGCTGCAGTGTGTTCATCTTGATACTAGAAAAGAGGCTGCTCAGGATGGGGAGGAGATTTCAATTGCTCCGGGACCGATGCATCTCCTCACGTGGGTCTGGTCTTCACACACAAAAAGCAGCTCCGCGGTGGCGAAAACGATTGACAACCAGCCTCATGAGCCAGGCAGAAACGCAGAAAGAGGCTCACCAAAGGCTGGCCGCCATGCGAGAAATCGCTTTGTGGCACACAGGGCACATTCGGCTGAAGACACACATGCACACGGACACAAACACACAAACCGGCAGAGAGAGGGAAAGAAACACACAGAGACTGAGAGACAGAGAGAGAAGAGAGAACGGAAGACACACACACACACCCACACACAGACAGAAACACACACAGTCATACAGCAGACGCATTGAAACACACACCACTAGGCAACCCCTGAGGCTGCGGGGTTCGGCTCTCGACGAGAACGACCCTCCGGTGAGACAGCAGCCAAGGGGCATGCTGGCCGACCTGTCCTCGACATCACAGCGGCATGAATTTTGGGGAGACTCACCCCAACACCGTCTGGGCAGGCATGAGGCTGGGATGCCGTGCTGCTTCCCCTGGACTCCGCCTGGGGTTTCCTCATCCTGGTCGGCCCTTTGTGACTCCTGGCATCCGGAGACGTTGCCGTCGATCCCATGAAGAGGTCAGGCCGGAGCCTCAGCGCCCGGACACCCAAGCACTGCAAAGGAGGTCTCCTGCTGTGCCAAGCCTCAGGGACTGGTTTCTAAGACAACCGTGGGAAGCACTGTGACAGGAGAAGCCGCTCGCGCCTCGCGCATGCGCATTGGCTGGGCCCACAGGCGCTGCACTCCAGGTAGCCAGGCTGCGTCTACTTTAAATAACGCCACCTCTGTGCGGCGGCAACGAGGCTCCTGCTGCAGCCGCGGCGGGGGCTGAATCCGGGGTCCAGTTTGGGGTGGCGTGGCAGAGGGGGCCGCGAGTGTCCTGTCCCAGGGCCAAACCACCAGGAGTCCTGTCCTCAGGACCTCCTTGAGCCGACTTCTACCCAGGGAGGGGGAGCTTCAGGAAGCCTGCTGGGTTCTCGGGACTCCTCTTCAGATCCGATATAAACGCACTCTGAGAGAGATAGGATGGGCTCACCACAACTGGTGAGGCAGGCAGGGCCTCGCTGCAGCACAGAATGATCCCATAGGTCTCAAGGAGAAGTGTCAGGTGAAAATTCACTGATGCATCAGCCCTCTGCCTCCCTCCTACTTTGAAAGAGCAGTGGCCTGTCCCGCTTCTAAAAGCCCTGGGGCTCCGGAAGGGCGACCGCAATTTACAGGACACGGGCAAACAGGAACAGGGGCGAAACCGAGAGGGAGACCATATGACCACGCGTGGCACTGGCGTATCCCACAACAGATGGTTTGCATGTGTGTCACCGGAGGCATATGGGGCGACGGGGAAACAAACGGTGGTGTCCAGGCATGCGCCGGTGGAAGGGGAGAACGAGTGACCTTTCCATCAATGCCAAGGAAAATCACAGAACACCTGGGACACGGGGGGTCGGGGGCCTGTGCCTGACAAAAGGCACGTCTTCAAATGTCTACCAGAGGAGCAAAGAGGTTCTGCTCTCCACGCGAAGGACCATGGGGTGAGAGAGCAGCCCAGGGGCACGCAGGGGGACCTGTCCTCAAGATCACGGCGGCACGATTTTGGGGAGACTCTCGCTAAGACCGTCTGCGCAGGCCTGGGGCCGGGATGCCGTGCTGCTTCCCATGGACTCTGTCTGGGGATTCCTCATCCTGGTCGGCCCTTTGCGACTCGCGGCATCCGGAGACGTTGCCGTCGACCCGGTGGAGAGGTCAGGCCGGAGCCTCAGAGCCCCGACACCCAAGCACTGCCACGGAGGGCTCCTGCTGTGCCAAGCCTCAGGGACTGGTTTCTGAGACAACCGTGGGAAGCACTGTGACCGGAGAAGCCGCTCGCGCCTCGCGCATGTGCATTGGCTAGGCCGACTGGCACTGCGCTCGAGGCAGTCAGGCTGCGTCCCCTTTAATTAACACCACCACTGCGCGGCGGTAGCGAGGCTCCTGCTGCAGCCGCGGCGGCGGGATCCAGGGTCCAGTTTGGGGCGGCATGGGAGACGGGGCCACCAGTGTCCTGTCCCAGGGCCAAACCCCCAGAAGTCCTGTCCTCAGGAGCTCCTTAAGCCAACTTCCACCCAGGGAGAGGGAGCTTTAGGACGCCTGCTGTGTTCTCCGGACTCCCCTTCAGATCCGATTTTGGCCACCTCCAAGTGAGATAGGATGGGCCCACCGTATCTGTTGAGGCAGGCAGGACCTCGCTGCAGCACGGAATGATCCCACAGGTCTCAAGTAGTAGTGTCAGCGGAAAATTCACTGATCCACCAGTCCTCTTCTTCCCTTTTCCTTTGAAAGAGCAGTGGCCTGTCCCGCTTCTAAAAGCCCTGGGGCTCCGGAAGGCCGACTGCGCTTTACAGGACACGTGCAAACAGGAACAGGGGCGAATCCGAGGTGGAGACCATGTGACCACGCATGGCACTGGCTTATCTCACAGCAGATGGTGTGATTGTGTGTCACCCGAGGCATATGGGGCGACGGCGAAGAAAACGGTGGTGTCCAGGCGTGGTCCGGTAGAAGGGTGGTACGAGTGACCTTTCAACCAATGTCAAGGAAAATCAAAGAACACCTGGGACCCGTGGGGTTGGGGGCCTGTGCCTGACCCAAGACACGTTTTCAAATGCCTACCAGAGGAGCAAAGAGGTTCTTCTGTCCACGAGATCCAACCTCGGGTGAGAGAGCAGCCCAGGGACACGCAGGCCAACCTCTCCTCGTGATCACGTCGACACGACTTTTGGGAAGACTCTCGCCAGCACCATCTGGGCAGGCCTGAGGCTGGGATGCCGCGCTGCTTCCCCTGGACTCCGCCTGGGCTTTCCTCCTCCTGGTCGGCCCTTTGCGACTCGCGGCATCTGGAGACTTTGCCGTCGACCCGGTGGAGAGGTCAGGCCGGAGCCTCAGAGCCCCGACACCCAAGCAGTGCCACGGAGGGCTCCTGCTGTGCCAAGCCTCAGGGACTGGTTTCTAAGACAACCGTGGGAAGCACTGTGACAGGAGAAGCGGCTCGCGCCTCGAGCATGCGCATTGGCTGGGCCGACTGGTGCTGCGCTCGAGGCAGTCAGGCTGCGTCCCCTTTAATTAACGCCACCGCTGCGCGGCGGCAGCGAGGCTCCTGCTGCAGCCGCGGTAGCGGCTGGATCCAGGGTCCAGCATGGGGCGGCATGGGAGACGGGGCCGCGAGTGTCCTGTCCCAGGGCCAAACCCCCAGAAGTCCTGTCCTCAGGAGCTCCTTGAGCCAACTTCCACCCAGGGAGAGGGAGCTTCAGGACGCCTGCTGTGTTCTCCGGACTCCCTTTCAGATCCGATTTTGGCCACCTCCAAGTGAGATAGGATGGGCCCACCATATCTGTTGAGGCAGGCAGGACCTCGCTGCAGCATGGAATGATCCCACAGGTCTCAAGCAGTAGTGTCAGCGGAAAATTCACCGATCCATCAGTCCTCTTCTTCCCTCTTCCTTTGAAAGAGCAGTGGCCTGTCCCGCTTCTAAAAGCCCTGGGGCTCCGGAAGGCCGACTGGGCTTTACAGGACACGTGCAAACAGGAACAGGGGCGAATCCGAGGTGGAGACCATGTGACCATGCGTGGCACCGGCGTATCTCAGAGCAGATGGTGTGAATGTGTGTCACCCGAGGCATACGGGGCGACGGCGAAAAAAGCAGTGGTGTGCAGGCATGTTCCGGTGGAAGGGGGGAACGAGTGACATTTCCACCAATGCCAAGGAAAGTCAAAGAACACCTGGGACCCGTGGGGTGGGTGGTCTGTGCCTGACCCAAGACACGTTTTCAAATGCCTACCAGAGGAGCAAAGAGGTTCTGCTCTCCACGAGAACCACCCTCGTGTGAGAGAGCAGCCCAGGGACACGCAGGCTGACCTCTCCTCGAGATCACGGCGACACGACTTTTGGGAAGACTCTCGCCAACACCGTCTGGGCAGGCCTGAGGTTGGGATCCCGTGCTGCTTCCCCTGGACTCCGCCTGGGGTTTCCTCCTCCTGGTCGGCCCTTTGCGACTCGCGGCATCCGGAGACGTTGACGTCGACCCGGTGGAGAGGTCAGGCCGGAGCCTTAGAGCCCCGACAAGCAAGCACTGCCACGGAGGGCTCCTGCTGTGCCAAGCCTCAGGGACTGGTTTCTAAGACAAGCGTGGGAAGCACTGTGAACGGAGAAGCCCCTCGCGCCTCGCGCATGAGCATTGGCTGGGCCGACTGGCGCTGCGCTCCGGGCAGTCAGGCTGCGTCCGCTTTAATTAACGCCACCGCTGCACGGCGGCAGTGAGGCTCCTGTTGCAGCCGCGGCGGCGGCTGGATCCAGGGTCCAGTTTGGGGCGGCATGGCAGAGGGGGCCGCGAGTGTCCTGTCCCAGGGCCAAACCCCCAGAAGTCCTGTCCTCAGGAGCTCCTTGAGCCGACTTCCACCCAGGGAGAGGGAGCTTCAGGACGCCTGCTGTGTTCTGCGGACTCCCTCTCAGATCCGATTTTCGCCCCCTCCGAGTGAGATAGGGTGGGCTCACCACATCTGTTGAGGCAGCCAGGACCTCGCTGCAGCACGGAATGATCCCACAGGTCTCAAGCAGTAGTGTCAGCGGAAAATTCACCGATCCATCAGTCCTCTTCTTCCCTCTTCCTTTGAAAGAGCAGTGGCCTGTCCCGCTTCTAAAAGCCCTGGGGCTCCGGAAGGCCGACTGGGCTTTACAGGACACGTGCAAACAGGAACTGGGGTGAATCCGAGGTGGAGACCATGTGACCATGCGTGGCACTGGCGTATCTCACAGTAGATGGTGTGAATGTGTTTCACCGGAGGCATATGGGGCGACGGCAAAAAAAACAGTGGTGTGCAGGCATGCTCCGGTGGAAGGGGGGAACGAGTGACATTTCCACCAATGCCAAGGAAAATCAAAGAACACCTGGGACCCGTGGGGTGGGTGGTCTGTGCCTGACCCAAGACACGTTTTCAAATGCCTACCAGAGGAGCAAAAAGGTTCTGCTCTCCACGAGAACCACTCTCGTGTGAGAGAGCAGACCAGGGACACGCAGGCCGACGTCTCCTCGAGATCACGGCGACACGACTTTTGGGAAGACTCTCGCCAACACCGTCTGTGCAGGCCTGAGGCTGGGATGCCGCGCTGCTTCCCCCGGACTCCGCCTGGGCTTTCCTCGTCCTGGTCGGCCCTTTGCCACTCACGGCATCTGGAGACTTTGCGGTCGACCCGGTGGAGAGGTCAGGCCGGAGCCTCAGAGTCCCGACACCCAAGCACTGCCACGGAGGTCTACTGCTGTGCCAAGCCTCAGGGACTGGTTTCTAAGACAACCGTGGGAAGCACTGTGACAGGAGAAGCGGCTCGCGGCTCGCGCATGCGCATTGGCTGGGCCGACTGGCGCTGCGCTCCGGGCAGTCAGGCTGCGTCCCCTTTAATTAACGCCACCACTGCACGGCGGCAGCGAGGCTCCTGCTGCAGCGGCGGCGGCGGCTGGATCCAGGGTCCAGTTTGGGGCGGCATGGCAGAGGGGGCCACGAGTGTCCTGTCCCAGGGCCAAACCCCCAGAAGTCCTGTCCTCAGGAGCTCCTTGAGCCAACTTCCACCCAGGGAGAGGGAGCTTCAGGACGCCTGCTGTGTTCTCCGGACTCCCCTTCAGATCCGATTTTGGCCACCTCCAAGTGAGATAGGATGGGCCCACCATATCTGTTGAGGCAGGCAGGACCTCGCTGCAGCATGGAATGATCCCACAGGTCTCAAGCAGTAGTGTCAGCGGAAAATTCACTGATCCATCAGTCCTCTTCTTCCCTCTTCCTTTGAAAGAGCAGTGGCCTGTCCCGCTTCTAAAAGCCCTGGGGCTCCGGAAGGCCGACTGGGCTTTACAGGACACGTGCAAACAGGAACAGGGGCGAATCGGAGGTGGAGACCATGTGACCATGCGTGGCACTGGTGTATCTCACAGCAGATGGTGTGAATGTGTTTCACCGGAGGCATACGGGGCGACGGCGAAAAAAACAGTGGTGTGCAGGCATGCTCCGGTGGAAGGGGGGAACGAGTGACATTTCCACCAATGCCAAGGAAAGTCAAAGAACACCTGGGACCCGTGGGGTCGGTGGTCTGTGCCTGACCCAAGACACGTTTTCAAATGCCTACCAGAGGAGCAAAGAGGTTCTGCTCTCCACGAGAACCACCCTCGTGTGAGAGAGCAGCCCAGGGACACGCAGGCTGACCTCTCCTCGAGATCACGGCGACACGACTTTTGGGAAGACTCTCGCCAACACCGTCTGGGCAGGCCTGAGGTTGGGATCCCGTGCTGCTTCCCCTGGACTCCGCCTGGGGTTTCCTCCTCCTGGTCGGCCCTTTGCGACTCGCGGCATCCGGAGACGTTGACGTCGACCGGGTGGAGAGGTCAGGCCGGAGCCTCAGAGGCCCGACACCCAAGCACTGCCACGGAGGTCTACTGCTGTGCCAAGCCTCAGGGACTGGTTTCTAAGACAAGCGTGGGAAGCACTGTGACAGGAGAAGAGGCTCGCGCCTCGCGGATGGGCACTGGCTGGGCCGACTGGCGCTGCGCTCCGGGCAGTCAGGCTGCGTCCCCTTTAATTAACGCCACCACTGCACGGCGGCAGCGAGGCTCCTGCTGCAGCGGCGGCGGCGGCTGGATCCAGGGTCCAGTTTGGGGCGGCATGGCAGAGGGGGCCACGAGTGTCCTGTCCCAGGGCCAAACCCCCAGAAGTCCTGTCCTCAGGAGCTCCTTGAGCCGACTTCCACCCAGGGAGAGGGAGCTTCAGGACGCCTGCTGTGTTCTGTGGACTCCCTTTCAGATCCGATTTTGGCCCCCTCTGAGTGAGATAGGGTGGGCTCACCACATCTCGTGAGGCAGGCAGGACCTCGCTGCAGCACAGAATGATCCCATACGTCTCAAGGCATAGTGTCCGCTGAAAATTCACTGATCCATCAGCCCTCTGCTTCCCTCCTCCTTTGAAAGAGCCATGGCCTGTCCCGCTTCTAAAAGCCCTGGGGCTCTGGAAGGCCGACTGCGCTTTACAGGACACGTGCAAACAGGAAGAGGGGCGAATCCGAGGTGGAGACCATGTGACCACGCGTGGCACCGGCGTATCTCAGAGCAGATGTTGTGAATGTGTGTCACCCGAGGCATACGGGGCGACGGCAAAAGAAACGGTGGTGTCCAGGCGTGGTCCGGTGGAAGGGTGGTACGAGTGACCTTTCCATCCATATCAAGGATAATCAAAGAACACCTGGGACCCGTGGGGTTGGGGGCCTGTGCCTGACCCAAGACACGTTTTCAAATGCCTACCAGAGGAGCAAAGAGGTTCTTCTGTCCACCAGATCCACCCTCGGGTGAGAGAGCAGCCCAGGGACACGCAGGCCAACCTCTCCTCGTGATCACGTCGACACGACTTTTGGGAAGATTCTCGCCAGCACCGTCTGGGCAGGCCTGAGGTTGGGATCCCGTGCTGCTTCCCCTGGACTCCGCCTGGGGTTTCCTCCTCCTGGTCGGCCCTTTGCGACTCGCGGCATCCGGAGACATTGACGTCGACCCGGTGGAGAGGTCAGGCCGGAGCCTTAGAGCCCCGACACCCAAGCAGTGCCACGGAGGGCTCCTGCTGTGCCAAGCCTCAGGGACTGGTTTCTAAGACAAGCGTGGGAAGCACTGTGACAGGAGAAGCGCTCGTGCCTCGCGGATGCCCATTGGCTGGGCCGACTGGCGCTGCGCTCCGGGCAGTCAGGCTGCGTCCCCTTTAATTAACGCCACCGCTGCGCGGCGGCAGTGAGTCTCCTGTTGCAGCCGCGGCGGCGGCTGGATCCAGGGTCCAGTTTGGGGCGGCATGGCAGAGGGGGCCGCGAGTGTCCTGTCCCAGGGCCAAACCCCCAGAAATCCTGTCCTCAGGAGCTCCTTGAGCCGACTTCCACCCAGGGAGAGGGAGCTTCAGGACGCCTGCTGTGTTCTGCAGACTCCCTTTCAGATCCGATTTTCGCCCCCTCCGAGTGAGATAGGGTGGGCTCATCACATCTGGTGAGGCAGGCACGACCTCGCTGCACCACAGAATGATCCCATACGTCTCAAGGCATAGTGTCCGCTGAAAATTCACTGATCCATCAGCCCTCTGCTTCCCTCCTCCTTTGAAAGAGCCTTGACCTGTCCCGCTTCTAAAAGCCCTGGGGCTCCGGAAGGCCGACTGGGCTTTACAGGACATGTGCAAACAGGAAGAGGGGCGAATCGGAGGTGGAGACCATGTGACCATGCGTGGTACTGGTGTATCTCACAGCAGATGGTGTGAATGTGTGTCACCGGAGGCATGTGGGGCGACTGTGAAACAAACGGTGGTGTCCAGGCATGTGCTGTTGCAAGGGGGTACGAGTGACATTTCCATCAATGCCAAGGAAAATCAAAGAACACCTGCGACCCGGGGTTTGGTGGGGCCTGTGCCTGACCCAAGCCACGTTTTCAAATGCCTGCCAGAGGAGCAAAGAGGTTTCTGCAAAATTCATCCCACCCCTATCCTCCACCGCCCTTGTCGCCCTGATGCAACTTCCCCTGCACCCAGCTCCAACCCCAGCCCAAGCCCTAGTCGAGTCCCTTTGGTTCCCTGACATTGGTTTCAGCCAGAAGTTCAAGGGAGTCAATCCACCCAGGAGGAGAGGAGAGGATGTCCCTGAAGAATGAGACAGGAAGTGCAGAGGAAATGCGTCACCACCTGTCCTATAAGACAAGGCCGGTCACAGTTTCCTAGTGCTCATACTAGGCAATCCACCCACCCATGAGGGGAAACTTGGAGAAGAAGGAAGCTTCCCTGTCTGAGACAAGTGTGGAAGCCAAGAGCTCCAGGGTCATGAGACGTGCCCAATCAAGCAGAAACACATTTGGAGAGAGAAACAATCATGAGACGGATCTCCAGGAAGTGTCTCCCTGACGGACTGGGAAGTCATCTTTATTGAAGACATTTGGCCAGAGTGAGAGGCATCCAGGCCCCTGAGAAACAGGGGAGGCAGAGCAAGAGGGAGGACAGAGCAGAGGCCAGAGCCCACGCAGGATACAGCATCGTGCCACTGCCACAGGCATAAGGGGCGGTGAATTTCTATCCCAGCTTTGCCATGGACTGGCTGCATTTCCCTAGGCACGGCACTCATCCTAACTGATCCCCAGTTTCTTGCCTCTATCAAAAGAAACTAATGTGAATGGAAATGGCATGTGTCACAGTGATGAGTGTTCCTGATGCACAGCAGTTGCGCACTTCCAGTTTACTGGGGTTGGAAAGCGTGTGTGGCAGTAAGAGGTCCGTGCAAGGCGGTATGGGGTCAGAACAGCCTCTGTGGGGCCCCGCTCGCTACCGTCTAGCTATGGAGAGCCTGAGTCTCCTCACTCTGAAATCAGGCCATGTAGAGCCACCTGCTACCTAGTACTAGAGGGAGTGCAGGAAAAAGTGCAGCCAGTGCTTCCAGACCCTTCCATGTGGCCTGAAGGGCTCCCCACCCCACCTGGGTGGGCTGCACATGCAAAGGCCACCTAGGGGTGGGGAGCAAGCTCCTGGCCTCTGAGCGGCCTGCCCCCACGCTGTCCCCTCTCAGAGCTCATTTCCCTGCCCCTCCCTCCTGTCTCCTCACACCCTGCCTTGTGTCCTGGGCCGGGGACCCTGCTCCTGTTTCCAGACCTGTTGCCCCCCAGCTGGCCTCGAGTCCCTCCTCCCGGGTGGTCACACAGTCCCTCCTGTAGCCGGAATCTCCTGTGTTTCTCCGGTTTCTCCTGGAATGTCTGTCTCCCCCCATCTGTGAGGAGCCGGGCACAGGGCTGACCACCCTTTTCATGCTACACCCCGCACAGAGCCTCAAACGGGTTTGGTGCTCAGGAAAGACTTGTTTATGGAATGAACGGGGAATGAACAAGTGGCTGGATGGGTGGGCGAGGGGCCAGGCTGCCCTGTCCTTTCCCGACAAGGCCCTGGCCCTGAGCTGGCAGGTGCTCAGCCCTTCTCCCTCTGATCCAGCGTCCTGAGCTGTTCATGTGCTAGGGATGCCTTTGACATCCTCCTTCTCAGAATAACACTTTCGAGTGCAAGAGAGAACCCATATAGGGCTACAGAGGAAAAGTGTTGCAGTACTTATCAAAACATTCTTTTAAAATGCGTGATCTAGTAATTAGCATGCTGTTGCCTACGAGTGCCTTAACTAGCAAGACCTGGTGGCAGCCGTCCTACCGACTCCATGGGAGCAGGGAGGAGAGCTGTGCAGCTCCAGCGGTCGGCATTGCTATAGGGCCTGGGGTGAGCTCAGGCTCAGTGTGTCCAGCGTACATTTCACAGAGAGGCTGAAGGCGGGGAAATTGATGATTTTTCCCCCATCAAGTTCACAAAGCGCTGGCTTCTGTCCTTGGGCTCTGTGGCAGGACCTCCGGGAACCTGCTCCACTGTCTTGGGGACTGCAAAGCCTGCCCCTGCTTTGCCCGGCCCCCTTGCCTTGCCCCCAGGGTCCTTGGGTAGCCCTCCTGGGGGTCTGGGGACCTGAGCTTTAGTTTCCCAGCCATGGTGGGGGAGAAGTGGTCAGGGTCAGCTGCATCCCCAGGCCCCCACACCTGGCTGTTGTGCATTGTGAGTCCCCCAGCAAGGCCATAGAGCAGAGAGGATCTCCCATCACCCCCAGGCTCAGCTGGAACTCTCCTGCCGGCCTGGCAGAAAGCTGACATTTCCTGCCCTGTGGGCCAAACTCAGAGCTCAGCAGGGGTCAGAGAGTGACAGCCATGCTTTCTTCCTGCAGGGGCCACCCTGCTGTGAGCAGTTCATAAGGGAGGAAGGTGGAGATGCCCTGTTCCCAAGCTATGGGACCTCTCATTTGACAAATGGGGAAACTGAGACCCAGAGGGGACAGGGACGGGGCGGTCCCATGGTGAGCTGAAGCTGGAGTGGCCTTGGGTGGGCTGCAGTGCTGCCTGCCATCTTGTGATTCAGACTTTAAGGACTCTAGAGCACTCTTGGGGCACAGGGACAGAATCCTAGTTCCCAATCCCTTAACTTCCCCCAGGGACCTGGTTCTGTGCTGAGGCCCCTCAACGCAGTCAGACCCAGGTTCTACCCTCAGGAGACCCTTGGCCTGGTGGACTCAGAAAGACCGGCTGCACCCAGCATGGTCTGATCCAGGACAGAGGGAAGCACAAGGGGTGGGGCTTGGAAAGGGGTGTTGAAGGATGCATAGGAGTTTGAGGGAGAATGGGGAAGAGAGGGCCTTGGGTAGTGTCTGGCATGCAGCTTCCTCTGAGCGCCATCGACGAAGAGGTGCTCCCATCTGCCCAGCGTGCTGCACGTCCTCGGCCAAGTCCCCTCCCTTTCTGAGCTGTGTGCTTCTGTCTCGCCATCCATCTGCTGTCCTTGCCTCCCTTTCCCCCACCTCCCTGGCACACTCACTTCAGCCCCGCTGCCCTCCCCTGGCCTCAGCCTCAAGGCCTTTGTGGCTACAGTTCCCACTTCAAGGAGTTCCCTCTTCCCTCATTCTGTTCTCACTAGCTCTCCAGATGTCACCTACTCAGGCAGTCTTCCCTGACCTCTGGAATAGTCTCCACCCATCTCTGGATTTACTCAAGTTCTTTTTTTTTCCTCAGCCTGTTTTTTTTGGTCTGTCTTGCCCCAGCAGCATGTGGGCCCCCAGGCATGATGTCAGCGCATAGTAGAGGCTGGGCAGACGCCGCTGAGCGTGTGAGTCAATGCTGAGTGTGGTTCTGGCAGCAGTGCCAGGCCGTGGTGCGCTCACAGATCTGAAGTGTAAATGGGGCCTGAGCGATAGGCTTTCTGGAAGGCCTACTCTATTTTCCTGGACTCCACATCTCTGAGGTCAGCCTTCTGCCCATGGTAGGGTGAACCCCAGAGCCCTTAGAGTCTGTCAGGCCCTCCCAGGGAAACTTCTGTACCTGAAATAAGGCCAAATTTACAAAATAAAAGAAGGAAGCTAAGAAAGCAACTGTAACGTGCTCCCCTACAGAGAGCAGACAGGTTATGGGGGGCTGAGGCCCTAATCCTGGCTGGCCCTTTGTGAAGAAATAAATGCACCCCTCAAGCTGGGGACTTCCTTGCTGGGAGCAAGGCAGGCCTGGAGGGCTCACTGAGGGGTTGGTGGCTGGATTACAGAGGGACTGAGGCAGGACACCTGGGTGCTAGGCCCAGCTCTGGCTCAGACTGGTGACCTTGGGCATGGCTCCTCTCTGCACCTCATTTCCTCCTCTCAAAGAAGCTTGGGCCACCCCACCTGGGACTTCTGTGATGCAGCGAGCAGAAGCCAAGTACTGGGTCCTAGGGGCTCAAGAAACATGCTAGGAGTACTCACGGAGGAGCAAGGGACTTGGGGAAATCATGGAAGACTTCATGAAGGAGGCATCCTTTGAGCTTGGAGGATGCATTGCATTCTGAGAGGCAGAGAAAGGCATTTCATGGTGAGGGGCCAGCTCCGGCTGAGGCTCTGAGTTGTGGGACATTCCAGAGACATTGGAAGCCCAACCCTAGCTCTCTGCTCATTCCTACTGTGTCCTTTTTTCTTATTGATTCATAAGAACTCTTTATATATTAAGCACATGGGTCCTTTTTAAACAAACACATTATTTTTCTTTTATTTTACTTATGATTGGTTTTGACATCATACATATTTTTATGTTGGCAAATTTCCCAGCCTTTCCTTTGGTGGTCTTTCTGGTCCCAGGATGCTTCTTGTGTCCTTACCTTGGGTCCTTGCTCTCCTGTGCACATGCTGGCTGCTCAGGACGTGTCTGAGACTCCAATTAAGTTGAAGCTGGAAAATTTACAGCTGTATGAAAATCAGAAGCCAGGGTGCCTTTGCTGACCTGTGCCTCCCGCTGGGTTTCCTGCCCATCATTCCTTCTTGCCTGGAGTGGGGTCCAGCTGAGACCCTAAAGGGGCCTGTGACTCTCTGCAGGGTGAGGCAGAGGCTCATAGCTGTGATGAAGGGAGAGGGTGGGGGGACAGGGAGTTCCCAGCTGGCCAGTCACCATGTGTTCACTCATGGAAACTCCATTGCAACCTCATGAGATAGGTGCTATGATTAGTTCCATTTTATAGGTGAGAAAACTGCGGTTCAGAGAGGTTATGTGGCTAGCCCAAGGCCACACAAGAAGGGATGGAGACAGGATTTGAATTCATGCCTTGTTGCCCCAGAACTCTTATAGTTTCAAGCTCTCTTATGGCCCTTGGGCTCCCCATTGCCTTTGGGATCAAGTCTAGGCTCATTAATATGACATCTGAGGCCCCCTGGGGTGATGCCTCAGCCTCTGTGCCTGCACACGCTGAGCTTCCCTGATATGATGGTGTCAAGGCTGTGCCCATCTCGTCACACCTTCCCCACAAACCCCGAATAGTTTAGATCCTGGAATGGAGGGCTGGCAGGGCTTCTGTGGAGTAGCTGGGCCAGCCCCCTGGTTTGCACACAGTCAGGGTGGGTCTTGCCCAAGGCCCAGTGCCTGGAGAGTGAAGCTGGAATCTGCACCAAGACTGCAGGACTCTGGTGCTCTTAGCTGTGTCACTGTGCTATGGTTAGTCTCAGGCGGGGTTGTCACCCCTGCTGCTCGCTGCTGCCTCCCCACTGGCAGATACTCCTCTAGGAAGCACCCCTCCTGCCACTGGGTTAGACACCTCCCCTGGGCTCCAGAGGGCCCAGCGACTTATGACTGCTGACTTCTCACCGTCTGCCCTGTGAGGCAGGGTGCCCCATGAAGGCAGGCGCCCAATGCTTCCTCTTCAAGTCCTCGGTGCCCAGTGAGGACTTGAAGAGGGAGACCCAGAGAGGGACAGAGCCCTGCTCCAGGTCACACAGCAAGTTGGGGCAGAGCCAGGAGTCCTAGAAGGGCCCCAAGACCCTCCAGGTCTCCCCTGTTCGTGGGACTTAATGGAGCCCAGGGATGGGGCAGTGTCTGTGATGGCCACCCCAGCAGAGGGCACTACTGCAGGGCCTCTGTTCTCTGCTTCTCCCAGGGGCCTGGGGCCAAGGACACCCTCTGTCCCTCCTGCCCCCACCCTCTGTGAAGAAGGATGTTCTCAAGATAAAAATACCGTCAGAAACATTCCCTGGTGTTTGGTGTGACTGTCGTCCACCCTGTGGGGCCAGAATCTTCTGACCTGGCCTCACCTCAGGGCTTAAGGGTGGACATTTGCCTTTTCTAGCCGCTTGGTGCAGCCTCTTTCTGGGGTCCATATGTCCAGCCCCCATCTTTACGCCACAGAATGTGAGGGGTCAGTGTCACTCAAGGTTCCTGCAGCTTCCACTTTCTGAGCATCCTCTGTGGGCTGGGCGCATCCCGAGCATGGAACAGCGAGGCAGATCCTGCCCTTGTGCGTTTTGTGGCTCCTTGCGGGCCAGGGGGGCTTCTGAGGACATCCAGCAGGCCACAGGGAGGCTTGGGCACAGTCAGCTTTCCGTCCTGTTGGGAAGCCTGTTTCTGCTTTCAGTGCCTACGTGGTGTCAGGAACGCCGGTCACAGTGAACGCCTGCAGGACCCACACTGCTGCATCGTCTCTGTGGGACAGATACTGAAGCCAGGGCTTGGCTTACCCTCGTGACAGTCTCCCGAGGTGTGTGGGGTCTCCTCATTTTGCAGATGGGGAGTTTCAGGCCCCAGTCAGCTGGGGGGCTGCCAGGCCTCTCCAGGGAGGGTGACGGCTGCCACCTCCCAGAGACCCGCTGGGGCGAGGCCCAGTGCCCGGACTGCAGCTTCGTCACCACCTTCAATTTCATGGCACACCCTCTGAGAGGCCTGGCAGGCGACACCAGCCTCATTTTTCAGGGGAAGCTGAGCCTCAGGAAGGGGAAGTGCCTTGCCCTGTTCCGTGGGGGATTTCAGCCCCATCCTCAGCCCAGGCCCTGCCCTCCCCTGCGGGACGCTGTGGGCCAGCCCGGCCTGTTGGCCCTCAGTCGTGGTCATGGGGAAGCACTGCCCCTGCAGCCCACCTCCCCATCCAGGATTGTGACCATAACCCCGGGAAGCATTTGTGGGACTTGGCGGGGTGAGCTCACATGGCGGCTGCTGTGGCCCCTGCAGGTGGCGGGAGCTCTGGCCAGGGCATCCGGAAGGCTGGCTCCTGTTTGCAGGGTGCTGCCCTGCCCTGTGACTTCAGGAAATTCGCTTCTCTGCTCTACGTCTCAGTACCCCTGTGTAGAGTAGAGCTAATTTTGCCTTCCTCCTAGATAAAAACAAATCCAGCTGGATTTGTGGTCTGGGGAATGCCCCTTTCAGGTAGTAGGGAGTGAGGGACGAGGTTGGGAGAGCCTGGTGCAAGCCAGGTGACCAGCAGGATGTGGATAGATGCTGCTGCCCACACTTCTGGCCCCCACCCCTGCTTGGCTCCCCATGGCCCTGTGGCAATATCCGACCTTCGCTGCTCAGAGTTCCAGCTCCAGGTGACTGTGCAGGTGACTTAGCTTCTCTCAGCCTCAGTTTTCCTATCTGTCCAGAGGGGAGAATTGTCCCTCCTCCAAGGCAGGGCTGTGAGCATCGGGATGACTGCAGCCAGCTGCCAAGCATGCAGGGCCAAGCACAGTGTTGGCTCACTCGGGGAAGGGGGTGGACCCAAGTCCCTGCCGTGGAGGTCCCCAGCTGTTTGATGTTGGCTTGTGACAGAACCTCTCTGAAACTCTGCAGCTCATCCACCTGTCCATCCATCCACCCGTCCATCCATCCACCCATCCATCTCTGAACCTCTGTGTCCCCATCAGTTTTGAGGATGGAATGGCTGAGAGAGGCAAAGTGTAGGCCTGTGGCTTCTGCTCCCAGAATGATGAGGGATGGGGAAGAAGGGGCTGGGGATTGGGGGACTTGGAGGGTGAAGAGGGACTGAAGGGCCACTAGAGACCAGGCAGGCCATCCCATTTCAGAACAAGCTGAGAGAGGGGAAGTGACTCACTCAAGGTCACACAGCTTATGAGGGGCAGAGCTGGGATTTGAATCTAGGTCTGTGTGCCTGTAAACCACTGTCACCTGTCCCAGGAGGCTGATGATGTGGGGGTGACTCACCAACAGTTGCCTTAATTCCAGCCAGAAAAACCAGTGTGACAAACCAGCCTCGGCTGTAACCTTGGAAAGGGCAGGCCCCATGAACTCCATGGCTGGGAGGTGCGGAGGTGAGAAGCATGTCAGGTGGCTCACCGTGGAGATCCTCAGAGCCCCTTCCCACCAACCTCTTCTCTGATTCTCACGGCACACTGGATAGGAAGGCAGGGGGATCCCTTTGACAGGTGGGGAAATTGCATCTTTGGGATTGCAGGGACCATGTAGGATGTATGTGTACCCAAGGCAAATCTCTGGCAAATTACTGATGTGTGCCCATCCATGTAGTTAGCCATGTGCCCACCTGCTCATCCATCTAGTCATCTATCCTACTTGCCCAAACACCCTATCCATCCATCTACCCACTCATCACCCACCCTCACACTCATCCACCCATCCATCTATCCATCTACCCACCCATCCATCCACCCATCCACCCATCCATCTATCCATCTACCCACCCATCCACCCACCCATCCATTCACCCATCTGTCCATCCATCCACCCTTCCATCCCTCTATCCATTCATTTCTTTACCCACCCATACACTCATCCACCTGTCCATCTATCCACCCATCCACTCATCCACTCATTCACTCCACCCATCCATCACCCAACATTCCATCCATCCATCCATCCATGCACCCGTCACCCATTCATCCATTAATCTGTTCATCCACCCACTCAACCATATACCCACCCATCCACCCAGCCATCCCTCTATCCATTCACTTCTTCACTCACCCATCCACTCATTCACTCACCCATCCATCCACCCAATCATCTGCCCATCCATCCATCCCATTCGTCTATCCATCCATCCACCCACCCATTACCCATCCATCCACCCATCCATCCATCCATCCACCCATTCACCCATCTATCCCTCCATTCATTCATCTACCCATCCGCTCAGTCACCCACCCATCTACCCTTCTGTTCATCCATCCATCCAATCATCTACTTTCACACTTATCCATCCATCTATCCAACCATCCATCCATCCATCCATTCATCCATCCATCCATCCATCCATCTTTCCATCCTATTATCCATTCATCCACTCATCCATTCACCCATTCATCCACTCATCCATCCTTCCTCCATACAGCCATCCACCCTCACACCCAACCACTCATTCACCCATCCATCCATCCACCCACCCATGTATTCATTCATCCATATACCCACTCATCCATTTATCCATCCACCTACCCATTCATCCCTGCATTCATTTTTCCACCCACCTATCCATCATCCATCCATCCTTCCATCCATCCATCCATCCATCCATCCATCTACCCATTCATTCATCCACCCCCCCAGCTATTCACAACTGGCTCCAAGGTTGGCGTTGGGAAGGCTCTGCAGGTGGTGGCTGGGAGTACAGGCTGAGGGCCTGAATTCCTTTGTGACAGTGGGAGAATTACCACATTAACTACTTCTCTGGAATAGTAACAACAATAGTTCCAACCTTGTGGAATTGTGAGGATTATGTGAGATGATGTATGTAAAATGCCTACTATAGTGTCTGGCATGCAATAGGCACTCAATAATTGTCAGCGGTCATTTTTCTCTGACACTCCATCTTGTTCTGCTCTTCTCTGGTTCTGGATGGTTGCTATGCTGTGAAGGTGTGGGGCATCAAAGGTGCAGGCCAGAGGCCCTTCCATCTCCTGTGGGGCCCTGGGGAAGTGAGCAGAAATGTGGGTTCATGTGGTTATGTCTTACTTCTGTGCCCCTCTGAGAAGAGCAGCACCGCCTGCAGTAACTTGGCTTTACTCTTTTAACTTTAGGATGTTCTAGTGACTGGATCCTTTCCAGCTGGTGCCTGGGAAATGGCAGCCACTACTAATTCAGCCTTGAAGACAGTACCGTGCCTACTCAGCACCATTACGTAGAAGACAGAACTCAAGAGGTAAGAGTGAAGTCATTGACATGCTCTTGTGCATCTAGGCATTCCTTCCACCAGACTCTCATCTGTACATCCTTCACCCCTCCACCCACCATGCCATCCTTTCATCACCCATTCCCCCACCCATTTATCTGCTCAGCCTTCCATCCACCCACCCATGCCTCCACCCCTCCATCCATCCCCTCGCCCATGCCATCCGTTCCTCACCCATTCCCCCACCCATTCATCTGCTCAACCATCCATCCACCCATCCTTCCACCCACCTAGCCAGTCCATCTATCTGCTCACCCCTATCATCCACCCACCCATCTGTCAACCCGATTTATCCACCCATCTGCCTGACCACCCACATGTTGATTCAATCACTCTTCCACCCATCTCCTCATCCATCCCATTCAGCTGCTTAGTCCTTCACCCTTCATCTGGCTGGGATGCATTTCCTGGGTGCCCCTCTTTGCTAGTACCTGCATCAGCCTCTCTAGACCTCTGAGCTTGGTCAGAGATGGGGCCTGGGCAAGATCAACTCTCACACAAGGTGGGAAGTAGCTTCTGGCCTGAATGGGAAAAGCCCAGTGCTAGAGGATCCTAAAGGGGGCCAGGGGAGGAGGAGGAGGTGGAGGAGGCGGAGGAGAAGGCAGCTCAGTATTGTGGGGCAGAAGGTGGAGGAGGAAGAGCAGGAGGAGACTTGGTGTACAGCATCCAGGAGGGGAGGCCAGGGTTCAAGAGCCTTTGCTGTGGAGAGGCTACTGGAGACCCTATGAGGAAGGCCCAGGAGACAAAGGTTCCAGCGCAAGTAGTTTCCTGGGAGGTGATCCCAGGAAATAAGGAAATGAGGTGAGAAAGAGAAGGAAGTGATAAAGGGCATGTCGTTGATACAGTTACTGCTGGGGCACTGGAGCTGACTCCCGCTGGGGAGGCCAGGGAAGCAGTGCCCCTCCCAGGGGCAGCTTGCTGGGGCCCAGCCACCTGCTCCCATCAGTCACTGACTGAAAGCTGTCCTGGCAGCATCAGCTCCTCAGCCTGCCCTCTGAATGGCAGAGCATGTCCACGGCTAGAGAGAGTTTTTGGGCAGAGAGACACTGGTTCGTGTAGGAATTGAGACAGGTGGGCCTGAGGTGGTAAGGGCCTAGGATATCAGTGGGGCACCCACCACCCCATGCCCTGCACACAGTGATGTGTTGCTGCTGCCTCTCTCCTCGGGCCTAGCCTGCATTTGGCATAGGAAGCCATCATGGCATTGGACCCAAATGTTTGAGGGCCATGGGTTAGCTTGGTGGACAGAGGCCAGGTGAGTCTCTGGTGGGGAAGTTTGGCCTGGAAAGGGGATTGGGCGTAAGAGGTCATCATCTTCTTCCCAGATTATGAGACATAGGAATGCCACCCACCACTCTCCCTCTCCCCTCCACACCAGCCTGGGTTCTCCCCCATCCAGCCAAGCTTCCTCACTGCCCCAGGGTGCCCAGCACGTCTTTGCCTCCCACTCCTGGCTCTGGCAGTGTCCCCCAGCAGTGCCCCTCCTGGCTGCCTGTGCCCAGCCTAGCCTTGATGTGGTCCTACACCCAGGGCAGGGCCTGGCATGAGGGAGAGCCCCTAACCCTGCAGCCAGCCCTGCCTCTCACACCCTATGTGATGGAGCAAGGGCACCACTGGCTCAGAGCCTCAGTCTCCCCATCTGCAAAGGAAGGGCTGGGCTTTCCAGGCCCCAGTGCTGCATCTGATGAATGGTGCCTGGATTAGGAAAGATTCTGAGCTGCTCTGGATGCAGTGGATGAAGCTCTGTGGCTGAGGAATGGTGCTTGCCTGGGCGAGGCTGGAGCAGGCACCTTGGGCGGGGAGGCGTGTGCCAGCCTTCCCTGCATTGAGTGATCTCCAAGGGGTCTTCCAATGGTAAGGCTTGATCATGAGGTAGAGTGCCCCATCTCCGAATGAGGGTGAGTGGCTGTGGGTTGGAGTGCTGGTGAGGGCCCTTGAACCTGTTCTTTTGAGTGCCGATTTGTGGCAGTCTACATCTCATCACCACCTGGGATTGCAGGGGCTTGGGACCAAAAGGATTGCAGTGCCACGCACACAGTCAGGCCTCAGGTCTTGGTGTTGTGGGGCACTGGTTTCACCCCTACAGCCCAGCCTGGAAGCTTCACTCCTGAAAGGCTGTGTAACCATCACAGTGACTCAATCTTCCTAGGCTTCCGTCTGCTCATCTGGAAAATGGGGATAATAATCACAGTGTGATGGAAGGGATTAAATGAATCAGTTTATTAAAGCTCTTAGAAGAGCACGTGGCAGGTAGTAAGCACTTGATAGATACTGAGTGCTGTGTTCGTGCCTCATGAGGCGCCCTAGCTAGCTGAACAGTCTCTGCATGAGGGATGGGGGCTGTTGGCGCCTCCCCCTCCGAGTCCCTATGTCTTACCCTGGGTGATGCAGGCGCCTGCACTCTCCCTTCCAGTCAGTGCTTTCTTGGTGTCTGGGAATGTGGGTCCAGGCCTTGCCCTGGGCTCCTCCCAGATGTCACCGAAACCTGAGAAGCCCAGGGCCTCAGGGCAGTGGGCATGGGGCATCCAGTTCCATCCGGAAGCACCTCCCGGTGACTCCTGGACCCCACCCTTAGGTCACGTGGCAGCTGCCGTCTGGCATCCTCTCTAAAAGCTCCCAGCCCAGGCCCTGGTCTGTTCTTCAAGTGGACTGGTCGCTGGGAGGCTGCGTCTGTAGGCACTGTGGCCAGCAGGAAAGCAGGGATCTCCGGGGGTCTGCCGGGCCCGCGCTCTCTCCCCACTGCCTGCTCTCTCCCTCCTGGGTTTGCTTCACTGCCCCTTGGTGTTGAAACCGCCTTGTCTAGCTCAGGTAGTGTACCCCAGCGCCCCTCTCCCATTCCCCTCCCGGCGACCCTGGGACCCTGGCAGGCCAACCCCGGTGTCTGTGGAAAACGGTCCTAACTTTAGTAGTGAGCACCTTGTCTTGGCCCTGGAATTGCTTTGTGACCTGGGACAAGTCTCTTTTTCTTTTTGGACTTGGTTCTCCCATCTGTGAAATGGGGAGCCAGCCTTCTTGCTTGCTAAGGCCTCTTCCAGCAAAACAGTTTCTCTGATTTCATGTCTTGTCTGATTTCACTGTATGCACCCCATTGAGCAAGAGCCAAAAAGGCCTGTGTGTCCCTGGTGGAGGATATTGTCCTATATTTCTTAAATTGCGACCTTGAAGGCCGCATGTTTGTGTAACTTCTTGCCACACCTGTGTTTACGCAGGAGTGTTCTTGGGACATTGTCTAGCTTGTGGTGCTAGGGTTTCTATGCCAGGGTCCCCTTCTGGGTCTGTCTTTGTGGTGCTGTATTCACCAAGTGCCCAGTGAGGGGGCTCCCAGCACCCCTGGGGAGGGTCTCTCTCTCTCTCTCTCACACACACACACATGCACACACGGCAGAGCAGGGCTGTGTGAGGCTGAGGACTGACATTCTGGGCTCCAACTCTCTCTTCTGCTCAGTTTCCAGGGGTCCTGGGACAGGTGTCTTTGTCAGTTTTTGGCTCTGAGAAATGAGGGAGTGGGGCATGAACTTGACCTTGTTGATGCTCTCTGTGTGGTAAAACCACGCAGAGAGGAACGTCAACAGAAGTGGGGGTTTCCAAGCCTGTATGACACCATCTGGGCAGGTCTGGGGTGCCCAGCCCTGGCAGAGATGCCAGGAGCTGTGGCAGCACCCTCACCAGTCTGGTAGCTGGCCAGTTTCGAGGCCGCCAGCTACTGGGAGCACATGCAGACCGGGCTCTCTGGCCTTTAATTCTTGTGATTCTGTTCCTTGCAGGCTTTGAGCTGCTTGGAGCAGGGGCTGGAGCAGCCATGACCCGCTGGAAGTCCCTCAAGGCCCCTGGGCCACACAAATCCAGCCCCTGTCAGCTGGTGGCCTCACGCCGGCGTCTGAGTGCCCCGGCCCTGGCTGCCTCCTTCTGGAGGGTCCAGGAATCTGGGGCTGAGCCCCTTTCCCAGCACAGCCTCAGGGGTCCCCCCTGCCGCCAGCTCCCTACTTCCAGGCCCAGGCAGAAGCAGTGTCCACCATTCCGGCCCTGCGTCCCAGCTCCTCAGCGTCATGGTGAGGTGGTCAGCCACAGCGGTGTTGGGGAAGGACGGCAGAGTAAGGAAAGGCATCCCTGCAGAGCTTGGGGGCCCATGGTGGGGGACGGCGCTAGAGGTGGTTTAAAACTCAACTCTCCTGCTTAATGGCTGTGTGGCCTGGGGGAAGTCACTTAACTTCTCTGAACCTGGATGGTGGCTGCACCCCCGGGTTGTTGAGAGGACGATCTGAGGGCAGCTGTTGATGGATCTGTCCCCCAAGGCGCCCAGGACCCCGCCTGCTCTCCCTGTGTCTCTCTCAGGCGGCAGTTGCTGTGTGCTGCTCGGACCAGCGGGCTCGGGGCTAAGCAACCAGGCAGCCCCTGGGAGTGTTCCACAGCCTGGCCGGGCAGGCGGCTCCACCATCACCTGTTGCTCAGGTGTTTGGAGCAGAGCTCAGAGGCCGCGCCTGCTCCGAGGCCCAGACTAGTGTGGACGTGGCCAGAAGCTGGGTCACACAGACCGGGGCTGAGTCCTGGCATTGCTGCCTCCTGCCTATGGGACTGGGACAAGTCCATTCTGGCTTCTGGGCCTCCAGGTCCTTGTTTGTAAAGCAGGGTGGCCCACCCCTCCCTGGAGGGCTTGAGAGGCCTGCAGAAGGCTGTGTGCAGCGCCTGGTTCACAGTGGTGCCATCCCCCCAGGATGTTCTCTTGGGGCCTCAGTGTCTTCGTAACTGAGTAATGTGGCTGCAGGTGTGCTAAGGGAGAAGGCTTTGTCTAGCTCTGAGGTTATGGTGTGACTGGACTGGGACTGGGGGTGCTGGGTCCCTGTGGGCGGGGAGGGGTGGGCCTGTCCAGCTCCTCCGTCGGGGCTAATGCTGGAAGGCCCAGGTCTCCCTGCTTCCAGCCTAGCCCAGCCAAGGCAGGCTGCCATCCAGATGTGGCTGTGGGCCAGGCGGTGCCATAGCCCCTAGCTTGCAGATGCCCTAGCCTGTCACTGACAGGCCGGTGTGGGGCCTTTAGTGGGGGCAGCACAGCCTGTGTGTCCCGGGGGTGGGCACATCAGTGGCTGAGAGCAGGCTTTGTTCTGGCTGGCATGGATGCCCTGCTGCGGGGCCTGTCTTGGGGTGCCTGAATGTGCAGTAGGCTGGCCTGGAGCCAGGTGCTGCCTGCAGTGAGCTGAGGGTGGTGCTGGGAACAGGTGACACCCCTGAGCACTGCCCAGGTGCCAGGGTAGCAGCCTTGCAATCTTCCTTAGAGATGCGGGAAGCAGGGGCTGGGGAGGGCCCTCGGCTGAGGTCAGCCAGGGAGCAGCCCATGTCTGGGTGCCAGATCTTACCCTCTTTGGCACTGCTGGTGACCAAGAAGCTGCAAGCATGGCATGTGGGTGTCAGGAGGGTGGTGGGACCCAGCTTGGGGTGTTCAAAGTGGGTGGCGACAGGGGTGGCAGGCCGCATTCTAGGCCCTGGGAAGGACAACAAGAAGCAAAAGAGAAAACGTCTCACGCCTGTAATCCCAGCACTTCAGGAGGCCGAGGCAGGTGGATCACCTGAGGTCAAGAGTTTGAGACCAGCCTGGCCAACATGGTGAAACCCCGTCTCTACTTAAAATACAAAAGTTAGCTGGATGTGGTGGCGGGCACCTATAATCCCAGCTGCTCAGGAAGCTGAGGCAGGAGAATCGCTTGAACCTAGGAGGCGGAGATGGCAGTGAGCTGAAATTGCGCCATTGCATTCCAGCCTAGGTGATGAGAGGAAGATTCTGTCTAAAAAAGAAAAAAAAAAGAAAAAAGAAAAGAAAAAAAAAGAAAATGTGCTACCCTTAGGGAGTGGTGGTCTCAGGGTGGGGTTGATGGTTGAGTGCCCCCAGCTACGTTATTGTTATTGCTGCCGCCATTGTGCCCTTAGAAAGGGCAGTGCTGTGGATATAGCAGGGATGGGACATGGGTCTTCCTGGGGCACAAGGAGGCCTCTGGTGCCAAGGTGGCGAGGCAGTGGCAGGATGTCTTGCGGGAGGGTGTCCAGGGTGGGTTTGAGGGACAGCCTGGTGCCAGGGGCTGTGGCTGGATGGGGAGTCCGCTGGAGGAGGCTGGGAGGTGAAGTCCGAGGGGTCAGGAGCTTCCCTGTGCAGGTTCTGCATGTCCTGGGGGGCCTCTGACATTGAGCAAGGGAGGGATAGGCACCGACTCAGCTTCCACAGGCCCTCTGTGGCTGCCATGGAGACTGGGGGGCCATCGGCAGAGGCAGAGAGGCTGGCAAGTTGTGCCCCGAACTGGCTGGGCAGGCACTGTTAGATTCAGGCCTTGAGGGTGGGAGAAGGGGTCGGATCCTAAATAGACTCTTCAGAGCCCTCAGTGTGGGAGTGAGGTGTGGAGCTGAGGTTTTTGGCTGGAGCTGCTGGGGGCCCGAAGGGGGTGGCCACTCGCACTGGGAAGGCGGAGTGGGGAGCTGGCTTAGGCAAGACCAGAGCATGATTGTGGGTCAATCAGGGTGGAAGCGTCCTCCAGTCACGTCTGGGGGCCCTGGGATGGGGGTAGAGGAGCCTGGAGCCACCAGCCCAGCCAGACATGCTGTCCTCTCTGTTCCAGGAGCCGCCCTGCCTGGAGCTAGCCTGGGGGTGAGCCAGGGTCCCCCAACCCCCGGGATGACCGCGGCCAGCCGGGCCAACCCCTACAGCATCGTGTCATTGGAGGAGGACGGGCTGCACCTGGTCACCATGTCGGGCGCCAACGGCTTCGGCAACGGCAAGGTGCACACGCGGCGCAGGTGCCGCAACCGCTTCGTCAAGAAGAATGGCCAGTGCAACATTGCGTTCGCCAACATGGACGAGAAGTCACAGCGCTACCTGGCTGACATGTTCACCACCTGTGTGGACATCCGCTGGCGCTACATGCTGCTCATCTTCTCGCTGGCCTTCCTTGCCTCCTGGCTGCTGTTCGGCGTCATCTTCTGGGTCATCGCGGTGGCACACGGTGACCTGGAGCCGGCTGAGGGCCACGGCCGCACACCCTGTGTGATGCAGGTGCACGGCTTCATGGCGGCCTTCCTCTTCTCCATCGAGACGCAGACCACCATCGGCTACGGGCTGCGCTGTGTGACGGAGGAGTGCCTGGTGGCCGTCTTCATGGTGGTGGCCCAGTCCATCGTGGGCTGCATCATCGACTCCTTCATGATTGGTGCCATCATGGCCAAGATGGCAAGGCCCAAGAAGCGGGCACAGACGCTGCTGTTCAGCCACAACGCCGTGGTGGCCCTGCGTGACGGCAAGCTCTGCCTCATGTGGCGTGTGGGCAACCTGCGCAAGAGCCACATTGTGGAGGCCCATGTGCGCGCGCAGCTCATCAAGCCGCGGGTCACCGAGGAGGGCGAGTACATCCCGCTGGACCAGATCGACATCGATGTGGGCTTCGACAAGGGCCTGGACCGCATCTTTCTGGTGTCGCCCATCACCATCTTGCATGAAATTGACGAGGCCAGCCCGCTCTTCGGCATCAGCCGGCAGGACCTGGAGACGGACGACTTTGAGATCGTGGTCATCCTGGAAGGCATGGTGGAGGCCACAGCCATGACCACCCAGGCCCGCAGCTCCTACCTGGCCAATGAGATCCTGTGGGGTCACCGCTTTGAGCCCGTGCTCTTCGAGGAGAAGAACCAGTACAAGATTGACTACTCGCACTTCCACAAGACCTATGAGGTGCCCTCTACGCCCCGCTGCAGTGCGAAGGATCTGGTAGAGAACAAGTTCCTGCTGCCCAGTGCCAACTCCTTCTGCTATGAGAACGAGCTGGCCTTCCTGAGCCGTGACGAGGAGGATGAGGCGGACGGAGACCAGGACGGCCGAAGCCGGGATGGCCTCAGCCCCCAGGCCAGGCATGACTTTGACAGACTCCAGGCTGGCGGCGGGGTCCTGGAGCAGCGGCCCTACAGACGGGGGTCAGAGATCTGAGCCAACCTTGGCCGACATGCAGCATCCACCCCTGGCCGGGGAGAGGCCCCGCGGTCGCTCAGGGGCCCTGGGTTTGAGCAGAACGGGCCCAGTGCCCTGGGTTGCAGACTCAGTAGCGTTTTAGTCGTTTTATGTTTCTTTGCAAAGGCCTCAGAAGGTTGGCCGGAGAGGGGGCAGCCAGAGCGGCAGCCCCCGGCCTCAGAGGCTATCACAGGCTCAGGGCAAAGAAGTGGCCTCCTGGGGGGCCAGGCCACGGGGGCCAGGGCTTCTGCCTGAAGATGGAGCTGCAGCCTGCGGGGAAGCAGCCCAGCTCGATGGTGGGCCCAGCCTCTGCTGTCCAAGGCTGGCTAGCTGCGGTGCTCCTTGCTGGTTTTTAACTTGGGGAGAAACACCGGGTTTCAGCTTTCTCGACCTTAGCTTGGGTGAGACTGTTTACAAAAAAAAAAAAAACCATGCAATTGGAGAAAAAAATTTTAATTCATAGGGGGCAAAAAGAACAATTAGAATTCCATGGGTCTGCCAGGATGCAGCAGCTGGCTGGAGGCTCCAGAGGGTTCCCCGAGGTGGGACCGGCCTCTCCCCGTGTATGTGGGCACTGCAGTCCCTGGGCAAGCAGGGTGCTCTGGGGCCGCACTTTGTCGAGCTCACGAGCCAGCTAGGCTCTGTTTGTGATAGAAAAATCAAGACCATGTTAATGATTGTAATAAAAGCTTTCTGCTGTCTTTGGGGTGCTGGGTGGGTCTGGGAAGAAAGTGGTTTGAGCTTTTAGAGTTTGCCTTTGTACCTTAGAGATGTGTCTCAGGGCCAGGCATGGGACCTGCCATCGAGGGTTCCTCCTCCCACCCTCGATTTTCCTGTTTTGCTTCTTTCTCCATTTCTGTCCAGGCCTCCGCCCAATTCCACAGTGAGGGGTGGTTAGGAGCCATAGGCCAGGATGCCTCCTTGGGAAGGGAAGTCAGGATCCCAGGCTAGGAGGAAGCTGGCAGCCCCGTCCCCACTGGGCCCACAGTGTGAGTCGTGCGTTAGAGACTCCGTGTTGTCCTGTTCTTTCTGGGCTCGCTCATCTCCCTGCAACCCTGTCCCACCCCACCTCGCCCATACCTCCGCTGCTGAAGTTCCTCCAGCCCCTCTGTCTGCCTTGTGAATGTGGCAGGGGCCAGGTCTGCCTGACATAGGACCACATCCTGTCCCTCCCTCACCTGGAGCAGCACAGCAGAGTTCAGGCAGGGCACAGCCAGGCCCTGGTCAACGCTGAATGGCAGAGGAAAGATCTTAGGAAAGGAGAGGAATCACTACCCCCTCCTGCCAACTGGGATGACCGGAGGTGAGCGTGTGCGTCCGGCTCTTGTGTAGGAGGCTGTGTGTGTGCCCATGTGAACCCATGTACTTGAGTGTGTGTCTGTGTGCAGCCTATGCCTGCTGCTCAGAGCATGGTGGCCACCCCCTGAGCCTCTGCTGGTGCTGTGCTGCCCGGTCCCCACCCAGAGGGTCCTGGGGGGTGGGGAGGAGCCACTGTTGGGAGGCCCCTGTATAGGGTGTCTGCCCTGCGTGAGGTCATAGAATGTCAAATTACTTTAAATGGTGAAACTGGAGAATTTTCATGTTATTTTCAATGCACAGCAGTATCTAAAGACATAGGCGATGAGACTAGATCACATTAAGTGCATTTTGATCTCTTTGAGGTCCCCTGTGTCGAGATGTGTTTTCTGAAGGTCCCCTGCATGGCTCCACAGCGTGCTGGGCATCCACCCGGCTTCCTCAGCCTCCGCCTTGGGTGGGGGTTTCCTGGGGCTTCCTCATGGGTGAGGGTGGGGCATGGTGGCAGTTGTTGGGAGACGGAACAGAGCTCACCCTCCTTGCAGCTCCCAGTGGTCTCCAGCAAGCACACAGGGCTTGTCCCATGATGTCACCTCTCCCAGGTGGCAGGGCCGAGCCTCCTGCCTTCCCTTCCTTCTGCAAGGATGTGCTGGGTGCCTGCAGTTGCAGCAGTGCCCTCCCCAGCTGGGGGAGGCTGACCTGAGACAGGCAACTCCTTTCCCAGGAGGGGAAGCCCTGCTCCAGCTTGTAGCAGGCAGGGGCCGAGGAAGAGTTTCAGAGCGTGCCAATGTCTCCACTGAGGTGACGAGACAAGCCTGGAGTGGGGTGAGGGAACACACACGGCCCAGTTTTGGGAAACTAGACTTTCATCTGTACCTTGAGGCTCAGCCCCAGATCTCCAAGGTCTTCAGCAGGGACTTGTGGGGAGAGAATTCCTTCCCTTCCCAAACTATGTGAGTGGAGAGTTCTCCACTCCTCTGCATCAGCAAAGGACTCAGGGCACCCTCTTTCTGCAGGATTTCGATGATGATTCCAGACAATCATGGATAAGAATCCCCTGCCCGAGTCATTCCTGGGTGATGGTGCCGTGCATGGCAGAATGTGGAGCAGGGGTTTGGGTGCCAGGGCCTAGGGGGTCATGAAGGCTTCCCAATGGGAGCTCCCTTGGGTTGGACTTGGGGTGACCCGGGGACCCTGGAGGTGGCTTGGTTTGGTGGGGACCTCCTTTCTGACTCTGGGGCCCTCCTAGGACCCCAGTAGCAGGATCTAAGCCAACTGGGGCCAAAACACGGTGGCATCTGTCTCCACTGCACTCAAGCCCTCCGGGCCATTCCCATGGCACTGACTGGTAGGCATGAGGCCCTGGCCCCAGTTGGTGCTCAACAAATGCTTATCGTAGAGTCTCCAGGTGCGCTGTCCTGGCTGCACTAATGCCGCATAGGGCCCTGGGTCAGAATGCAGGCCACTCATTTGCTGGGGGACCTCCTGTGAATTCCTTTCCCCCTCCAGCCTCGGTCTCCTGATCTGCAAAAAGGGAGTGTTCATAAGAATGGCCAGCTCACAGGTTTGTTGGAAAGGAGGAGAAAGAACCCTGACATAGTGAGTGCTCCTCAGTGCCTGCCTTCTGCTAAGTCAGATTGCACTGGCACTGCCCGCCCTCCTGAGGGGCACCCGGAGGTGCTGCTCTGGCTCAAGGTCACAGCAAGGAACACATAGCCCAGGCCTAACCCCAGGTCTGCGTGACTTCCATGCACTTCCCTGCCTCTCCAGGGATGATGTGAGCCCAATCCAGAATCTGCTTTAAAACAGGTAGAGCTGGGATGGGGGTGGAGAGCTTGTGAGTGTTCACTGAGCGCCTGCGAGCTTGATGTTTGAGGTCTGTCAGGCCCCACCCTTGATCTTGGGCTGGCCCCTGTCAGCAGGCCTCAGAGGCACTGCTAACCTATTTTAGAGGAGGTTGGTCGAGGGAAGCTAAGGGACTTGCTCGAGGCCCCCACAGTTCCTCAAGCTGGGATCTAAGCCAGGCCCTGGACCCTTCGGTCAGTTGACCCAGATGCTGCCACCCTGCTGGCCACTGGACACCACAGGGCCTCTGCCTGCTGGTGACCAGGGCTGGGCTGCGGTCTCTGCCAGTGGAGGGGTGCCCCAGCTGGGGCTTGCCCTGGACTCATCTCCACTTTTCCCTTCCTAAAACCGGTCTGCAGGGAGGACCCCCACAACTTGGGAGGAATCACAGCCCAGATCAGAGCTGCCTGTGTGCTCCCCAACAGTAGTGGGGCCGCCAAGGACACGTCGGACCCCCTTCAGCCCACTCTCCACCCAGCACCAGAGTGGTCTTCTTACAACCAGAATCAGGCCTTGCAGCCCCCTGTCTGAAACACCCCCTGGCTTCTCCCTAACACTGGCAATAAAATCCCAGCTGCTCCCTGCCCGTTCACCTCTGCAAGCCCGCGCCATGCAGCCCAACCTTCCCTGCTCTCCCTCCTGCTCCTGACCCTCTGCTGCAGGCACCCTGTCCCTTGGGTTTCCTGACATTCCACATGTCCCCTTACCCCAGGACCTTTGCGCGTGCCTTCCCTCTGCCTGACACTTTCCCCTCAGGTCTTAGCAGACCCAGCTCCTCAATTTTCGAGTCTAGGCCTTTCTGGACCCAGTGCGAGGGATGGCAGATGCTCCCTCTGGAGGCAGTCATCACCCCCAGGCTTGCTGTCTGCTGTCCTCACCAGGCTGCGAGCTCTGTGGGGCAGGGACTGCCATCTCGGTCCCCGCTGGTGCCCAGTGCCAGGAGCAGGGCATGGAGGAGCTCCATGTGTGCTTGGATGGGGGGTGTGGGCCCTGCAGGCGTCTCTCCCACACAGAGGGCTCTACAGGTCTTGCCACCTGAGGCCCCCTTTTTGCTGACCCAGCCAGGATGGGGCCCAGCCACCAGCCACACCCAGGGGAGAGCAGCCCAGCCTGGGGTAACTGGAACCGGGAACCAGGAACAGAGCGGACAAGGGCTTTTGTGCTGAAGGCGATTTGAGCCCAAGGAAGGCTCTGGGTACTCCACCCGCTTTCCTCCTCGGTGCTGCCAAGAAAACATAGAAGGCGGCTCCCCTTTCACCCACAGCTGGACTGGGACCTGGATGGCCTGGCTTCTGGACTCTGCCCTTAAGTGTTTATGACTGGCCAACTCTGGGCCTCAGTTGCCTTCTATGGAACAAGAACTCCATTCATTCCTTCAGACAAGTGTTTATGAGCTGCCACTGTGAGCATCAGGGGCCAGGTGGGAAGGAAGCCAGGCCCAGCAGATGGTGAACAAGAGTCTGGGCCTGAGTCCTCTACAAGCGGGGATTCTGCTGCAGGGGAAGGATAGGGGAGAGGGGAGCAGCCTAGGCAGGAAGGAGCTGAGGAAGGATATGGGTGCCACTGGAGCCCATCACTGTCTGGCACTCCTAGGAGTGTGAAGAGGGGCAAGGGGTTGTCCTCCTTAGGTGAGGGGGGTGGGGCGGCGGTGGCAGCTATTGCGCTCATTGGTCACTCCTTGCTTGCAGCCACCCTGGGAGAGGAGGTGGCTCCTATGGATCCAGGACTATTCTCCAGAGGAGGGTGGCAGGGAGATGGGCACTCCTCCCAGGAACCGGATCTGGGTGGCCCCAACCATGTCCACTGCAGCAAGGAGCTACAGAGCAGCGTGGTCCCAGGATCCAGCGGGACACATGCAGGGGCTGCGTCCGGAGGCACGGAGGCCTGGCTGGAGGGACCGGGGACCTCCCAAAGGAAGTGACACTTCCTCTGGGATCTGTGGGATGACTGGGTGTTTGCCAGGCACACAGGGAAGTGCTTCCCAGGGAGAGGGACAGGCACAACCAAAGGCCTTGCAGTGGGAGACAGAAGAAGGAAGATGCTTGGCTGGGGTGGGCGGGTCACCGAGAGCCCAAGGACTCTGTGCAGGGCCCAGCCTCAGTCTTGTTCTCAGCCCCTCCCCGGCCTCCACCATAGCCACAGCATGGCTGCATTGCCCAACCCAGAATATCAGCCCTTGGGAGCAGGACTTTTTTGTTCTGCTTTGTTCGTAGCTGGGTCCCAGCCCCCAGAACTGCAAGCACTGGCACCCAGTAGGCTCTCAGTAAATCCTTAGCTGCTTCAAGATGTAAAAGGACCTTCAAGCCAGAGTTGGTGCAGTGTGGGCCTGTCCCTGGGGTGCCTGGGACCCTGCTGCAGGGCAGGGTAGGGTGGTAACCACCAGTGACCAGGAGCAGGAAGGGATAGGGTCCACAAGGGGTCCCAGGGGCTCCTCTGCACAGCTAATGCCAGAGGTGCTGGGGGGTGGGCCACACAAGCAACCCCAGCCTCAAATTAGGGACCCACCGACCAGGATCCACTGTGCTGTCAGAATAACATTTCGAAAGGCAAAAAATAAAACACACTGAGTTTCAAAGGAAATCTGTTTTATTGAAATGCAGTTATCAAAATATGAACAGATACATTGGTGGTATACTAATGGCTCTATTTCCTCACGGACCTGCTAATGGCCTCTGCCTCCCTGGCTGGTGAGCACAGCCCCTCCCAAGGGGGCCAGCAATGTCACAGGGCATGGGAATGCCTCCTGATCTGTGGGCGACAGGATAGTAGGCACTGGGCACTGCTCACCCTTGTCTGTCAAGGAAGAAATTGCAAAACTTCTCTGAGAGTGAGACGAAGTTGAGATTGAATGCTTCTCATTTCCCAGTGCACGTGCCCTGAGGCTTATCCCCAGACCCTGAGGGAGTTCAGGCCACAGGGGCTGGGCTGGGCCAGAGTAATTTCTTGAACCCAGTGCTGAATCTCAGAGTCAGAGCACTCCTGCCCGCCCCAACCCCCAGCCCCCAAGTCTGCTCGACCTGAGGGAGGATGGGGTGCTCCCTACGGAACACCAGGACAGTTCAAGGGTCTTCGCCCTGCACTTGTTTGGAGGCTGCAATGGTGGGTCGTGACTTTCACTTCATGGCTGTTAGAGGGCACTCCCTTTGCACTTAGCCCAGAAGCCGTAAACACTATGAATGCCATGGACAAGTGAATAGCAGGGAATGAAAGCTAGGGGTCCTCTTAGGCATGACCCTATGCCAGTCCTGGAGCCACCCAGAGAGGACATCTGAGGACTCTGAAGACCTTGGCTGCACTAACTTCTCTGTGCCTGTTCTCTCCTCTGTAAAATGGGGCTGATGATCATAAAGCCACAGGTAAAAGTAGGCAACCGCCTGTGGCAGCACCTGGCACAGGGGCACTGCCTGAGCACCAGCTTTCCTCTCTAGCTGCCTTATCTGGGGTACAAGCATCCCAGGCGGGGCAACCCTGGACTGGTGCTCTGTGGCTGGAGGAGAAAGGGAAGGCCAGTGGGGCTGGGCCAGTTAGAGCCGGGGAGGAGGAATGGGCTGGGGCTGGGGCTGGGATCTGCTGACTCCAGTGTGATAGAAGCAAGAAAGACCCCTGACATGTTTGACTTTTCAGGATCATTCCTGTTGCCATGTAGGAAGCAGGCCAGGGAGGAGGGCCCTGGGACTGGGCTGAGTGTGCAGCCCAAAAAGTGGCCCGAGGAAACATCGCGGCATCCAGGCTGGTCTGTGGACTTGGGTGGGAGCAGCCAGGCAGATGGGGAGGACTAAGGAGGAGAAGCTTGCGGAGAGTGATGGCCTCTCTGGATGCTTTAAAATGCAAACAAAGGCACAGCCACTTTGGAGGTTGGTTTGCAGTTTCTTGATAAAGTTAAACGTACACTTGTCAGACGGTCCTGCCGTTTGTTAACTAGGTACTACTGAAGAGAAATGAGACTCATGTTCACACAAAAACTTGTAAGTGGATGTTTATAGCAGTGTTACTAGTAATCGCCCAAACAAGGAAGTGGCCCACACGTGCCTCACCTGGTGAGGGGACAAGCAAGCCGTGGCCCACCCCGAGATGGAAGCGTCCCGAGCAGGGAGAAAGGATATTGACACCTGGCACCATAAATGTGTCCCAAAGGAAGCGGCAGAGCGGAAGGAGCCAGGCCCCGCCACTTCCTGCTGTGGGTCCCACATGTGTCCATGGAAGCTGTGAATGGAGTAGGGGATGGAGAACACATCCGCAGCTGCCAGGGGCTGAGGGTGGAGGCGTGGTTACCATGAGGGAAAGGAGGCAGTTTTGGGGCTTGGTGTCTTGAATATGGCTACACGGATATGTGCACTTTGTCAAAACTCACAGGACGGTGCACAGCAAAGGATGAGTATAGGTACATTACACCTTAAATTTTTTTTAAAGTGGGGAAAGAAAAAGAAGTTGCCACAAAAACCTTGTATGTTGAGCCATCAGCCTGTCTGGATTTCAGACACATTGGAGGAGAGGTCGGGTCTGTAGTTTGAGACTGGGGAGCCACCAGCTGTGGACAGAGTCAAGTGACTGAGAGATTAAAGACACCAGACACCTAGACACTGAGGATGTGGCAAGGTGAGGTTGGGAGAGGGCATGGGGTGGAAGGCATTGGGAATGACAGAGGCAAATTGGCAGGAAGATTGACACACAGATAAAAAGAGATGGTTGGATGAGCAGAAAGACAGGCAGAGAGACAGACGTGGACTAACAGACAGGCAGAAAGTGGATACAGAGACAAATATCCACTAACTGAGCAACAGGTAGACAGAAAGATGCTGTAAAGATAGAAAATTGTGTAAGTAGATGGATGGAGCTAAGGGTAGCTCTCAGGTGGACACAGACAGAAATGCAGACAGATGTCTTGGCTTACGAGTGCATGAACAGCCTGCCCTGATTTTCTGGGGCATTCTTCTAGATCTTGGATCTATGGTGTTGGCATTGACTTACGCCCTCTTTGGAGTCAGAGACGACTCCTCTCGCTCAGTGCCCTGCTCCACACTTCCCTGCTGCTGGGCCGGCCACTGCTGCACAAGTGGCTGCAGAAATCCCTCCTGGCAGGGACTAAGGCAGGCAGGCTGGGCTGCTGTGGACCCCGGGCCATTTTCTGAGTTGGGAAAAGGGTGCTGTCCAGGTGGTGTGGGCCGTGTAAAGGCAGTAAAGGGTTTCAAAAGGCCTGTCAGTGCATATCATCTGGAGTAGGGTGTGTGCTGGGGAACGGGGAGGAGGAGGACAGAGAAAATAGGAAACTTTGAGCTTGCCTGAGGAAGAACATCCACATGGATTATGAAGGATGGCTCATATTGACTGTATTTTCATTCAAATGTGCAAAACTATTTACTGAATTTTTTTACTGACCGGAAATAACTCCTGACTTACAGAATATTTTCATTTCCAAGTTACACTTTACCCTGAGTTACATAGCAGGCGCATCCGTAGTGATTCTGCACCCCACGCCCTCGCCAGCCCCTGGAAGACACTGGCTGGCCCTTGGCTGAAATGACCCAAATCAAAAGCCCCTGCCTTTCTGCTAATGGGCGTTGGGGAGATTGACCAGCAAAGAGCTATGGACAAGAAGCAGGACTGTCCATTTAAAAAGGACAAAAATCAGAGCCCAGTCCCAGGCCTGGGCAGCTCCTGTCAACATCCCATCCCCCTTGCACTGAACCAGCTGTGGCCCGCACTTTTTCCCATGGTCATGCCTGGGAAATGAAGGTGCAGGGACATGCAGGCGAGCTGGGGCGTGGAGTCACATCTGTTTCCAGAACATTCATGCTAAGGGAGGAACAGGGTCCGCATTGGAGAACATGGGGCAGGTGACTGGAAAAAGGGAAGCTAGAGCCACTTTTATTGTTTCCCGGGGTAACAGAAAACTTGGAGCCACAAGTGAGTCCCGGGAGAGTTTGGGTTAACTGGCCCCGAAGCCATCCTGTGTCGTGTGTGTATGTGTGTGTGTGTATGTGTGTTCCACTATGTGTTTTTCCCTGTGTGGCCTCAGTGTGTGTGTGTTTGCCTGAACTGCTTTCAGCGGTGAAAATCCTGGTGCTGACATGGACAGCATCCATGAAAGCATTTCGAGTCCTAAGTCAGCTGACCTATGTTGGGATGTGGCACATGTTGCATCGTCTGCCTTTGAAAAGGGATTTTCTGCGAGGGCTTGCAATGAAGGCATTCTGCTCAGAAAATGGCGGCAGGAAGTCATGCCCCCAAAAGGAGCCATTAGTGAATCCCACTATTAATTGTAAGTCTTAGATTCTGGGCTCAATACTGTCATTTTCATGATGTTCAAGTGATATAAAGGGCCAAACAATGTGAATCTCAAAACTAATGTGGGAATAGAATACTTCCTGCTCTTTGACTGTTTGACTAAGCACATACATCAACCTTTCCATATTTTTATTTATTTTGTTGTTGCTTGTTTTGGGTTTAAGGGGAAACTTTCATGATAATTGTACCCTGAAGCCATTTTCCTGGAATGTGTCTAGGCAAGGGATTCCAACTGGAACCCGTGGAGGCCAGGAAAACACTAGTCATCAGGATGTATTGCTTCATCTGGGGAACACCGTAAGGGACTCAACTCCAGGCACTGGTGTCTGGCTCTTGTGCGTTTGCTAAATTGACATGACTCCAGGATCTGTAGCAGGCCCACACATCCTTGATGAATACAGTGAAGTCTTGTTTTTACCAGCACTCAGTTGGCCAAATATCTTTTCCAGCAATGAGATATCAGAGGACACAGTGAAGTTATTCAAATTAGGGTGGAAAAATCACCAAAATTCACTTAAAATCATGTTTATCGAAAGTCCCAGTGGGATCAGGTTAGGTAGTAAATAACAATACAGAATGAAAATTTTAACGAGATTCCAATTTTAAGCTTGTCTTTTTTCCTTTATGTTTCATTATTTACTCATTGTACATTCACAGAAATACATTTGCTAAGCAAAGAGAATGACATTTGGAAGATAAGTGATTAAATAGGGTCTAAACTAGTTGCAACAACTGACACCACCACCAGTAACATGGGCTGTTCATTGAACTCTGGCAACAATTAAACATCTATTCATCAGTATCTAAGATACAAAAATAAAACTTTCATCTCTAAAATAGTAAGGTATATGTTCAAACAATGCATCCTTAATTTTTTTTAGAGACAGGGTCTCGCTGTGTTGCCCAGGCAGGTCTTGAACTCCTGACCTCAAGCAATTCTCCCACCTAGGCCTCCCAAAGTGCTGGGATTATAGGCATGAGCCACCACGCCTGGCCATCCTTAATTTTTAAGACTCCAAATTAAGTTGGAATAGACTGATATATCTAAATCAGATGAAGCATGTTTCTCTTTAAAGGAGGGAACTTACAAAACAGAAGTATTTTTGTTACATGAGCTAAGAGGCAATAAAGCCTTATTTGACAGTGTGCTAGGTACCCATGATGGCAGCATGAAGACAAAAACAGGAGGAATCAAAGCAATTGTACTGTGCAGATAACATGGTTCTTTAGGGTCAAAGGAAGGCTTCCTTTGTGCTCTATTAATGAAGCATAGTATTCATGATGCGTGAACGTGGAATGAATTCCCAATGTCCTTTGGCACAGAACCACACTCATTTCATGAAGTGTTTATGAACTGTTGATGGCTGCTTTTACAAAACCATGGCAGAATTGAGTAGTTGTGACAGAGACCATATGGCCTACGAAGCCTAAAATATTTAATATCTCACCATTTATAGAAAAAGTTTGGAGATCTCTGATGTAAGCTCCAAGAAGCAGCCAACTTTGTCTGTTTTGTGCACAGACATTCTAGCTCATAAGGAAGGCACTTTTCGAATTTGTCTGTAATGGATGAATGGACAGACAGATGGGTGGATGGACGCATGGATGGATGGACTGTTCCCACACAGTGTTGGAGTTGACCAATGGTCAGACCATACATTTATGGCAGCAGAATCTACAAGCTAATGGGAGCTTATCCCACAGGTTTCAGCCACTTACTGTGAAGCAGGCTTAGAAAAGACCAAGAGTGGGGCTCTCCCAGGAAGAAGTGATAGATGGGGAGCAGGTGGTGCTGATGGAAGGGGCTGAGTGGGGTCTGTGGAGGCCGCCATGGGTGAGGAGGACGTGGAGGCTACAGGCGCTGATGGACAGGGGAAAGTTGGCATTAGATGCCAGCCTGCATGACCAGAGAACGCAGAGCAGCTCTCGTGATGACGCTGTACCCAAACTCCACTTTCTAAATTGCATTTTCTGTCCCTTTCATCCGAATCATCCCCCACCTATCAAAGGACTTTTCCACCCCTGGCTCCTCCTGTGCTCGCCCACCAAATGCAAGGGAGCTGTTTTCCTCATGCTATGGGCTGTGTCCCCGCAATTCATATGTTGAAGCCCTAACCCTGGTGCCTCAGAATGTGACTGCATTTGAAGATGGGATCTTTAAAGAGGTAATTAAAGTGGAGTGAGGTGATGAGGGTGGCCCTAATTCAATCGGACTGATGTCCTTATAAGAAGAGATTAGAATGAAGGTGTGCACAGAGGGTCAACCATGTGAGGACTGACACAGGGAGAAGACGGCCGTCTACAAGCCAAGGAAAAGCCTGAGGTGACACCTTTTCCCAGGATCCCCGTGGCAGACTGATTGCATTTGATCACTTCCAGGATGAAGAGGGCAGCAAGATGTTCTCCCTGGAAGAGGCACTTACTCTGAATATGGGCTTATCTTCTCTGCCCGCAATCTTTCCATGGAAGTATGATCTGTTAACCACAGACCTTTTCACCATCATGGTGTCCCACTCAGAATTGCTCTGACTCAGGAAGCTACTTTATATCAAAGGAATGTGGCAACGGGTCAGTGCTTGTGGAATTCACTGATGCTGCCTTGTTCCCTGCCTTCCAAAAGCAGCTGATCTGGGAGAATAGTGGAATGGAGATTTTTCTCTCTGAGGCAAAGGAAAAAAGAAAGAACTTTACTTGATTATGACTTTCTCTCAATAGAAACACCATATTGCCAAATGCTGCAGATACTAATATGAATGGATGACAAGGCAGCAGTCCTTGCCAGCACACTCAAGCAGGGTCAGAGAAGACACATTGCAGTGGATGGAATCACGGCCCCTGAATTATCCAGGCCCTCACCCCTGGAACCTAGGACAGTTCCCTGACACAGAGAAAGGATCTTTGCAGATGTGATTTAAATTAAGGTCTTGAGAAGTGGGGGATTATGATAGATGACCCAGGTGGTCCTAAATGCAATCACATGTGTCTTTATCAGAGGGAGGCAGAGGGACATTTTACTACAGACAGAAGAGGAGGTGGCCATGTGACCATGGAGGCAGAGGGTGGAGGTGGCCAGCAGCCACTAGAAACTGAAGGAGGCGAGGATTGGGGTCTCCTGGAGCCTGTGGAGGGAGCGCGGCCCTGCTGACACCTTGATTCCAGCCCAGTGAGGCAGGTTTAGGACTCCTGGCCTCTGAACTGTGACAGAATAAATATTTGTTGTCTTCAGCCACCAAGTTTGTGCTAATTTGTTACAGCAACCACGGGAAATGAATATATCCATGCCAAAATTAATACATGCCTTCCATTTTATATTCTTTTCCAACCTTAAAATAAAACCAACAAGTGCTTCCAGATTTTCTTTTATAATTCTCTTTGTGCATTCAGTTCAGTAAATGTTCAAAAGGGTAATACGTTTATAAAATGTGATGCCAAATTGCATAAAATTGACCAGACTAAAGGGGAAAATTTACCATTTTATGAAATAAAATATAATTTATAGATCACCAGCATTAATTTATATCATGTCCTGCTTTGGGCTTCCAAATTCTGTTGGCAATTTTACCCTGGAAAAATATCATGAACCAAATAGGAAAACTGGTATTCTAAATACATTTCCTTCATGTGACACACTTCTTGTGTGTGGATGTAATGAGAATTCAAGAAAAGAAAAAAAATGACGTGTTTTTATTCCTCCCTTTATTGCCAAAATTTAGGCAGTAAAAACAGGCACCAAAGGAATGAGTTAAGATAGATTTAGAAGAGGACAAGTGGAAGCCAGGCAGGGCAGAATTCTAAGATAAGGGTCAAGATCCTCACCCTCCTCCTCAGCGGTGGCCCTGGGATGTGATGCGATGTCACTCCCATGGTTATGGCACATTACATGGCAAAGACGATTTCCGCAGATGCGGAGATACAGGCTCTTCTGATGGTCTTCAAGGGGAAAAAGCCATGTTGTGGAGACAGCCACCTGGTGGGGAATGGATAGGCTTTAATCCTTCTTTAAATGTTTGGTAGCATTCAACAGGGGAGAATGCTGTAGTTTGCATGTTCGACCTCTTAAAAATCTCACGTTGAGATTTATCCCCAGTGTTGGCGATGGGGCCTAATGGGAGGCATCTGGGTTATGGGGGTGGATTCCTCATGAATAGATTAGTGCTTTCCCTCAGGGTGAGTGAGCTCTTGTTCTACTAGTTCCTGGGAGAGCTGGTTGTTAAAAAGAGCCTGGCACCTCCTCCCTCTCTCTCTTGCCTCCTGTCTCGCCCTGTGACCTCTGTGCACACTGGCTTCCCTTCCCCTTCTGCCACGAGTGGAAGCTCCTTGAGGCCTCACCAGAAACAGATGTTGGTGCCATGCTTCCTATACAGGCTGCAGAACTGTGAGCCAAACAAATGTCTTTTCTTTATAAATTACCTAGCCGCAGGGATTCCTTTATAGCAACAAGTAACAGACTAAGGTATTTGCTGTTTTGTATAAATGGAATCACACAACATGTGGCCTTTTGTGACTGGCTTGTTTCACTTAGCATCATTTTTTCAGCATTCATGCATGTGGTTGTGTGTATCAGGACTTCATTCTTTTTATGGCTGAATAACAATCCATTGTATGTATACACCACATTTGATGCACTCCGCACTCCTTCATCTGTTGCTGGACACTTGGGTTGTTTACCCCTTTTGGCTGTTATGAATAATACTGCTATTAACACTGGCATGCAAGTATCTGTTTGAGTCCCTATTTTCAATGCTTTCTGGATTATACCTAGGCGTGGAAATGCAGGGCCATATGGTAATTCTATGTTTAACTTTTTGAGGAAACTCCATGCCGTTTGCCATAGCAGCTGCACCATTTTCCATTCCCACCAGCAATATACAAGAGTTCCAATTTCTCCACATCCTTGCCAACACTTGTTATTTTCCATTAAAAACATTACAGGCATCCTAGTAGGTATGAAGTGCTATCTCATTATGGTTTTGAGTTTCATTTCCCCAGTGACAAATGATATGAGAATCTGGTGGCCCAGTGGGCTTGGAGATTCACTGGGCTGGATGGTGGGAAGGGTTCACCTGCCTCCTTCGTGCCCTCCCAGAGCTCAGGATGCTTTGTGATGTGGGCCTAAACTCTAGTCAGGAGAGCATATTCTCTGCTCAGGTGCCTGAGGTGGCTGTGAGCTTCAGATGATGAAGAATTTTGTTTGGTTTCTTCTGCATTTTAATGAGCCCTGGAACTTTGGTTCCATTTTTTCATTTGTATGGAGTTGGGATCATCTTTCTGCCATCTGACTGCATTCGGTGGTGTCCACATTTGCCAGTTTGGAAAAAACATGTACCCAAATCAGGTAATGAAACCCAAGGGCTGCCCACTGAAACAGTAGGCTTTCATCTTCCCTTCCCAACTCCCATTTTTCTAAATCTATTATTGGGATGGAAAGACCTAGGGATGGGGACTCTTGGGAGATTTAAACATCAGTAGTCTAGAATAGGTTGAGCAGGGCAGTAGTCTAGAATAGGTTGAGCAGGGACCCCCTGCTAGGCATGGGGCAGGCTTCCAGGGCTAAGCCCCACACTGCAGTGCAGGTTGTGGACCAGCTTCCCTGCCCCCTGCCACCTGCCCAATGCAGGAGTCTCTGGGCCATGCCATTCCCTTTTGATGGGCTGGGCTGGATAGTGCTGCTGGCCTCAGCAGGCTGGTGGGACCCACAGGAGCTGTCTCAGGGGCTGGACCCTGCAGAATGCAGCCTGCATGTGCCTGAACAGCTGAGATTCCATGCCCCACAATTTAGAAATCCATGTAGAAAAGAACTCTTTATTTGAGATTGGTGGAGAAGGATCAGAAGACCATATTTTTAAAATCAATGTTTATATATGTATGTATGTATTTATTTTTTATTTAGTTTTGCACCTACACTATACACAGGATCAATCAATTTTAAAAATGAATAACACGAAAAAGAGACAGATCTCAATGAAACCATGTAAGATTATTGATCACATGATTCTTAATCACGCTCTCTCAGGATCTCAAACTCACCAACATGGACCTGCCTCCTGGATTCCGTGGCGAACAGGCTGTGAGAGTGTCCCTTCTGGTTCTGCTCACAGGCTACAGAGGGCAGCAAACAGGACGAGAATCTGTCATCGACTCAAGAGCAGCCAGAGACCCTTAGCAGTGGAGGGAGAAATAGGTGTACAGGACTCAAGACCCCTCGCCCAGGAAGATGAGCAGGTCCTGCACCCCAGTTCCTGCCATGGGGTCCAATAAGAGGAACTTAGTGTCAGTGATTTCTTCTTCTGAAGAGAGGGAAGGGTAAGCCTAGCCATGGCATGAAGCCTTGGGCAGAGCCCAGGCCCACTGAGCAGCAGAGCCATCTCTTGGGTAAAGGGCATATGGACACCCAGAGACAAGTGAGCCATTGCCTGGAGCCCCCAGAGGACGGCAGGCTCGTGCCTGGAGCCAACACAAGGAAAAGAAGTCCACCCAAGGGGGTGCTCAAGGCCCAGGCAGAGCCACCCTGTGATTGCAGGGCACCCACCTCCCCGAGCACAGCAGAGGGCAGAGGGCTGCAGCTCTGTGCGCCTGAGTGTCAGAGAGCTCCACACAATAAGAAGGTCACAGGCAGCGTCCGAGAAACCAAGCAACCTTGCAGTCACCCACTCCCAGGCTTCTAGGGAATGTTTTCTCAGCCAGATCCTGACAGCCCGGACCAGAGCAGCAGGGCCATGGGCCATGCTCACACATGGCAGTTTCCTTGAGTCACCCAGAAAGTCCTCCTCCATCCTCAATTTCAGCAAAATGATGGCCTTACTTCTCACTACCAGCCACGCTGAATCTTCCTGAATGGATACATTTATTTACCAAGGAAGGACAGTGTTTTTTCCTCTCTGTGCTGAGTTTGGGGGAAGTTTAGACTATCCCAGGAACTGGAGCTGAGGGAAAAGGTTGGCTTCAGCTCTTTCAGAGAGCCGGCTTGGACTTCTGGAAACTGACCAGCACCTGGCAGGGGGTTTGAAGCCACGTGGGACACCCATGGTCATCCCAGGTTTCTTCACTTGTTTCTGTGAATACTGCCTTTAGAAAACCAATACAAAAAACAACGAACAAACAAACAAACAAACAAAAAACAAACCCAAGCACTCAGGGACTTAGAAAGTGAGAAGACTCATCAAAGAACAAGCGTCAGGACCTGGTCTTGTCAGTCCTTCCGTGCCCTCGTTCTACTGAACTGCATAGCCACCAGGGTGCCGGGGCTGCACGGGAACCAGACAGTCACAGTTCTATTGTTCAGTCTCCAGGGCAAAAAGAGACCAGAACTTTACATATCCTGAACATGGAATTAAGATTTGGGAGTCTTGAGGCTCTAAGTTCAGAAGGGTGAGGAACAATGGCCATGACTGAATATTTGGGAGGAGAACGGCTTTCACGTGTTCCCAGAGATCTCATCCACCCCAGTTGGAAGCTGGGGACACCAGCACTGCTCCCCGACTCTTAGCTTAGCCTCAGCTGACCCCGAGCTTCCCCTGCCCCTCCCTGTATGGGAACCCCACACTCCTGGCCCAGCCTGTGTCTTGACAGTGGGGAGGGAGGCTGAGGGGCAGGCAGGAAGGGCAGAGCCCTGGCACACCTGGCAGTGGAAGGAGAAGCTGTTACCAGGCAGGGCAAAGAGCACAGGAAGGCCCACAGGTCTTCAAGTAGCACTCGCTTGCTCTCCAGCCACTGGAAGGAGCTGATGCCATGCTAGAGACATGGAAATTAACTCACAGCCCACCACCTTCCCCCCACCACAAGACAGCCCCGCCTGAAAGTAGGCATACTTACCTTAAAAAAAAAAGCTCATATGGACAGGCAAAGGAACTGGCAAAGCTAATGCAATTTTGAAAAAACAAGGCCAGGGGAGGTGGCTCATGCCTATAATCCCAGCACTTTGGAAGGGTGAGGTGGACAGATCACTTGAGGCCAGCTATTGAAGACTGGCCTGGCCAACGTGGTGAAGCCCTGTCTCTACTAAAAACACAAAAATTAGCTGGGTCTGGTGGCACACACCTGTAATCCCAGCTACCCAGGAGGCTGCATCGCTTGACCCCAGGAGGCGGAGATTGCAGTGAGCCAAGATTATGTGCTGCAGCCTGGGCAACAGAGTGTGACTCTGACTCAAAAAAAGAAAAAAAAAGAAAAAAAAGAAAGAAAACAAGAACAAAGTTGCCCCTATTTCAACACTTATTACACAGTGAATAAAGACTGTGCCCATAGGCAGAGGGACAGACACTTCGATCAACAGGACAGAATGGAGACCCAAATTAAAGTGCCCAAGTGATTTTTGACAAATGTGCTCAAGCAATTCATGGGGGGAAAGGTGGCCGCTCTGTCACATGGAAGTAGGGAAATCGCACATCACAGGCACAGCAAGCAGGCAGGCAGAGAGAGAGCTCCTGATCTAGACTCTGAAGCCTCACCATGTACAAACATTCACTCGAGGTGGATCACACACTTCAATGTGAAACGCAAAACTGGAAAACTTTAGGGAAAAGGATTCTAAGAGAAAAGTTAGGTACCTAGGGCTAGGTAAAGATCTTTGAAGGCTTGACCGCAAAAGCACGATCTGTAAAGAGAAGTGGATAAATTGGAAGTCATCAAAATAACTCATGCTCTATGAAAGACCCTCTTAAGAGGATGAAATGACTAAACACAGACTGGGAGTCTGATCCAGGACTCACATCCAGAACATATAAAGAACCCTCAAAACTCTTCAATAACTTGATTGGGCCATGATCAGCCTCCTGGCCTCCCCTCCCTGCCTAGAAGTTCCCAGGCTCCTGGGCGCCCTCTTGGAATTAGAGAATCTTTCGGGGTCCCCGGAGTGACTTTCCTTCCTGCATGTGTGACAGGAAGGGGAACCCGGGCAGGAATTTACAGACACTGTACTCATCCTAATGGAATGGTCATCTATTGCATGAGACACATCACAAGCCACTGCCCAACAGCAGAGAGACTATGGCAAGGACAAGAGAGACATGCTGCATGGGGCAGGTTGCAGGCCAGAGTGCAGCCATGCTCCGGGGCCTCCCGGGGAGATGGGGTGCACGTCCAGGTGGGAGAAGTGGGCTTTCAGGACAAGAGGAGGGATGGCTTTCCAGGGCTGGGGCCAATTCCTTCCTCATCTTCCATCTCTCAATTCCACATTCTTCCTCCTCACTCACCACAGTCATGGGGGCTGAATTTCTGAATTCCTAAGACTCCCCTCTCCCGGGGAACTGGTAGCTGTCCTGCCCACCTCTCAGATGGCTCCTCCCATCCCTGGCCACATCCACCCCTGGATGCTTCTTGCCCTCACACAGTCCCACAGCCAGCCCCAAAACTGAGCGCCCACAGTGTTTAGAATCCTGCAGCCGCTGGCCCCAGGCTTTGACTCCACGGGCTGAGGCCTTTAAGGACATCGGCAGAACCGAGCCAAAGGAGCGCCGCCCACCCAGCCAGAGAACACTGATTCAGGGAGATGGAAATAAGATTTAGTTACTGAGACCTTGTTTACACAAAAATATTCTAAGAGAACTCATAGATGGGAGGGAGTAAACCAGTCTCTGTGGCCCATGGAGAGAGGCTTGGGACAAGTGGGGTCGTGGAGAGGAGCCAGGAGCAGAGGATGAAAAGCAGGAAGTTTCAATGTATGTGGTTTAAATGGCCTGGCTCAGCAGGACCCCAGGGTTTCCAAGTCCACTCCTGGTGAGGCCCTGAATAACTCATCTCTGCAGGCAGCAGGGAGCCACTGCAGGTGTGGGAGGGAGGGAAGGTCGTAATGAATAGCGGGTTTGAAAGATTCCTAGGGCATTTTCTTCCTAATCTCATGACGGGGTTAGGTAAGCAGCCTCGGCCTCAACCCCACTCCTGCTGCCGCCTCTGCCCTCAGATTCTGCCTCTGGGTCTCCAGGCAGAGGTGCTGCTGCCCCGGAGAGGGTGCTTGACCTTCCAAGAGTTCCCACTGCTCAGAGGCACACAATTTAGCTTATAATTAGAGCATCGAACAGGGAATACTGTGCTAGTTCCTAGGAAACATTTCCTCTGGGCACAGTCCGCCGCATATGCTGCAATTGCACCCAATGGCCCACCCACAGGCTTTGATATCACAGATCCATTTTAGACCCTTTCTCACAAAGGAATGGAAAGAAAAGAAAGTTGAATGCAAATTAAGTACACTCTGTCACAGCCTCGCTATCAGGGTTTCCTGGATCTACAGCACATAAACCTTTCAAACATCACACTGACTACAAAGCAGTCATCGGAATGATCCTTTTGCCAAATATTCAAAGAAAAGAAGAGCAAAGCATGTACAAAGGTTCCAGAGGGTGCAAAGAAAGCCTTTCTATTGCTAGGCATAAAGCTATCACAAAGCAACAGGGCTGTGAGGGTCCCCAGAACAAATTAGTATATACAAAAAGACTAAGTTGCTCCCTTCCACTGGAGCCAGGAACACCTTGAAAAAAATGAACTGGGGTTGAAGGCAGCTGACTCAATTACATATATCTATATCTACACACACACACACACACACACACACACACGCACACACACATATTTTGCCAGATCTAAAATATACTACAAAGTGTCTCTACTAAAGCCATAAAATACAGCACAGCAATAGACCAGCTGACCCATGAAGACTACAAAGCCTGGAAATATCCCAGCTATGTGTGGGAATTTGGTATATGATAAAGGCATCATGTCAAATCACTGAGGAAAAGATGGACTTTTAAATAAATGGTGCTGGGGAAACTAGATGGCCATCCTGAAAACAACGAGATTGGGTACACATCTCACATGTCACACAAGATCAAACTCCAATCGACTGGAGATTTAAATGTGGAAACTGAAACCATGTAAGAACCAGAAGTGAACATGAGTAATTCTATGAAAACCTGGGTGTAGAGAAGGCTTTTATCATTATGCTTCAAAGAATCTGATGCACTCACAGAATGAACTAGCAAATTAATACATAAATATTAAATGAAACCTTTCTACATGGCCAAAAACACCATAAATGACAGCAAAATACAAGTAAAATATTGGGAGACAATGTTTGCAGCAGATAGAAGGTTAATCTAGCTAATATTTAAAAAGTCTTGAAATTGACAGAAAAAAAGAAAAATGTGAATACAAATGGTCCTTAAAGCATCTTTGAATATTTGCAGCTCAGATGCAGAGACCCTAGGGAATCCTGCTGTTGGCCACCTGCAGGAGGAAACGAAAATGAGACTGCTCAGGACTGCGGGGTGAGCCCTACAGTTCTCCCTGGACATGGCCTGTTCAGACTCAAACCCAACCCACACCCCAGGTGTGTAGAAGCCTGGTGAGGGCAGGAGGGGGCAGCGAGGGTCCACAGAACCTTCAAGTCCACCAGATGTGGCCCACCCTGAGGGCCGGGATCCCAACCTAGGCACTTGGTGGCTGAGGAAACCATGGTGGGTGTTTGGATGACTCTGCCTGGGCCTGTGTCCAAGGATGCAAATGACCACCCTCAGTGATTCAGCCAAGGCCAGGGAGGCCTCGCCTCGGTCGGGGAGCAGCAGGTGGCAAATTGGAGCCCTGGCTGGGCAAACAGGAGCCTTGGCTGAGTTAGTGTGACCCAGGATGAGTCAAGGCTGAATGAGTTGAGTGTCCAATCCTCTTGCTGGTGGGTGGGGATCACGTCCCCTCAACTGGAAACAGGGCGGGCTCTGAGACAGCTGTGCCCACTGAAGGGCGGGGAAAGATTCACCTGCTGGTTTCTGGCCCAGGACTGAGGACACTGGCACCTTTCCCTGCCTGTCTCTTGGGGCTTTCTTTTCATGATCCCTGAGCCTCCATGGAAGAAGTCCAACCACCTGAGACCAGCAGGCTGGAGGCCAGGTGCAGGTTCTCTGGAAGCAACCCTTCCAAGGCACGAGTGCGGCCATCCACGTCTGAAACCAGCCCAGACACCACTGAAAACCATCATGCGTCCCAGGTGGAGACCACATAGAGCAGAAGAATCTTACAGGAAAGACTTGGGATTCCTAGAAGTATTCTTGGTATGATGGTCATACAAGACCATAGAAAGACACACAGGTATTATAATGGTTGAGTTTGTTCCATGGAAACAGTGGGACTAATTATAAATCTCATTAAAGGATATGAGCGAAGACTGAGGACCAAACTCCTGTTTAGGTTAAGTGTGTGTACATAGATCTTCTATTTACTTAGAACTCTTCAGGAAATTTGCATGAGAAATGGCCAATGACTGTCTCTTGGAATGAGAGCCAGAGGTGATGAACGGCATTTTATTTTGATTTTACACACTCTTCACTGTATGATCATTTTATACTAAATATGCATAATAAAAATAAAATCTTCTGATAATTAGTCACATAAATATGAGATTCACAATATGAGAGATAAAAACATCTAAAAACAAAACAGACCCAGGCAATTGCATCATATGTGATCCAGTCCTATCACTTTAAAATTATCCAAAGGAATTATGCACATTTGCTAAGATTTTAAATAATGTGATTCTTCTCAGTTCTCTATAAGCGTGACAAATTGGAAGTATGAAGTTGATCTCACACTGAATCTTGTATAAAAACAATGAACTCTAATGCAATGATTTTTAAATTAAATTTACTTACATAATTAAACATGTCAAGGAATTAAAGGGAGGAGTATTGTCATCTGGAATCAGAAGAGCTCACAGCCATCTCCACTGTTGATTGAAGATTTGAGTGAGGGGTCTTAGAGACTGAGTCAGTGGGCTGGGGTCTAGGCTTCACTCCTTTTTGGATCAGGTAACTTTAACTTTGTGTCTGTTTCATTGTTTATTTAGCACTGCTGGTACAAACACAGAAGAGCAATTGATCCTCACGGGGTGTTCTTCAGGGACAGCTGGTGGTAGGTGAGGGTGAGCTGGGAGGAAGGTGGCATTTTGGGAGAGAAAGAGTGTCCACTCCCCAAGCAGTTTGATTTTCTGGGGCTGTCCCTTTGACACCAAAGGCAAGCCCTTACTGTTCTTTTCTATTTCTCCAAGCTCCCTCTGAGAATCACAGGTTAAGAATTTTTTTTGTACTAGTACTAATTATAAAAACTTTTGATTTTACTGCCAATTTAAAAAATTATATTTCATTTTTCTCCATTCACAGGAGCAAATCTGTGAACAGATGTTTTGTCTGTATTGAATATACTCTTGTTCTATGTATTCTGCTTTCATGAATCTAGTTATGCAGTATTTAATTTTTACCCTTTATTGATTACAAATACCATTTCAAGGAAAGCACAGTTTTTTGAGTCTTGAAGGAGAAAAGGGCTTTCCACAGGTAAGGCAGGTGGGAGTGAGATCAAGTTAGGATGTTGACCAAGAATGGTTTACACAGCAAAGCAGTGCTTACGACTACAAAGGTGCTTGCAGGCATCTGTCTGGAGGTCTCCTCAATAGCAAAGCTCCTATTCTGCCCTTTATATTAATGTGTTTAGAGCCTCACTCCATTTCCCTGGCGGCATGGACTTTCTCAATTTTTTCACTTCTGGCCACCTTGTGCAGATGTTTCCAGAATGGGGAATCTTTATTCCTGTTTCTGCCCAAGTTCATTCCTGGGTAGTTCTATTATAGTTTGAATATTTGTTTCCTCCAAATCGTATGTTGAAATTTACCCTCAGTGTTGGAGGTGGGGCCTAATGGGGGCAGATCCTTCGTGAATGGATTTAATGCCCTCCCTCAGGGGTGAGTGAGCTCTTGAGCTCTATTAATCTCAGGGAGAGCTGGTTGTTAAAAAGAGCCTGAACATCCCCTGTCTCTCTTGCCTCCTGTCTCAGCATGTAATCACTGCACAGGCCAGCTTCCCTTCCCCTTCTGCCACAAGAAGAAGCCACTTGAGGTCTCACCAGGAGCAGAGCAGATGGCAGCATCATGCTTTCAGTGCAGCCTGCAGACCGTGAGCCAAACAGACCTCTTTTCTTTATAAATTACCCACTCTCAGGTGTTCCTTTATAGCTACACGAAACAGACCAAGACAAGCTCCCTTCCTCCATTTGTCACAACCGTTGAGACACTTGTTTTCTTGGTTTTGTTTGTCTTAGTTGTTTTTGACTTTGCCTGGTCTTCTTCCTCAGTTGTTATCTATATTTAGGAGCATATATTTTACAGGGATAAAATATTCACTAACGAATACTTCTATTTTATTTTCACCCACATTTTAAAAAGATACAATTCTCGCTTTTGTGGTAGCAAATGTAGGAGATTTTCATTACTAAATGGCATTTTATACATTTTTCTTATAGGAATTTATTGATGTACGTATTTCTAACTTCCTATATGGATCAGCTCCTCACATTTTCTTACCTTAAAGAATGACTTTCGTAGTTCTTGACAGATGAAAGGGCTTTTCTCAGAGACTGTAGCAGGAAGACAGAGCAGGTGTGGGGGTTCCTTAGAAGGGGAGGGCTGGGGGGCAAGTTGCATGACACACCTCCTCAGCTGGCTCCTGGGAATGAAGACAAGGGGCTGTTTAACTACAGACACACTCAGCACCATGAGAAAGCTAAAATAAACAAACAAAAAGCTACAGGCATATCTTGGAGATATTGCAGGTTTGGTTCCAGGCCACCACAATTAAGAGAGTCACACAAATTTTTTGGTCTCCCAGTGCATATAACATTATGTTTACATTATATGGTAGTCTATGAAGTGTGCAATAGCATATGTCTAAAACAGTGTACACACCTTAGTTAAAAACACTTCAGTGCTAAAAAATGCTAACAACCCTCTGAGCCATTAGCAAGTTGTAATCTTTTGGCTGCAGAGCCTTGCCTCAGTGTTGATGGCTACTTACTGATCAGGGTGGTGGTTCTGAAGGTTGGGGTGGCTGTGGCAATGTTTTTTTTCTTTTCTTTTCTTTTTTTTTTTTTAGAGACAGAGTCTGGCTCTGTCATCCAAGCTGGAGTGCAGTGGTGCAATGACAGCTCACTGCAGCCTCAAACTCCCAGGCTCAAGTGATCCTCCTGCCTTAGCCTCCCGAGTAGCTGGGACCACAGGTACATGCCACCATGCCTGGCTAATTTTTAAATTTTTTTTTTTTTTTGTAGAGATGTGGTCCTTCTATGTTGCCCAAGCTGGTCTTGAACTCCTGGCCTCAAATGATCCTCCCATTACCTGAAGTGCTGGGATTACAGGTGTAGCCACTGTGCCCAGCCTGTGGCAATTTCTTAAAATAAGACAATGATGAAATTTGCCACATTGATTGACCCTTCCTCTCACTAAAGATATCTCTGTAGCATGCGATGCTGTTTGATAGCATTTGACCCACAGAAGATCTTCTTTCAAAATTTGAGTCAATCCTCTTAAATCCTGCTGCTGCTTTATCCACTAAGTTTATGTAATATTCCAAATCCTTTGTTGTCATTTCAAAATGTTCACAGCATCTTCAGCAGAAGCAGATTCTATCACAAGAAACCACTGCCTTTGCTCATCCATCAGAAGCAACTCTTCATCAGTTAATCATGAGATTGCAGCAATTCAGTCTTATCTTCAGGCTCCGCTTTTAATTCTAAGTTCTCTTGCAATTTCCACTACATCAGAAGTAACCTCAACTGAAGTCTTGAACCCTTCAAAGTCATCCATGAGGGTTGGAATCCACTTCTTCCAAACTCCTGTTAATGTTGACATTTTGACCTTCTTCCATGAATCATGAATGTTTTTAACAAAATCTAGAACAGAGACTCCTTTCCAGTAGGTTTTCAATTTACTTTGCCTGGATCCATTAGAGGAATCACTATCTATAGCAGCTATAGCCTTATGAAATATATTTCTTAAATGATAAGGCTTGAAAGTCTAAAACTACCCCTTGATCCACAGGCTGCAGAATGGATGTGTGTTAGCAGGCATGAAAACAACATTAATCTCCTTGTATATCTCCATCAGAGCTTCTGAGTGACTACGTGCATTGTCAATAAGCAGCAATATTTTGAAGAGAATCTTTTTTTCTGAGCAATAGGTCTCAATCACAGGCTTAAAGTGTTCAGTAAACCATACTGTAAACAGATGAGCTGTCATCCAGGCCCTGTCGCATTCATAGAGCACAGGCAGTTAATTTAGCTTAATTCTTAAGGGCCCTAGGATTTTCACAATGGTAAATGAGCACTGGCTTCAATATAAAGTCACCAGCTGCATTAGCCCCTAACAAGAGAGTCAGCTTGTCCTTTGAAACTTGGAAGCCAGGCATTGACTTGTCCTTTCTAGCTATGAAAATCCTAGGTAGCATCTTATTTCAATAGAAGGCTGTTTCATCTAAATTGAAAATGTGTTGTTTAGTGTAGCCACCTTTATCAATGATGTTATCTAGATCTTCTGGAGAACTTGCTGCAACTTCTACATCGGCACTTGCTGCTTTACCTGGCACTTTTATGTTATGGAGACAGCTTCTTTCTTTCAGTCTCATGAACAACCTCTGTTAGACTTCAACTTCTCTTCTGCAGCTTCCTCATCTCTCAGGGTTCATGGAATTGCAGAGAGTTAGGGTCTTGCTCTGGATGAGGCTTTGACCCACAGCTGGTTCCACACCCCTAAAACTTTCTCCAGCTCAGCAATAAGGTTGTTTTGCTTTCTTATCATTCTTGTGTTCACTGAGTAGCACTTTTCATTTCTTTCAAAAACTTTTTTTTTGCATTCACAACTTGGCTAAATGTTTAGCACAAGAGGTCAAACTTTTGGCCTATCTTGGCTTCCAACATGCCTTCCTCATTAAGCTTAATCATTCCTAGCTTTTGATTTAAAGTGAGAGCTGTGTGACTCTTCCTTTCCTCTGATCGCTTAGAGGCCATTGTAGGGTTATTAACTGGCGTAACTTCAATATTGCTGCATCTCAGGGAATAGGGAGGCCTGAGGAGAGGGAGAGAGATGAGGAATGGCGATTGATGGAGCAGTCAACAGACAACATTTATTGATTAAATTTGCCATCTTATATGGACTTGGTTCATGCCTCAAAACAATTACAATAGGAACATGAAAGATCACTGATCACAGATCACCATAACAGAAATAACAATAATGAAAAAGTTTTAAATATTGTGAAAATTACCAGAGTGTGACACAGAGGCAGGAAGTGAGCACAGGCTGTTGGAAAAACAATGACAGATTTGCTTGATGCATGATTACCACAAACCTTCAATTTGTAGAAAGCACAATATCTGCGTTAACTCCTATTTCTCTGGAATTGTCTCATAAACTTCAGGTTGTCAATGAGAGACTGCTTGGAGGCTAAGCCTGCTCTGAGGGGCTGCAGCTACCCTGCCCCTGGCAGTGTCTTTGAATGCAAGGTGTGGATAAAGCTGGAGATTTTTCGATGGAGCAGAGGCCAGCCGGGTGGTTGCACTGACTCGTGATAATCCTGGTGGCAGTGCTGGAGGCCGGTGAGGTGGTGAAGGGCATGGCGCTTCGGACATGGGCCCTTCCTACGTGCAGGACCTCCTGGGGTGCAGAGGCTAATTTCATCTTGTATGGATGATGTTCCTCTTCCTCTGTCACCAGAGATGAGATTTTGTGTTCAGATCTGGCTCCCATAAGAGTCATGTCATCTGCGCTGTTTTTGATTTTGTTCTGAGCTTCCCACTGTGCCCTATGGCTGGTGTTCCCCCAGTCCATGGCTGTGATTACATCTCTGATACACAAATTAGCTACAGCAGCCTTGCTTCCGGGGGTGACCTGGAAATGGAGAGGATGCTTGAAGTCCTTGCTGCCCATGATGCAGAAGCCCCACGGTCCCGGGCCCTGAGAGACTGTCTACTGGGTGGTCATGGCATGGGGACAGACTTGCAGGACAAGAGCACTGGTCATACCAAGAGAACCTGCTCTGAAAATTGAATTTTGCACAAGCCTAGCTGTAACCCGAGGACCAGTTTAAGCTCATATTTCCTCAAACACACTGCCCTGACTCAAAGACCAACCTTACCTCCAGCTGTCACTCACCAGTCAGAGCTCACCAGCTCCCAGAAGCTTCTTCAGAGCCAATGTGCTTTCTTTCCAAACAATACCTAACATTTCTCTAATAAAACTCTCACCTTTCTTTTTTTAAAAAAACTTTTAATTTAGGTTTGAAGGTGCATGTTCAGGTTTGTTATCAGTTTACGTAGGTGAACTCGTGTCATGGGCGTTTGTTGTACAGATTTTTTTCATCACCCAGGTATTAAACCCAGTACCCACTAGTTATCTTTTCTGCTCCTCTCCCTCCTCCCACCCTCCACCCTCAAGTAAGCCCCATTGTGTGTTGTTCCCCTCTATGTGTCCATGTGTTGTGATCATTTAGCTCCCACTTATAAGTGAGAACATGTGGTATCTGGTTTTCTGTTTCTGCCTTAGTTTGCTAAGGATAATGGCCTCCCACTCCATCCATGTTCCTGAAAAAGACGATCTCATTTTTTATGGCTGCATAGTGTTCCATGGTGTATATATGCCACATGTTCTTTATCTAATCTGTTATTGATGGTCATTTAAGTTGATTCCATGTCTTTGCTATTGTGAACAGTGCTGCAATGAATATTTGTGTGCATGTGTTTTTAAAGTACAATGATTTATATTCCTCTGGGTATATAAATCCCAAATGGGATTGCTGAGTCAAATGGTAGCTCTGTTTTTAGCTCTTTGAGGAATTGCCACACTGCTTTCCACAATGGTTGAACTAATAATTTGCACTCCCACCAACAATATACAAGCTTTCCCTTTTCTCCAGCATCTGTTATTTTGTGACTTTTTAATAATAACCATTCTGACTTGTGTGAGAAGATATCGCATTGTGGTTTTGTTTTGCGTTTCTCTAATGATCAGTGATATTGAGCTTTTTTTTTCATATGCTTGTTGGTCATATGTATGTCTTCTTTTGAAAAGCGTCTCTTCATGTCCTTTGCCCAGTTTTTAATGGGGTTGTTTTTCTCTTGTATATTTCTTTAAGTTCCGTAGAGATGCTGAATATTATGTCTTTGTCAGATGCATAGTTTGCAAATATTTTCTCCTATTCTGTAGGTTTTCTGTTTACTTTGTTGATGGCTTCTTTTGCTCTGCAGAGGCTCTTAAGTTTAATTAGATTCTATCTGTCAAATTTTGCTTTTGTTGCAATTGCTTTTGGTGTCTTCATCATGAAATTTTTGTCCATTTCTATGTCCAGGATGGTATTGCCTAGGTTGTCTTCCAGGGTTTTTACAGTTTTGGGTTTTACATTTTAGTCTTTAATCCAGCAGTCCACAACCTTTTTGGCACCAGGGACTGACTCTGTGGAAGACAATGTTCCCACAGAGAGCAGTAGGCAGGGGGATGATTTCGGGATGAAACTGTTCCACTTCAGATCATCAGGTATTAGTTAGATTCTCAAAAGGAGTGTACAACCTAGATCCCTCACATGTGCATTTCACGATAGGGTTCGCACTCTTATGAGAATCTAATGCTGCTGCTGATCTGACGGGAGGTGGAGCTCAGGTGGTAATGCTTGCTTACCAGCCACTCATCTCCTGCTGTGCGGCCTGGTTCCTAACAAGCCACAGAATGGTACCAGTCCATTGCCCAGGGGTTGGGGACCTCTGCTTTAATCAATCTTGAGTTAATTTTTGTATGTGGTGAGAGGAAGGGGTCCAGTTTCAATCTTCTGCATATGGCTAGCCAGCTATCCCAGCACCATTTATTGAACAGAGAATCCTTTCCCCAGTGCTTGTTTTTGTCAGGTTTGTCAAAGATCAGATACTTGTAGGTATGCGGCCTTATTTCTGGGTTCTCTATTCTGTTCCATTGGTCTATGTGCCTGTTTTTGTCCCGGTACCATGCTGTTTTGATTACTGTAGCCCTGTAATACAGTTTGAAGTCAGGTAGCGTGATGCCTTCAGCTTTGTTCTTTCTGCTTAGGATTGCCCCTGGGCTATTCTGGCTCTTTTTGGTTCCATATGAATTTTAAAATAAAAACTCTCAACTTTCTCTTTGTTCTTGGAACACACTGAAGACCACCCGATCTGTGAGTATGCCCCACTTTGCCATTCTTGCCTCCTAAATAATCAGTGTTAAGTTTAGAGATTCATCTCTATATTTTGTTTGACTTCAGCAATGTAAACTGTGAGTCAGAGCTGCAGTGGTGGAGGCTGCAACCTTGGCGGCGGGAAGGTCAGTTCACAGGGTTTCTCGGCATGCTCCTCCTGTGTCCCCACTGTCTACAGGTGCCCTCCATCATATATGTGTGCCCTTGGCTTGTAGACTGGCCTGATCTTTCCAGAACTATTTTTGGTCATGCCTCATGCATGAGCTTGTGCCTGAGCACAATGATGTGAAAATTAATTTAGTCATATCTTGTCCAAACTAAAAACATTGAACCATTTTAAAGGAAAGCAGCTTCCCAATGTTGCCATATATTGTTTTAAAATAATTGTAAAAAGTAGTTGCTCATGTAACAGCACTGGGCCTGCCGTTGACCTTGCACGAGATAACTCACACACATCTGACAGCCTATTACTGTGGACGCAGTCCTCAGTGCTGCTGCTGCATGGGACCCTACTTCAGAGGAGCTCTGCAACAGCAAAAGTGCCAAGCAGATCAAAGAGGACACAGCAGGACCATGTGGGGCCCTCCTCCCAGTGGTCAGTTACATCTTCTTTTGGTATCATGGTGGAGGTTGGGGGTGCCCCTGAAGACACCAGCTGAGCTTACTGTGCCTGCTTCCCATGCCCACTGTACCCACCATGACAAGCTGAGCATGTTTCTGTAGCCATCCTCTACCCTGAGTAGATACTCTGCATTCTTACTGTGCAATGCTTTCAGGACTGTGCCTCTGTGGTCACCCCTGTCGTCCAGCTCCGTTGTGGCCACGGGAACCAGAACCTGGCATGTTCCAGCACCTCATTCTTCAGGTAGAAATCAACAAAACCTCCCAAATGGGAGAGGAGGGCCTAAAACCCTTGGAAAATTTCCTCTGTGAGATTTGCATGAGACTTGGAATGTCCTGAAGTTTAATATATGAAGGTATTTGAATGACACATAGAACTCCGTGTAAGACAGGTATAGCCAACAGAGAAAACCATTCATGTCAACAGTCTCCCTCGTGCTCTTTCGGAGACCCTCTGAATTATAGCACCCAGAGGCCCTGGATGGCTTGGGAGCGGATGAGCCCCACACACAGGCAGGAGAGTGGCGCATTCTCTGGGTAACGAAGAATCCTATAGCTAGAAGATTAGAAACAATTCTACATGAAACATTTGAAAGTATCTCTTGATCAGTTTATTTGTTTCTGAAGACACAGCTTTCCTTTCAGAAACAGTAGCCCAGAGAAAGGTCTCCACAACCAAAAAGCACCGTGAATTGTTAATTGCATTTTGCCTGGCCACGTGAGTGAATTTCCTCCTGGATTGCATTGAATCTGCACTGTTTTGGAGACTGGCAGATCTGTCGTTGATAAAGCCACATGTGCAGGGTCATCATCAGTTGATGTACTTCCATCCTAGCTGATGCTGTTGATTTTTCCCTGCCAGGAAGCTTCCTGACACAGCCTGCACCCCAGTGGACTTCCCAAAGCAAGTTGAGTCTGACTTTGCACCCCTGACATGAGAGTCATCTGACTTCTGGGCACGCCACTGAATACTGATGTACCTGAAGGAACCCTGGGTACCAAACATGCTCAAGTGAATGAATGGTGTCCAGGAGAAAGCCCAGCAGGTGTCCAGACAATGGCCTCCCACCAGAGATCTTGTCAGCACGCCGGTATGAGCACTGTGTGCCTTAGTGTCTTTGTGTTCTGGTTGCAATGAAGTCTTTCTCCATAATGTCAGTTTTTATACTGTCCTAGTAGGACATCATGTGATGAATTTTCATGTGATATGAATTCAGCCTAGGTATGTCTTAGGATTGGTTTAGAGGGAAGACTGAAGCAGGTGAAATGGCAACCCCTTGAATACACATCCTTAATAAATTGAAAAATATTCAGCATGATTAAATGGTATCTTTTAAAATAGGAAACAAAATATTTCCTGTTCATTAGAGTCATTACATCAACTAAAGTCATCATAACTAAAATCATCATTACATCAACTAAAATACAAAATATGGAATCTAATCTGATCTTCAGCAGATGTTGGCATTTCTTTAAGTACACGTCTTCACTTCTGCAGTGCACTAACAGAGACTCAAGAATGACAAAGGGAAAAAAAAGGCAAAATTAGGAAAAAGGGAGACATTTTGTAGTTGATGTTGGATACACTGGATGGACTATCCATTTGATATACCTTCTCATTGATAGAAGAGGAAACTTCAGGTTTCACAAAGGCAAATCGTGTTTCACGAGAAAAAGCAACGGAAAAATATCGATAATCAAAATATTTTAGTGTTTTATGAAGAACTGTATTGTAGCTTGAATCTTTAATTAAATAAGTGTTTTCTTTTGCATGTAAAATAGAATTCAGCCTTTCCTAACTCAGGACAGCAATGGGCTGAAGACACTGCTGGGCCCATCCTGCCACCTGCTGGGAGGCCTTGTTCCCTCAAAAGCCTTGGTTTGGAAGGATGATTGGAAAATAGCTTTACACACCCATCCTTTATTGTGTTTTTATTCACAAAGCCTTAATATACCACCATACTTCATGTAGTTGATTTTTCATATCTCTGATAAGTTTTTAAATGTCAGTATTCCTACTAAAGTCTCTCTCTCTGTCCTGTGTTGTATGTTCTAGGGTGTATGAAGAAAGGGCTTCAGCAGAAACAGAGGCTGAAGCCTGTGTGCTGGGGGCCGAGAGGCCAGAGGAGAATGTGATGAGACATAGAATTGGCATGGGGAGTGTCCCCAGACCTACTGATGACTTTGGCTCACAGATAACCAGGTCCCTGAGCAAGGGTGCTGACTGCAGCCTCTCTGCACAACCAGGACACCACCATGGGGTGGGGTGCATAATGTGTGGGGACATCCACACTGTTGAAGGGGAGACAGCCAGGAAAAAAGAAGCGGCACCTCCATTGTCACCACGAGACACTTCCCCAATGCATCAGGTTTGCAAAACCAAGGGTGCAGAGCAGTGTCCACACAGGCTACTTTTTCTGTTCAAAATAAGAACCACAAAAAAGGGCTCAGTCACAGAGGCTCATGCCTGTAATACCAGCACTACAGGAGGCCAAGGCAGGAGGATCGATTGAGCCCAGGAGTTCGAGATCAGCATGGGTAATATAGGAAGACCCTGTCTATACCAAAAAAAAAAAAATTTAATTAGCTGGGCATGGTGGCTCATGCTTGTAGTCCTAGCAACTTAGGAGGCTGAGTCGGGAGGATCCCTTGAGCCCTGGAGTTTGAGGCTGCAGTGAGCTGTGATGGCACCACTGCACTCCAGCCTGGGTATCAAAGTGAGACTCTGTCTCAAAAAAACCAAAACCAAAAAACCAACAAAACAAAAAAGAACCACAAAAAAGATGTCATAGCAATGCTGTGTGTACGGGAATCTCCAGCAGGACACACAAACAATCCAGCGCTGACCTCTGGAGAGAACCGAGAGGCTGGGGATGCGGCAGGGAGGGGACGTCCACTCCGTGCCTGGATTCCTGTGAACATGGGGCCGTGCACAGTGCCCACGAAAATGAAAATGAAACCTGCCAGCCTGCTGGCCAGGGACTTGTAGTGAAGCACAAACACCACGGACGTGACTGTTGCTGGTGGAGGTTGCAGCCTCTGGATGCCTCAGTGGCGCTGTTCTTGCAGCTGAGCGGAAATGCCCACAGCGTCCGCATCTGGCACGTGCCCGGGGGCCTGCAGCCTCAACAGCCTCAACCCGGAGATACTGATGGTGTGGAAAGGCGGAGACACTGATGGTGCGAAAAGGAAAAGGCGTCTGGGAGGGCCTGTGAGCTGGAGGGCAGCCATTGGGGAGGTGGAGGAGAACCGTGAGGCGTGTTTCTCCGCATGACAGATGTCACCTGAAACCACCCGGATGCTGGCCAAGGCTTTGGCCTCTTCTTGCTGCCTCTGTATTTCTGAAAATGCATTGCTAATGGGGTGAAGGGACTCACCCTCAGGCCTGCCGCCCCACCAGGCTGGGCCAGGACACCAGGCACCCGGCATTACCCCATCACAGCCCCAGGCTGCGTGTGTGTGTCTGGGCGTATCTGTATTTGCATGTCTGTGTCTCTGTATCTATGCAGGTATAGATATGTATGTCTCTATTATCTATATTTGTGTGTCCATGTATATGTGTGTGTGCCTATGCAGATGTGTCTGTATGTGTGTGCCTGTGTGTCCATGTGTGTCTGTGTGTACTGATGTGTGATTGTATGTCCCTGTGTGTCTGTATGTGATCATGTGTGTCCATGTGTGCACGTGTCCGCGTCTGTGTGTACTCATGTGTGACTGTATGTGTCCCTGTGTGTCTGTGTTGTGCATACCCATGTGTGTCTGTGCGCACATGTACATATCTGTGTGTAGTTGTGTCTGTGTCCCTGTGCACCCTTGTGTAGCTGGGTCTGTGTCCAGCTGTGTAAAAGGCTTCAGCAGGGGAAGCTGGGCTCTGCCACAGGCCCTGATGAGAGTCAAGGCCATAAAACAAACCCTCTGAGCCCCAAACACCTGGTCCTAGGAACGGGCTGGACTTGGGAGTAAGTCAGCCCAGAGCGACTGTGAGGGCCCCAAGCCTGTGGGAACAAGAATGAAGAGGAGTCCTGGGTCTGGGGTCCAGGCCCCTCCTCAGCCAGTACTGAGAGGGCAAGAGAGAGATCATAGCAGGCTCTGCTGACTGGGCTGATTCTCTGCCCTGGAGACTGCAGGCCAGGGGTCTCCCTCTTGGCCTCCCCTGCCACTAGGTGATGCTCAGGGCTGGGGGTAGGGACAGACACTTCATGCCCTGGAGCTGCCTGACTGGCCCTGGCTGTGCCTGCTGCAGAAGTGGTATCAGCTGACATCATGAGGTGTGACATCACTGAGGCCTCCTCGAAGTTGAGTCTATTACTGTGGAAGAAGCCCATCAGTCCTCGTCCTCAGGAAGCTCATGATTCAGGCAAGGAAAGAGGCCCACAGCCAGACCACTCTGATCTGTGCAGTCAGGACATGGCCACGGAATCAGGCAGGATCCAGCCAGGAAAAAGAAGCCCTCCAGTTCTCTCCAACAGAGAGAATTGCGTCTAGGGAGCTGGTCACACTGTGATAAAGGCTCTGAGAGCTAAACGGGATGAGGAGGAATCCAGGATTGAAATCAGCAGGAAGCCGCCATCCCAGGCTGGAGGCAGGGAAGAAAGCAACAGGGTCACCAGTCCCAGGGGCTGTGTTCATGCGAAGGGAGCTGGAGCCTCGGCAGGGGTGTCTGGAGCCATGGGGCTGGTGGGGGCAGGTGGCCGCTGCTAGGAGGCCATCCGAGGAGAGACATAAGGAGAGACGTGCCCCGCTCCCCCACCACCACCAAGCGCAGAAGCCTGAGGGCAAAGGATACTGGGAAATGACCTGAGGGTCAGAGCAGGGGCCCATGGGGGTGGGATGGGGCCCACCTGACAGGCTAGGATGGGAGCACAGCTAGGCCTGCAGCAGGCCCGTCCCCAGGGGCCTGCTCAAACCACAGCCTGCCACTCATCCTAGCAGGGGCCTGGTCTACAACAGGTGCTCAAAAGCATGAGTCGCACAGTGAGTGGGTGCAGAGTGGGAGATAAAGCCAGGTGGCTGGGGCCCCAGATGGGAAGGAGAAGGAAGGGATGGACACTGGGTGTGTCCATGCCGAGACCTCAGAGGCTCTGAATGCCAGCTTGGGTTTGGCTGAAATCTGAGGGCTGGCACGTCCCCAAACATTCTCTCTCTCACCATAACTTGAAAATGAGTAAGATGTTTAGCCCTAAAGCATCAAAGCCCCTGACTGCTCTTGTTTCTGTCCTAAGCTAGACAGCCCAGTGTTCATTTCCCCCATTCTCCAGACAAGGAAACTGAGGCACAGAAACATGGAGGACCTTGACCAAGTGACGAAGTGACCTGCCCGAGATTTCAGTTAGGGGTGGCACAGCTACAGCAAGGGGCGGTGGACGCCCACCCACCCCCGACTTTCCAAAGGTGGAGAGATTGCTGCAAACTGCCAGCAACTGGTGACAACCAGGAGAATGTGGTCAAGACCGTTCAGTGACCTTTCAGTTCTGCCTCGTTGGGTGGCAACCGTGCTTCAATCACCAGTGTTTTTCTCCAGACAGAATATAAAGAAGCAGAAACCTGTGATAACGCATGTGCCATCTGTGCCCCAACCACATCCTCTTGCCAGGGCCACAAGCCCTTGCAGGACTCAAGCAAGAGGGTGGATAAGGCAGGCCAAAGGGGTGGACACTCCTGACTCTAGGTTTCAATTTCTTAAGAAAGGCTGGAAATCAGGACTTTTTATGGAAACAAATCTTAGATTTGAAAATGCTGGCCCCTAGTTGGAATGTTTAAAGTATGTGGAATGAATCCATGGAGGCCAGGCTGAGTGCCTACAGTAGGGGCCAGGCCTGTGAGCTCTGCCAGCTCTGAAGCAACTTTCTCAAGTGCCAAGCACATGCCGACCACAGGGCATTTGCACTGCTGCTCCCTGCCTGGAAAGCTCTTCCTGCTGGCATCTTGTGACTCATCCCGCACTGTCTTCAGGCATCTGCTCAAATGTCTCCTCCAGGAGGTCTTCCCTGACCTTTTCCTTCCCATTTCGCTGGTTTATTTTTCTTTACAGTGCTCACTACCACCTGACATCTCAGTGTTGTCCCGCTCCCGATGAGAACATCAGCTCCGTCGTGAGGGCAGGGTCCTTGTCTTAGGCATCCCTGGATGCACAGGGCCTGCCCAACCCAGAGCAGACACTCAGTCAACATTTGATGAATTCATGGTTTAGCACTTCAGGACCCCTGAGGCATGGCCACGGGGACACAGGGCACCCAGGACCATATGCATCACAGACGTGATGTCTGAAAGAGAAGCCAGCTGAGCAGGTTCCAGCCCTTCCCACCCCACAGACTTGCTGGGAGCTTTGGGAAGCCCTGACCCTCTGGAGGCCTCAATTTCCCCACCTGTGCAGTGAGGAGGTGATACATGCCACAGTCTCAGGAGCACTCATGGGGTCCCAAGGTGGCCATCATTGCTGGCTTCCTCAGCCAAGCAGAGGGACAGATAGATTGATCAGCTCCATATTGATCGCAGGGACGCAGCTGCTCTGGAGGGGGCAGGAGGAGTGGGAAGCTAAGTGGAGCCAGGACCCCTGGAGGAAGGAAAAGCAAATGCCACAGCCCCATCAATGCCTGGGACCAGGGGGCGGGAAGGGCCGTGATCACCCATCTGAGGGTTTCTTCCCCTGTCACCTAGGGGTTCAGAGAAGCTCAAGGGAGCTCCAGGGGAGCCCAGGCCAGGGCGAATTCTGAACATGGCAAAGAGACCTCCCCAGCGCACCCTGAGGAGGCCATCTCAAAGCTTCCCCGCTTCTAAGTCATGGAGCAGCTGAGGCCGGGGGCTGGGCCAAGGGAGTCCCAGGGGGTCCCTGCCCATTCAAGCCATGACATTTCTTGGATGCCGTTCACTGAGTCTGGAAGTGTATGCAAGGCTGGCATTCTGCTGCAGAGTCCACTTGAGGCTTGTTTTCATACAAGAGCCTCACGTCCTGCCCTGGATCTTCCAGGAAAGCCAACGCCCAACAGATGAGATGCTGGGAATGTGGCCAGCTCTCTCTGGGAGTGATATCCCCATGTGGGACATGCAGCTACAGCACAAAGAACCAGGACCTAGGGGTCCAGGGTGGGGGGAGGGGGCCTAAGGTTAAATCCCAGCTCCACTCCAACTTGTGGGGTGAAACCCTTTTCCCCTGAGAACCTTGATTTCCTCATCTGGAGCCTGTCCCTTGGGGTCCTGGGTCCCTGGCTGGAGCTCCTGGTTTTTAGGGAGGGAGGAGTAAAAAGCAGCCTTGGATTGGACCGATGGGCAGGTAGGGAGCCCAGAGGGAAGACACAGACAGGATGAGACCATGAGGACTGTTGTTAAGGCCTTGGACAGCAAGAAAACAAACCATTAAACACCAGGGACAGCAACTCAGCCATTCCGCTTCTGGGCCTCTACCCAAAAGCATCAAAACAGGTGTTCAGACAAAGCTTGTACATGAATGCTGATAACAATGCTGTTCACAGTAGCCAAGAGGTGGAAACAGCCCTGAGTCCACCCACAGATGAATGAACACACCAAGTGTGTCCACACAATGGAATGTCTTTCATCCATGACATGAAGAGGGTGGCATTCCGGCACTGGTACAACATGCACAGACTTTGAGGGCACAGAAGGACAAATGCTTAGGGTTCCATTCATATGAAATGCCCAGAACTGGCAAACCCATACAGACAGAAAGCAGCTCAGAGGCTTCCAGGGGCTCGGGGGAGGGCACACGGGGAGTGAGTGTGCCGCATTTTCACGGGATCTTCTTTTGGAGCCATGGAAACGTTTTGGAACTAGAGAGTTGTGATGACGGCAAAACATCGTGAGCAGAATGCCACTTAATTTGTACACTTTAAGAAGTGCAATTTCTGGCTGGGCGCGGTGGCTCACGCCTGTAATCCCAGCACTTTGGGAGGCCAAGGCAGGTGGATCACCTGAGGTCAGGAGTTCAAGACTAGCCTGGGCAACATGGTGAAACCCTGTCTCTACTAAAAATACAAAGATTAGCCGGGGGTGGTGGAGCTTGCCTGTAATCCCAGCTACTCGGGAGGCTGAGGCAGGAGAATCGCTTGATCCCAGGAGGCAGAGGTTGCAGAGCTGAGACTGCGCCACTGCACTCCAGCTTGCTCAACAGAGCAAGACTCTGTCTCAAAAAAAAAAAAAAAAAAAAAAAAAGAAGGGCCATTTTACCTTATGTGAATTTTACCTCAATAAAAACGGGGGAATCCCCAACCAGGGACACAGGAGAAACAGTAGCCCACGCAGAGACAAGGCTGAGAGGCGGGGCTCTGGATCCGGACCTGCTGGGGAGGAGAAGGACACCCACGCCCCCGGGGCTGCTGTGAGGGAGGAGCGCTGAGCACGGGGGTCCAGAAGCAGAGCAAGTGAAACATTTGCTGCGTTCATTACCATCCCCAGACCATGCTTCTGCAGGACGGCCCATGCAGCTCAGGCTGGCTGCCCTGCCAGGGGAGGTGCCCGGCCAACCCAGGCCACGCCTGTGGCCACAGCCCCAGCAGTGGCCAAGAGCAGAGCCAGAGTGGGGAGTCAGGTGGGGTCGGCCCTCCCTCCCTGGCTAGTTCATGTCTCCTCCCTGGTCCTCACCTACCTCTGGGAAGGGGATAGAGACCAGTCCTCTAGGAAGCTTCCAGCACCAGAATCTTTCTGCACCTGGAGTCCTGGGGAAGACAATCAATCAATCAATCTATGGATCTACCCACAGGTCCAATGGAGAGGGAGGCAGAATGGTGCATTGGGTAAGCAGTGGTGATTAAGCTGACAGACAGGGGTTCAAATCCCAGCTCCTCCACCTCCCAGCCCCCACCCTCAGGCCCCAGCTGCCCTAGCCAGCCTTTCTGTGCCTCAGTTTACCCACCTGTAAAATTCAGGTAGTAATCGCCACTACCCCATAGGGTATTGTGAAGATGGAATGAGTCTGTGAGAACAACGCCTGGCTCATGGTGTGGGCTCCAGAGGTATGACCACTGTTGTGTCTAATTCTCACTGTTGAGAATTAGAACAACAAACTGTTATCCAGGTAAGGGGAGAAAGAAGCCCTGCCCAGAATTGGCCAGAACGTGAAGAGTACATGGGCTAATGCCACCAGCTCTGCTCCCTCCTAAGAAGCTGTGCTGAGCTCGGTGTCCGGAGTGGAGACCCAGAGGAGAGGCCAGGAGAGAGGCAGCTCGGGAGAGGACCGAGGAGGTGCCCCCACACTCGCTCGCACACTCACAAACTCACTCACACACACTGAGAGTCACACACTCACACAGAGACACAGAATCACACACAGAGTCACACATACTCATAGTTACACAATCACAGTTACACACACACACTCACACTCTCACAGAGTCACACATACTCATAGTTACACAATCACAGTTACACACTTACACACACTCACATTCTCACAAAGAGTCACACACTCACTCGCACCTGCTGAGGAAGAGTGCTGAGTGGTCGGGGTGCGCTGGCCACGCACAGGGGCAGCCTCGGCCCCAGCAGCCACACTTGATGAATTTTGCATCACCTTGGCTATGAATAGCTTCCTCCTTGGCAGCGAGACAGACAGTTCAAAGGGAGGAAAAGGGCCCGAGGAGGGAGAGGGAGGGCAGAATGCACCCCGAATCCCTAACTCAGCTCGGGAGGACAGCAGGGCGAGGCGAGGACGCAGAGGGTGGGCAGGGCCTCCCACTCCCACAGGGCTGCGTGCATTTCCAGAGGCGGCAGGTGAGGCTGCAAGGGGCCTCCCGCAGGGCCCTGGCAGCCCCGTTATGCTTCCAAGATCAGGCCCAGAAGGATGCAGCTGAGACAGGAGGGCATCAGGGAGCCCAGGCAGCACGTGGGCCACCTGCAGACCCCCATTCCCCAAGACTGGGGCTTCAAGGCCATTTCTTAGATGGGCACCCTGAGGCCTGGGAAGATCATTGTCCCATCAGAGACTGCACACAGCAGCCTGGGCCTGGGGTGAATGCTGAAGGACCAGGTGAGCCGACAGGCAGGGCCACAGGGGGGTCTGGGGGCATGGCTAAGCTGAGGGTGGCAAGGGGACCTCTGCAGCCTCTGGCTGGGGAACCTGGCTTCCAACCCCAGCTCCACCCCCTTCCCATCTGAGCGGCCCTGGGCAAGACACTTCACCTCTCTGTGCCTGTTTCCCCAGTAATTAACTCATAATAATGAAAGTACCCCACTTACTAGGTGGTGGTCAAGGTGCAGCCTCTGGGTCCCTGCGGCTCACCAGCTGTGGAACTTTGCCTCTCAGCTCAGTTTTCCCATCTGCAGAATGGGCTGCTGCTGTTGCCTGCCCTGTCAGTTAGGCATAAAGCATTGAGAACGAGCCCTCCACAGCATGAGGACCACAGGAGATTTGTCAGCACTGCCAGCTTCTTGGCCAGTGACACCCATAAACAGAGAGTCCCTTCTGGGCAGGCCCTCCCTGCCACCAAGGGGGCATCCCCAAGGGTTCGAGCCACATGCCTCATCCTGCCAGGCTGGCCAGCCTTGGCTGAGGCCCACGCAATGAGCAACCAGGCCAGGGAGCTCAGTGAGGGGACACCAGGTGGGTGTGTGGGTAGACGCCGAGCAGTCAGTCATGTAAGCCTGGCTGTCCTCTCTGCCGCACTTGGGTGAGCGGGTCCTACCTCAAGGCTATCTCTTGTAAACTGTGGGGATGTCCCAGCTGCCCACTGCCTCGCCAGAGACCCAGTGCCGGCACTACAGCCCCAGGGCCCCAGCAGAGTGGTGACAGCGGCTGCACCAGGCACCTACTGCATGCAGGCTGTCTCCTAAGTGCTTTGTGTGCATTAACAATTAATCTTCAAACCCATTATCTGGGGCAGGTGCCGTTAGCATCTCTACTTTACAGACAGAGAAACAGAGGCCCAGGGAGCTAAGGGAACATGCACGGGACGTGGGACCCCACCTTCATTCCTCTGTCCTCGGTGGCACCTGGCATTTCTGATCCTGGCTCTTCTATTCCAGTGCTGGGGCATCAGGGTGGGCCCTTTCCTCTCTCTGGCCTTGGTTTCCCTAGCAGTGAAGGGTCCAGGTGCATAGAGTCTAATCCCTGGCCCTTCTACTTGCTGGCCTAGAAAGTGAGTCTTTCACCCTCTCTGTGCTTCTGTTTTCTCCCCTGTAAAATGGAAATGGGAACGGCCCCTGCCTCCCAGGAGTAAGCTCCTAGGGCAGTGCCTGGCACTTAGTAAGTGCTCAGGAAGTGGCAGCCACGCTGTTATTATTGCTATTGCTGTTGCTGCTGTAAAGTGAGTACTCCCTAAGACCCCTGACCAGAGGATGGGGGTGTCCAAACATCCAGGTTCCCAGAGAGGCCCAGGAGGTGGCCTGTGCCCAGAGCCCAAGGCAGCTGCAGGAGCTCACGGCCTCCCGGAGTGGAGAGAGCTGCATCCCGGTCAGCCACCCTCTGTTCCTCCCCACAGCCTTCCACCTGCCAGGCCTACCTCCATGGCGTCTCTGCTCTTCCCTCTGGCCACATCAGAAGGGACCACAAGGAAGCAAAGATTCAGAGAGTGAACTTTCCCACAGGGACCATCCCAAAGATGCCCACACTGGCCTCTTGCAGCCCTGCTCTCCCGGCAGGGCCTGGAGCCCAGAGGGTTCCCTGCCCAGCAGCTAAGAACGAGGACTCTTCAGAGTCCCAACTGCTGTGACCCATTCCTGGCTCTGCTGCCTACCTGCTGTGTGACCTTGGGCAGGTTGCTTTGCCTCTCTGTGCCCCCGTTTCCCCATCTCCAAGACAGTAGATGATAGCAGCCCTAGGTGTGGTGGTTGTGGAGATTCAGGGCCATGACATAGACAAAGCAGTTAGCCTGGTACCCACTGGGCTCCTGAGCCTGGTACCCACTGGCTCCTGAGGCTGCCAACTTGCTGAAGACAGCAGGGCTGCTGGCATCAGACATTCCCAGGGCTACATCTTTACTCATTGTGTGAATCTGGGCAATCCACTTCACCTTTCTATGCCTTGATTTCCTCATCTGCGAAACAGGCTTAATAACACCTATTTGGGGACATGATGAGGATTCAAAGAGGCAAGGCCAGGACAGTGCCTGGCAAACGTTGCTGTCCCTGTGACTGCTGCTGCTGCCATTGTCACTCCTGCCATCCAGAAGACACCCACAGTGTCTGTGGCTTCCTCTGGGGCAGGCCCCACCCTGGAAGACATTGGAGGCTTCCTCTCCAGGTGACAAGGAAAAGCTGAAGGCTGCATCTCCTTTGTTTTCTTCCCAGCAAGACTGACATGCGACAAACACATCAGAAGGGAAAGAAAGGTCGTGAGCCCTGGGCGGCAAAGCCAGGGCAGAGCAGGGGCTAGGGAACAAGTGGTTCCCACAAAGTAGTTCCTGACTCTGGATCCCAGAATGTATCCCCTGGAAACCCTTTAGGCATTTGTGTTTGGTCCAGCCTCTGTGCCCAAGCCTCAGCCACCTGCCTCCCCAAGCTCACCTGCACACACACACCTCCGTGTTGGGGCCTGAGCCTCATTGGCTCACCTGGGAGTGTCTCACTTACTGAATCCATCAGGGTCAAAGCCAGTTGGCTCAAGACAGATGCCAAAGGCCAGGTATACTTGGATCCCAATCTGAGAGCTTGTTAGGCTGCATAACCTCACCAACTCTGAGCCTTAGCAAACAACACAAAGCTGACAAGACCATCATGAACACCACTGGGAAAGAATCAGTGCAGAATCAAGGGTAGCTCCAGTCCCCTGCAGCCACAAGACACATGACAACCCCTTTAGAGTTTATTCCCCACATACATACCACCCCGTGACCCCCATGACCTCTTTTTTTTTTACGGAGATGGAGTCTCACTCTTGTTGCTCAGGCTGGAGTGCAGTGGTGCGATCTTGGCTCACTGCAATCTCTGCCTTCCGGGTTCAGCGATTCTCCTGCCTCAGCCTCTTAAGTAGCTGGGATTACAGGCAGCCGCCACCACACCCATCTAATTTTTGTATTTTTAGTAGAGACAGTGTTTCACCATCTTGGCCAGGCTGGTTTCGAACTCCTGACCTCAGGTGATCTGCCCATTTTGGCCTCCCAAAGTGCTGGGATTACAGGTATGAGACACTGCGCCCGGCCGACCCTTTTGTCTGTTAAGCCAAACTTTCCATTGGCTTCTAGTACCTTGTATGTGCTCCTGTCTGACTGTGTCTGCCTCCTCCATTAGAGCTCCTGGGAAGGAGACACCAAGTGAGATTTCTCCCTGTGGTCCCAGCACTACCCAGCATAAGGCCTGCAAATCGGGGCCAGGGGAGGGGGCGGTGCTCAGAAAACGTTATTGATATAACTCAAGATTGATTTCACTACATCTAAATTGCAAATACGGCTGCAAGTTATTTGCAGCAACTTCCATGAAGAAAGGACTCTGTCTCCCCTCCCTCAAGTCATGTGATTGCCATGCCAGTAGAAGGCAGAGCAATGCTGTGCCAGTTCTGAGACTAGGTGTCAAGGGGCCTTGCCCCTTCCACTCTTGTGCTGGGGACTCCTCTGCCACCAGTGACCCAGCCAGGGCTAGCCCACTGGGGAGTGAGAGGCCCCCTAAAGCACCAGGCCCACATGTCCCAGCTGAGGCCACAGACAGTGACCAAGTGGCTGAGAGCAGCTGAGCCCAACAAAGAACCGTGAGCTAATTAAAATTGTTGTTGTTTTCTACCCCTGAGTTTAGGAGATGTTTGTTATGGCACAATACCTAACTGATACACACCATAACCCCATTTCACAGGGAGGAGATTGAGCTTTCAAGGGGGCAGAACTCAAGGCCTCATCTCCATCAGGGGCTACAGCAGTGAATTAAAAGTACACACCCAGCTGGGCGCAGTGGCTCACGCCTGTAATCCCAGCACTTTGGGAGGCCAAGGCGGGCGGATCACGAGGTGAGGAGTTCAAGACCATCCTGGCCAACATGGTGAAACCCCATCTCTACTGAAAATACAAAAATTAGATGGGCATGGTGGTGGGTGCCTATAATCCCAGCTACTCGGGAGGCTGAGGAAGGAGAATGGCTTGAATCCGGGAGGCGGAGGTGGCAGTGAGCCGAGATCATGCTACTGCACTCCAGCCTGGTGACAGAGCAAGACATTGCCCCCCTCCCCCCCGACACACACAAAAAAGTACACGCCCAGGCCGGGCACAGCGGCTCACGCCTGTAACCCCAGCACTTTGGGAGGCCGAGGTGGGTGGATCACCTGAAGTCAGGACTTTGAGACCAGCCTGGCCAACATGGTGAAAACCCGTCTCTACTAAAAATACAAAAATATTAGCTTGGTGTGGTGGCGTATGCCTGTAATCCCAGCTACTCAGGAGGCTGAGGCAGGAGAATCACTTGAACATGGGAGGCGGGGGTTACAGTGAGCCGAGACTGCGCCACTGCACTCCAGCCTGGGCAACAGAGGGAGACTCTGTCTCAAAAAAAAAAAAAGCGCAACCCCAGAGGATGGGTAGCTGTGACCGTTTCTGCCAGCACTCTTGGTTGCATCATTAAAAGCATCATTAATAAAGAGGTATTGTTGCAGATAAAGCTCAGACCATGGGTGCCTTCTAATTGCTCCTGACATTTTTGCCCTGGCTGTTCGTTGATCCAGCTGGCAGCCTGGCCCCCACCAGAAAGTGTAAAAGGGCCAGCCAGCGTCAGCCTCTTCCCCGAGATGGAGCCACAGGGAGGGAGGCTTCTCCTTTGCCCAGGAAGCCAGCTGTGCCCTGGATGGTTTCAGAGGGGAGGGAGCAGAGGGGAGGTCGGAGCTAGCTTGGCTTCCCCTGTGCACCCTGCAGCCCCAGCCACACCAGGCTCGGCATTTTCCACTCATGCCTCTACAACTGCTATTCTTTCTGCCTGGTGCACCATTCCCTCTTTCCTTGCTAGACCAGGTCCAACTCATATGCAGCCTCAAGGCCCCTCCAAGTTAATTGCTTTGTTGTCCCCACTGTCTGTCCCCTAGTTCCAGAAAAAACCCACCTCCTCTGCAAGGCTTCCCAAACCACTCAGCCCAAGACTGAAAGCTCCCCATTTCTCTCCACGAGTGCCCCTTGACTGTCATTGTGGCTGCTTGTTTCTTTGATGTCTGTTGGCTCCACCAGACTGAGTTTGGTGAGGGCGGGCTGTGGGCACGGTGGCATCTACAGAGCAGAGTCCGCCCACCAAGGGGCTCTGTGGACACGGGTGGGATGAGTGCGTGAGTAAATGAATAAACAGTCGAACAAGCGAACTCACTCACTTACCCTCCTGAGGCTCACAAGCAGGAGTGGAGGCAGAGATCAGTAGATAAGCGACGAGGGGCCTGGGGCCCCCACAGCCAGTGGGACCCAGAATCCCAGGAACATGGAAGCCAATGACCCAGACATGGCACCAGAGGCCAGCCTTGCTGGAAGAGGGCTCCTGGGCTCAGATCTGTGCTCCCTGCCAGCCCCATGTGTGAGCCTCACACTGGTTACTTTCCTCTCTGTGCCTTGGTTTCCCAACCACAAGGTGAAGGCGATGGTAGCTGCTTAGGCAATAATTGTGGAGCTCATTGTGGGTTGGTATAGAAAGTTGGTGGACCGGAGCTGGTTGTGCCAATGTTGGTCATTGTTTTTGAGTATTTGCCATGAGCAGATGCTGGGCTTACACCGGCCCCAGGGGACAGTGCTAGGATGCCCATTTTGTAGGTGAGAAAACTGAGGCACAGAGAAGTAAAGTAACTGGCCCAAGGTTACACAGCTGGTAAGAGGCAGAGCCAGGGTTCGAACTGAACCCTCTCTTCACAGCCCAGATGCTGGAGGGAGAGACAGGAGGGGCATTGGCAGGAGGGGTACTGGCTTCCTGCCCATTGCCCCTCTGCCCCTCCCATACGAACCATCAGTGACAAGGGGGATGGTGGGCAGGAGGCCTGCTCAACCGGGATGCTGAACACCGCTGCCCAGCAGCCCAGCCATTCATCTTCACTGACCACACAGATGCCAGAGCCAGCCTCTTAGCTCACAGCCAGCAAGGTTAAAAATACACCCAAACCATGTTTCCATTGACTTGGCCCTGAGTTACAGCCTAGGGCCTGTGGCTGCCTCCAGCTCAGACTCCGGAGGCTGTGCGTGCCAGGCTGGCCGGGGCCACCTCCCAGCCAGAGGGACCAGCTCACCTTCTTCGCCTATGAAAGGGGCTGACCCACCCCTCCCTGCAGGCTCATGGGAGCATTTCCCAGACACCAGGCCTGCAAGAGGCTCCTCCAGCCCTGACCCTGTGGCCAGCAGGGAGCTGGCCAGGCCGAGTGTGATTCAGGAGAGGAAGAACGGACTTTGGAATTTGCTGTCGTGTCAGTTCCTCCTCCTCAGCTGGGAAGACCTAAAGAGGGGCCCGAATGCGGAGACAAAATCAGAGCCAGAGGGGGCCAGGAGACCCTGGAGAGGGTGCCGAGCTTTCTGCAGCCCTCAGGGTGGGACTGAAGAGCCCGCGTGCTGGTGGGTGCATGGGGTGAGTTCTCTCCCATTCCCCCTCCTGGTGAAGAAAGCGGAGGTGCTGCGGTCACCCAGGCCTCCTCTAATGCCTCTCCCCCTCCACACACACACACACACACACACACACACACACACACACACACACATACACACACACACACACACACTGGTTCCTTATCTACTTGCAGGTGCTGCCCTGGGCTGATGCCTGTGTCACCTCCTCAACTGACATCTCCTTTCTCCCCATTAACAGAAGCCAGACCTCATCCAGCCAGGGGCCAATGGCGCAACCTCCAGCACTGGGCTGTCCTCTGCAGCAGCCTCTTACCACACATTCACACTTAAACAAATGGAAATGACCTTTAGTAAGAATTCCACTCCTCCATCAAATGAGCCACATTCTGGGTGCTCAATGGCCACCTGTGGCTGGTGGCTGTCATTTGGACAGCACAGATCTGGAACATTCCCATCAACACAGAGAGTTCTGTTGCACAGCTCAGCTCTGGAGGATGAATCCTGACTGGGCCAAACCAGTCAGGGAATCCCACTCCCCATGGCAATTCGGGGGTCTGTGGCTGCCTCCTGATGTACTTCTGAACAACAATGAAACATAAGGGAAGGCTGGGAGAGATGGACCTCCTGGTATAAAGAGATAGACGTGAGAGGAGCAGACTCTTAACACATTGGCTGGCCCCCTTGCCTCCAGCCTTTGAAGGCTGTGAGATGATGCAATGACTGGAGCTGAGGCAGCCATCTTGCAACTATGAGGCAAAAAGCCTAAGAACAAAAACCAACACACACAGGATGGAAGGAACCTGGAGCTCCACCAAGCTATGGAACTAACTGCCTCTGCAGTTTTCTTTCTATGAATCCAATGTCTTTATTACTCAGCCACTGTAGTTGAGGAATTCTGTCACCTGCTGCTGAATACTCTCTGATAAAACTACAAACCAATACCCACATTTGGCTCTTAGGCCTATAGGTGAACTTTTCCCTCTTAGTGAAATTCTCCCCTTCTCATTTCTGTTCAGTCTATCCATGTGTTAGGGCCCAGATCAAAGGCTGCCTCCCCCAGGAAGCCTTCCTTGAACATCTCCCACAAATCTGGAAGCGATCACTCCCTCCTCTGCCTTAGAATTGGTCTCTGTCTTCCAACCCGCAGCACCAGTGAGGGCAGGGTTTACACCTGTCTTCACGGAGAGTGCCCCAGGCCCTTAGAAACATGCACACCAAGTAACAGGGGCTCAATTAATATTTGGTGAATAAAAGAATAGCTTTATTTCAGCCTCCTCACCATGCCCTGTACAATAGGGTTTATACAAAAGCTTGTGAAATGGAGCAAGTTTCTCATGGCTCTCAGAAGTGGGGAAATCAAAGTAGACCACCTGCCGAGACCTCACACCACACACCCATGTACCTTTCTGGACAATTGAGGAGTCAAATGGAGATGCAAGGAGGAAAATTTTAATTCTATGCAAAGCCCATTGACAGATGAATGAATAAGATGTGGTTGATACCCACGGTGGAATAAGATTCAGCCTTAAAAAGGAAGAACACTCTGATATGTGCTGCCATATGGTGAACCTTGAGGACATTACGCTAAGGCATGAAAGGACAAACATGACTCCACCTATATGAGGTCCTCAACTTGTCAAATTCAGAGAGACAGAGAGTAGAATGGTGGTTGCCCGGGGATGGGGGAGAGATGAGAAGTTGTTTAATGAGGACAGAGTTTCAGTTTTGCAAGATGGAAAGAATTCTGGAGATGGATGGTGGTGATGACTGCATGCACAACAATGTGAACGCACTTAATGCCGCTGAACTGTGCACTTAAAAATGGTTAAGATGGTAGATTTTATATTATGTGTATCTTACCACAATTAAAAATTTGCTTAAATGCTATGTGGAACTGTGATATTGTTAAATATACATTTGGTCTTCTTCCCTTTTCCTGGCATCCCTTCAGGCATAGAACTCCTGAAATCCTTGGAATCTCCAAAGTGATGTCTTCTTGCATGTGAATGATTCACTGAGGGCTGGCAGCACCTAAGTAGCTTCAGGATAGGGCTGGTCAGAGGAAAGACCAAGGCAGGATCAGTCCTGGGAAGAGGAGAGAGAACTGACGGTTAAGTTGATCACCAGTGACATCGCAATCATATCATATTACAATCAATCGTATCTCCATAATGAAGCCTCCGTAACAACATAAAGGGACAGATTCAGGGGGCTGAACACATGAAGGTTCCTAGAGGGTGGTGCTTCCCAGGGAGGGCATGGAAGTTCCACACCCCTTCCCCATAACTTACCCTATGCATCCCTTCAGCTGTCTCCTTTGACGTATCTCTTGTGATAAACCAGTAAATATAAGTAAGTGTCTCCCTAAGTTCCATGAGCCACTCCAGCAAGTTAAACCCAAGGATGTGGCCATGGGAACCCCAATTTCAAGCTAGTTGGCCAGAAGCAGAGGTGAAACAACCTGGGGCTTTTGATTGACATTGGAAGTTGGGGAGCAGTCTTGGGGACTGAGCCCTTGCTACCACACTGGACTGGGGTCTGCTTGCCAAGTGCAGTAAAGCCAAACATCCACACTGAGGTTTTGCAGCAGGAGAAGAGAGGGCATTTATTTGCAGGGCACCAAGCAAGGAGAATGGGGACAGCTCATACTTGAGACCCAACCTCCCCAGTGGCTTACAAACAAGGCCTCTTAAAGACAGGGGTACATTTCAGGAAAGCAGAAGTTACAAGTACAATCATAAATCAATATACAGGGGCTACACATTGGTTTGGCCTAAAAACGTGGGATGTCTTGAAGTGGGTGCACTTCTGGGTCATAGGTAGATTCAAAGACTCTCTGATTTGCCATTGATTAAGGAATCTAGACTTTGTCTAAAACCTTGGGGTCAGCAGAAAGGAATGTTAAGGTCTGGCCTGTGGATGTGGCTTCTTTCAGGCCCCTCAGGAAGAAATGTAGATCAAAGAACAGCAAGAGGTCAGAGTTCAGTGCTCAGCTCCCCGTTCTCTGGAGTCTATGTGCCAGCAGACTCCATGTGGTGGGGGTCCAGGTTTTTGAAAAGCTCAGGGTCGGTGGCCGGTTAGCTCAGTTGGTTAGAGTGTGGTGCTGAAAAACAACTCAGGGACATACGTGAAGATCTTATCTTCAGTTTCTATAGGGAACCAAACATCTGACTCTAACTTCCTTGGCTATTGTTTTATGTTACTATTACCTTCTTGCTTATCAAGCTGCTCATTTACTTCTCAGGCCTAGCTGGGTACCTGGAAGTTCCCCTGAAAGGACTCAAGATTTTCCTTTATCTCCTTGTGTGGGGTAGGGTGGCAGTGCTGGTGTCCCCTTAAGAGGGAGGGGTCTCTGCTGTGTCTCCTCCTCAGCCTGTGGTCCGATGTTGTCTTCAGATCGATGGTGTCAGAACCCAGCTGGTGTCTGCTGCAGAAGTGCTTGCTTGCTGGTGGGGAACAATCCCCCTACATTTGGTCAGTGTTCTGTGTTGATTGTTGAGTGATAGGATAGAAAAAGCACTTTGGTTTGGGTTTTTCTATACCCACAGAGAAAGATACATATTCAAAGAGTTTGTAAAATGACGGGATACAGTTTAGACCAGAATGACTCCAATAGGCCCACCACCCGCCTGAAGACACAGCATTCCAGTCCCGTGGAGGCCCCGAGTGTCCCCACCCAGCTTCATCTCCCTCTCCTCTCAAAAAAACTCCCTTGCTTTTTACAGTTCTGAAGGTGTATTCTTAAACAATATACAGTTCAATTTTACTTGGTTTTAACCTCTACATAAATGTAACAGAGAAAACACTAAATCTCTTCTGTGGCTTCCTCTTCTGCCTGGGTATCTTGGGGTGAGCATTTTTATTATTATCTGTTAAACTTGCATGTGTGCCATGTTCTCTTTGGCGTGTCTCATACACTTAACAGTTACAAATAAATACATACAGTGCCAAATGTAAAGTTCAAAGTCTTAAAAAAAATAAAGCAGTTTAGGCCAGGCGCGGTGGCTTATGCCTGTAATCCCAGCACTTTGGGAGGCCGAGGCGGGTGGATCACGAGGTCAGGAGATCGAGACCATCCTGACTAACACGGTGAAACCCCGCCTCTACTAAAAATACAAAAAATTAGCTGGGTGCGGTGGCGGGTGCCTGTAGTCCCAGCAACTTCACAGGCTGAGGCAGGAGAATGGCGTGAACCCGGGAGGCAGAGCTTGCAGTGAGCCGACATCGTGCCACTGCACTCCAGCCTGGGCGACAGAGCGAGACCCCATCTCAAAATAATAAATAAATAAATAAATAAATAAATAAATAAATAAATAAATAACATAAAGCAGTTTAAGTGACTGTTTTCAGCTCTTCAGATGAGGAAGCCCTGTCCAGGCATATCACCAAAGAGAAGCTGCAAAATAATAGACTGACACGTTTGATGACAAAATAGTTTAAAAAGCCTGTGGATTAAAAACACCTGAAGCAGAGTAGGATGGGCAAAACAAAAACTGTGAAAATAAGGCCCTGGAAAGATGAATATCCTTACTACGTGACGAGGCCCTTTCCAAATCAGACAGGAAAGGGGTGACAAGCCCCTCACTCTGGTTCTAATGGAAGTTGGTTCAACAGTTTAAGAGGGCATTGTATATCAAAAGGTGAAAAAAAAGCTCACCCTTTAACCTAGTAACCACATTTTTAGGAATTTTGCTTCAGGAAACAGCCCGAGATGTGCACTAAAATTCCTTTACAAGATGCCCTTCACAGTCACACCTCAAACCAGGGAACAAAATGGAAGTGACCTAAATGTGAAACAGTACGGCATGGTTTAAACTATCAAAACTATTGAAATCATGTTGCAAAAAAAATCTTTCCGGCCTGGAGCGGTGGCTCATGCCTATAATCCCAGCATTTTGGGAGGCCGAGGCAGGCGGATCACAAGGTCAGGAGATTGAGACCATCCCGGCTAACATGGTGAAACCCCGTCTCTACTAAAAATACAAAAAATTAGCTGGGCGTGGTGGCGGGCGCCTGTAGTCCCAGCTACTGGGGAGGCTGAGGCAGGAGAATGGCTGAACCCAGGAGGCGGAGGTTGCAGTGAGCCGAGATTGCGCCACTGCACTCCAGCCTGGGTGACAGAGCGAGACTCCGTCTCAAAGAAAAAAGAAAAAAAGGAAAAAAATGTCTTTCCTTAAGTTGCGAAATAATGATGTTGTCGTAGCTTCCTGAAGAAGAAGGTGGTACTCCTATAGATTGCTGATTAGAATAAAACATGGTACAGCCACTCTGGAAAACATTTTGGCAGCCTTTCCTAAAGTCGAATCTACATTTATCACAGAACCCAGAAATTCTATTCTCAGCTATTTACCCAAGAGAAATGAAAACATGTGATCACACAAAACCTGTACACAAATGTTCATAGCGTCTTAATTCACAATAGCCCAAAACTGGAAACAACCCAAGCGTCCCTCAACTGCTGAATGGGCAATAAACAAACCATGGCACATCCATACCATGAAATACGACTCAGCAATAAAAAGGAATGGACTTTTGGCTCAATCTCAAAAGCATTATGTTCCATTTATACGGCATTCTGTAAAAGGTAAAACTCTAGTGACAGAAAACAAATCCATGTTTAGTGAGGGGGTGGGAGGGGTGGGGTGGGAATGGAAGTCAACCGCAAATGTGCAGGTGAGGTCTCTGGGTTGTGAAGGAAGGGTCCTAGGCAGGGGTTACACAGCTGTCTCCATTTATCAAACTGACACTTCTAGTTGGTGAATTTTAAAGTCTATAAATTATGCCTCAATTAAGCTGATTCTTTAACAGTTTTTTAAAGCATGTTATAAAATAACATGGTTGGGCTGGGCACAGTGGCTCACGCCTGTAATCCCAGCACTTTGGGAGGCCGAGGTAGGTGGATCACTTGAGGTCAGGAGTTCAAGACCAGGCTGGCCAACATGGTGAAACCCCGTCTCTACTAAAAATACAAAAATTAGCCAGACATGGTGGCAGGTGCCTGTAATCCCAGCTAATGGGGAGGCTGAGGCAGAAGAATCGCTTGAACCCGGGAGGTGGAGGTTGCAGTGAGCTGAGATGGCGCCATTGCACTGCAGCCTAGGGGACAAGAGTGAGACTTCATCTCAAAAATAAATAAAATAAAATAAAATAAAATAAAATAACATGATTGGTAGGGTCTCAATTTTGTGTAAAACAGAAGTATACACCTGTGTTAGTCAGGACAGATTAAGACAAGCTGTGGCAACAAAACCCCTCAATCTTGACGGCTTAAGCAAACTAAGGTTCATTTCCTCATCATGTCCCAGTCTAAGATAAATTGGGTAATGTCTAAGGCAGCTCTGCTCCACACAGTGGTGCTGGCATCCAAGCAGCATCCATCCTGCGGTTCTAGCCTCTCAACACGTGACTTCCACAGTTACTGCCAACAAGAGAGGAGGATGTGAGAAGGTCCCAACTCTTAACTGTCTCCACTGCGGTTGGTGCAGGTCCCTGCTGCGTCTGCCATCTGCCAGGATGAGTCGTGTGGCCTCAACTCAACAGGCAGGGAGGCTGGGAAAGGAAGGAGACCATGGATATGTGGCAAATGCTGGTTGTCTCTGCCGTAATATTTCCTTACAGTCCCAGATAACTGTTGCTCCATTTTTCCTATACAGAGAACACACCCCTCTTCCCTAAGGGGAAGAAATCTGTCCCACCCAGCACTGCCTCCAGCTCAGGGTGATGTGCAGGTCTATGTCTGTGAGGGTCCTCTTGTCCAGGGCCTTCTCGACTAAAATGATAAGTTACTTACCCTTCTCCACACCCCCCAGTATACTCCGGTGGATACCACGGGCATCCTTCGCACCTAGAGCCTGTGCAGACATGTCAAGATTCATAGTGACTTTGAGAGCCCCGGGCCCCTTATTCTGCCTTTTGGGGTGTTCTCTTTCTGCCTGTTTCCTTTTTCTTCTTATCCCTATCTGGGGTGAGAGTTCCCTCTTTCTCAGTCCACTGCCTGTCTCCTAGAAGGGCAAAGGTCCTAATGTCATTTAATCCCTTTTTAAGTTTCAAGTCATCAAAGGCTTTTGTAAGCCAGGCATGGGATTTTCCTGGAATCACATTCCCTTTAAACATCTAGTAGGATTCTGATCTAGTTGCCTCCAGTCTGTTCTGTGTGCCTTATAGGGATGATGGAGGATCAAGGCTCCCTCTACCTTAGATGCCACTGTGTCTTTGGAGATCACCACAGCAGTAACAGAAAAAGAGGGAGGAGGCACACCAGGTCTTAATTGCTTCCAACTGGAAGTGACAGTCATTGCTGAGACTGGGAGGTCTTGCTACACGCCCCACTCATGGTGATTACAAGGGGTTCATAGAAAGGTCAGAGGGGCCGGAATAGTGCTAATAAATTAAAACTCCCTTCCAGGGCAGGGTCCACACTGAGAACTGGCTAAGAGTAGGCAGGGTATGGTGGCTCACGCCTGTAATCCCAGAACTTTGGGAGGCCAAGGTGGCCAGATTGCTTGAGCTCAGGAGTTCGAGACCAGCATGGCAAAACCTTGTCTCTACAGAAAACACAAAAATTAACTGGGCATGGTGGCACACACCTGTAATCCCAGCTATTTGGGAGGCTGATGCAGGAGGATCACTTGAGCCCAGGAGGTCAAGGCTGCAGTGAGCTGTGATCATGCCACTGCATTCAAGCCTGGGCGACAGAGTGAGACACTGTCAAAAAAAAAAAAAAAGAAAAAGAACAGGCTGAGAGTAGAATCTAAAATGGGCAGAACAGAGACAACAAGAACCAAAAACTAGAAATGAAAGAAAGAAAGAGCAAGAGAGGGAGGGAGGGAGGAAGGGAGAAAAGGTTTAGGTAGGAAGGAAAAGGGGTATAAAATAAAGTACAAGATCCTATTTTTTAACACTTCACAAAAGCAACAGAAGAGGAAACTATAGAGCCGTGAAGTTAGAAAAGTGGCTCTGACCCACCCTCTTCTTCAGAGTTTAGAAAACTCATTTCATTAAAAAATGAGCAACACAAAATGATTGTGGTTAAACCCCATACAAAATTATTGTAAGAAAAATGAGAATGTTGAATGATGCCCCCACAGATAATGAAGGCATTCCAGAAACACATGCCCCAAAATACATGCCCCAAAGTGTAGAAACTCATTTAAAAATGAGCCAACAGAAGTTAAGAAAGTAACAAAAGTTATAAAAGAATAACAAAATTTGGAAGACTTCAGGAAAGATGTGCTAGAACTGAAGAAATAATTAGAAATAAAAGAAAAACCCTATTTCAGAATGACGACTAAACTAGAAGGAACACAAGACCAAATGAACACAAAGAAGATAAAATGATGAACATTTCTAAAACAAAAAATGGAAGACAGAGAACTAGGATTGAGAGAAAGTGAGTATGTAGATGACAGGCAAATGATCTAACATATGTATAATAGTAGCTGCTGAAAAAGAAAACCAAAGCTAGATAATCAAAGAAAGAGTAAACACTACAATTTAAAAACACTTTCCTGAGATAGATAAAAACTTGAAACAACATTGTGTACCTAAAAAAAAGTGACCCGGCACATCCAACAGAGAATCATATTCTATGACATATTCTATGGATGCCATTGAGAATCTGGGAAAAGATCAAGTCACTCTTAGACAAGACGGCATGACAAAAGGAAAAAAGAGAAAGAAAAAGATTAAGTCACTTATCAGGAAAATCAGACTGTCATCAGACTTACCTACATCAATACTTCATGCCAGAAGACAAGGGACTAGTATGCCCACATTATTAAAGGGGTAAAGTACAATCCAAGAAAGATATGTCTCCAGCCAAACTGATGTTCAAGTATAAGGGTCATAAACAATTATCAACATGCAAGAACTCCAAGAGTATTATTCCTGGGAGCACCTACTGAGGACCCTATTAGAAAACAAGCATCAGGCAACCAAAGTGACTAGAGAAACATAAACATAAGATCTGATGGTGAGTATTCAACATATACAGCATATACTTACTTGTACGATTAGGAGTAAACAATGGTTGTAAGGAATAAAGTATAGCTGTTACAGTACAATTATGAGATATTTGAGGGAAAATGGGAAGAGCATATGAAAAGTAGAATAAGCTTGTTGACTGCCTTATAGTTAATAACTAGGAGTAAAAGGATATTAATTCAAATCAGGTGCTGTGGGAAAGGAAAGGGAAGAGGATACTAGCACATTTCAATATTGTTCATAGTAGGAAGCCAACAGACAAAAAAGAGGGAACTGAAAGCATTATGTGCAGATATTAGTATAAAGGTAATCATTTCAGCAAAAATATGACCCTTCCTTAGTACCAAAAAAAAAACAATAAGAGATAGAGAAAAATAAAAGCCACACTGAAAAACAATTTGTTTAAAAGATTTACGTAAGTATAAATGTAACATAAAACAATATGACAGAACTGAGGTTAAACGTACTGATTATATGGTCTTAATTCACCTATTAGCAGAAAAAAGATTTCTATATTGGCTAACAAAACAAAATTCAAACCTGTCCTTTAAAATTTCTCTGGAGGCTGAGATGGAGGCTCACACCTGTAATCCCAGCGCTTTGGGGGGCCAAGGCAGGAGGATTGCTTGAGCCCAGGAGTTTGAGACCAGCCTGGGCAACATAGGAAAGCTCTATATAAAAAAAAAAAAATTAGCCCAGTGCAATGGTGCACACCTGTGGTCCCAGCTACTCAGGAGGCTCAGGAGGGATTGTTTGAGCCCAGGGGGTTGAGGCTGCAGTAAGCTATGATCACACTACTATACTCCAGCCTGGGTGACAGAGTAAGACCTTGTCTCAGATAAAAAATAAATAAAATAAGATAAAATAAAATCTCTCTGGAGTGATGGCCAGAACATATTGTCTAGTGAAAAGTGTGAGGTAGGGAAGTGACTCTAATATGCTACCATTTATCTAATACAGAGACAGGACACACACATATATGAACCAGCTTATATTAAAAATGGAAAAGGAAGGGTGTTCTAATTACCTGAAGCAGCATAACAAACTACCTTTTTGGTGGGTCTGAACAATCATTTTATTGCATAAATGATTATTTGGGTCAGGATTATTATTCAGGCAGGACTGGCTGGGTGGTTTTTCTTTCCCACGCAGCGTTGATGGAGATCACTCACTGACATCCAGATAGAAGATGGGCTGATCTGGAGGCTCCATGATGGCTTCACTCACACAGCAGTGTTTGGTGGGACATCTGGAAGGCTGGGCTCAGCGGATGGACCCAGGTGCCTACACGCGGCCTCTCCAAAAAGGGGTCTTGGAGTGACTGGACTTCTTCACGTGATGGCTCAGGGGGCTCCAAGCATGAATGCCCCAGGTGAGCTGGGTGGAGGCTCTAAGGCATTTTACAACCCACCTCAGAAGTCTCTGAGCATCATTTCTGCCACACTGTTAGCTAAAGCAGTCACAAATCCTCCAGATGCAAGCAGAGGGACATAGACCACATCTCTTAATGGGATGACTATCCAAGGATTTGTGGCCATGTTTTACAAATGCCATGAAGGATAAACTGTATATTGCGTATAATGGTTACATATGGGGAAGAGTGGGGACAGGGTGGGGCAGAAAGGAATAGAAGTTAGGCTTCTCTGAATATAATTCATTCTGTAGATCTGATTTTAGAAAAATGTGAGTATGTCATATAATTATAAAAGTTTTACAAATCCCCTGAACATTGAAAGCAAAAGGGAACAAATGAACCTCTGTATACATTTTTTTTTTTGAGACAGAGTCTTGCTCTGTCACCCAGGCTGGAGTACAGTGGCACCATCTCAGCTCACTGCAACCTCCACCTCCTAGGTTCAAGCAATTCTTCTGCCTCAGTCTCCTGAATAGCTGGGACTACAGGCATGAGCTACCACGCCCGGCTAATTTTTGTATTTTTGGTAGAGACGGGGTGTCACCATATTGGCCAAGTTGGTCTCGAACTCCTGACCTCATGATCCGTCTGCCTCAGCCTCCCAAAGGGCTGGGATTACAGGTGTGAGCCACCGTGCCCGGCCTGTGTATACACGTTTTACAACCACATTGAGAGGAAGTATTCCAAGGAACTTTAAAATACCATAATTTGACTATTCATTTCTAGTGCAATATGCCCTAAAGACAAAAAGAAAAAATCATTTTAAACTGTTTCAATCATTGCATTATGCTGATGATGGTGCTGGTATTATTCTGATATCATTGTGTGTGTACGGTGGCTTCATGCAAATGGTTTTCTTACTGTATTAATGTGTGTCATTCAGAACCAGATTCTTTCCTAGAGAAAATGAATACAAATAAATGACAGAAGTTAAGTGAAAGCCCTGCGGTCCTAAATTTGAATAGGAAGTATCATTATGATTTAATGATGTAGAAATACTGACCACAGCCTGGGCGTGGTGGCTCAATCCTGTAATCCCAACACTTTGAGAGACCGAGGTGGGCAGATCACTTGAGGTCAGGAATTCAAGACCAGCCAGGCCAACATGGTAAAACTCCATCTCTACTAACAAAACAAAACTTAGCCAGGTGTGGTACTGCACACCTGTAATCCCAGCTACTCGGGAGGTTGAGGCCAGAGAATCGTTGGAACCCGAGAGGCAGAGGTTGCAGTAAGCAGAGATTGTGCCACTGCGCTCCAACCTGGACAACAGAGGGAGACTGTCTCAAAAAAGAAGAAGAGGAAGAGGAGGACGAGGAAGTACTGACCACAGCAGTACTGTGCACCCCTGGTACCCAAGTTGTGTTTTTTTTAAATTCTATTTTCCTTTTTTATATTTTGTTTTACATGCTATTTTGACAAAGGTTGTGGAGCCATTTCTCACTAAAAGGAACTAGGGCTCCTGGGAGAAATGGCTGACTCCAGGTCTAGAGCAGTAAATGCACACAATAAACCTGCAGCATCTTGCCAAACCAGAGAGCAAGTACATTCTCAAAGACCAATGGGGTCATGTCCAAAGTTCTCAAGAGCCAGCTTGAAAGATGGGACAATTTGAACTTCAATAAGGGCAATTAATGCAATCAATTAAAACACAGAAAATGTCTTTGAACTCACAAGTTTGTACTTATTTTTTTATCCCTACTTGATCACCGTTGGAAGAACAATTTAATTTAGAAAACTGTTAGAGGAACCAGATCAAGCATATATCACTTTATAAACTGTACCACCAGGTAGCCAAATAGCAGAAGTTTTGTTGAGGGGAAGTTTCTCTCTATAGAAACATTTCAGCGAATACATGAAGGAATGACAGAATATCACCGTTATGCAACCACTAATTTGCTTTAAATTTATTTGCAACCACTAATAAATTAATGAGTCCAGGCACTGAGCATCAGCAGCTGCTAATACCACAAAGAGAGGACAGAACACTGCCTCCCAACAGAAGAGCACAGAACTCTGCACCAAGTGTTCTTGCCAAAAAAAAAAAAAAAAAAAAAAAGTACCAACCTGATCTGGTCAAGTCACTAGACCAGCTACCGATTTACTGGAAATACAGACTATGGGAAACTCTACAATCTAACAACCCAGTTTCTTCAATAAATAAATTATGAGGAAGAAAACAGGGAGGGGCAACCACTAAATGAAAGACACCAAGGCAATCCATCAGCCAGTCGAGACGCGGGGTCTTATTCAGATATCAAATCAAACCATTCTTTTGTTAATTCTATTATTTATGAGACATTTGGAAATTTGAACAGAGACTGGATGGTTGCTGATATTAAGGGATGGTTGTTACTTGTGCAAATACTAAAGACTGTTATTATCATTTTTTAAGATCCTAATCATCCAGAGCTATGCTCTGAAATATTTGTGAATTAAATTATATTGTGTCTGGGATGAATGGGATGAATGTTTAGATAATTTGGGAGGGGAAGTAGCTGAGGGTAGAGATGAGACAGGACTGTGTGTGGGCATCACTGCTGCAGCTGGTGCTGGCTTCCTGAAGGTTCCTTATGTGACTCTCTGTTTCTGTGTATGTCTTAACTTTTCATAATAAAAGGCTCGTGTATGTAAATGTTCACACAATAAAAAATTTATATTTAGAAAAAAGGCTAGAAGGATATAAATCAACATGCTAGCAGACGGGATTATAGGTAAAAATACTTTTTAAATTGCTTAGTATCTTCAACAGTACTTTAAAAATCTGGGAAAGAGATGAAACCAAACTATCCCACCCTTCCCCGAGGAAGGTTTTGCCTGTGATCTGCAGGTGGTCGGGTACATTGGCACCACTGGACCAGGCAGATATTTGGCTGTACCAACCAGGCCCTTACAGGCAAATGCACTTCCCCTACCCGACTTCTCTTCTGGGAATCATGCCCGAGGAAATCATCTCAAATCTGAAATGCCAACAAAGCTGCCTGCGCAAGGTGTCCACATCGGGGCTATTTACTGGAGTGGACGCTGGAGTCAGAGGCCGCGTCCAGGGCGGGGAGTGTCTCGGGAAAGCCACGGAAAACGGTAACCACGGGGCAGAAGGCCGCAGACTATGCTGGGGCGCCAGGGATGCGCATCTGCACATGTGACACATTCGTTTTGCAAACACGTGTGGGAAATGGACGGAAGCCAGTTATCAGCCTCCAGGGACACCCCGCTAATATTTAAAATGGAAACGCCCCTAACCCCTCCTGGGGGAAGCTGGCTTTCTCAAACTGCCCCGGAAGTTCCCAGGAGGCCTAGGGTCCCTCACCCCACTGCTGCCATGTTCCGTGTCGTTACACTCGCGACCTAGCTTTGTCGTTTTCTACTTGTCCCTGCCCGCCTGGAGGGCTCCGTTTACACCCGCTCCTTTTCCCACCTCCGACGCCCCTCCCAGGCTGCTGCCTGTGTCCACTTTCCCTGAAGATGGAAGAAGGTCGGATTTCCCTAGGAGGGTCCTCATAGGACCTGCCTGGCCACTCCTTGCCCCAGGACGCCCTGGGCCGGGCACCTCCAGAAACATCTTCCCGCATCCCCGGCAAGAGCTCCCTTTCCACAGACACAGAATCCTCTGCATATTTTCTTACACGAAGACCATTCTTTCTAAAAGAATCTTGTCCCCGCTTTAAAGTTTGTGCTCCCTCCCTGCAGACGGAATGACAGCCCCCACCTCTATTCCCCTCCCACAGCCGTGGACCCCACTGTCCCGGGAGAGACTGGCTCCCTTATGAAGACTACATTTCCCAACCTCCTTTGCGGCCACGGCTGGCCATGTGACCCAATACTGCCAATGGGGTGCGAGCGGCGCGAGATAGTGGATGAACCCACACCCGGCAGGGCAGAAAAGGGAGGGAACCCAGCCCGCCGTCGCCACCGTGAACCACTGACTGCTACAGGAGCGAATAATCGTCTACCTTGTTTAAACCATCATTAACTTGGGTTTTGGTGTTTGTTTGTTTGTTTGTTTTTCGAGACGGAGTCTCGCTGGGTCGCCCAGACTGGAGGCAGTGGCGCGATCTGGACTCACTGCAACCTCCGCCTCCGGGTTCAAGCTATTCTCCCTGCCTCAGCCTCCCGAGTAGCTGGGATTACAGGCGCCGGCCACCACGCTTGGCTAATTTTTGTATTTTTTAGTAGAGACGGGGTTTCGTCATGTTGGCCAGGCTGGTCTCGAACTCCTGACCTCAAGTGATCCGCCCACCTCAGCCTCCCAAAGTGCTGGGATTACAGGCGTGAAACACTGCGCCCGGCCGGTTTTGTTTTTTAATAAGTAACCGAGCCTGCATTCTAACCAATAAACTCATTCTATTAAAACCCGCCTATGGTGCCCAGGGCCAGCAGGTTGTCTCTTGTCAGGTTCTCCCAGAAGCCAAGCCTGAGAGCAGGATTCAGGTGCAAATGTTTCCCTAGGGAGTTTCTCCCAGCTGAAACCAGTGAGGGAGCCAGGGAAAAAGAAGGAGAAGACAAGCAAGGGTTTCTTCAATTTCCATCCCTGCCGTGGCCTGAGCCCAAGGGAGCTCTGCAGCACAAATTATGCCCCTGAGTTTGTCCTGTCTTAAGGCAAAGGGCTAGGCTTTCCTGCTGCATACTTCCCTGAAGCAGGTTTGAGATGCAAGGGTTAGCAGCACAGCACAGAGCAGGCGGGGAGCTGGCTTGTCCCAGTAAGGAGGTCTGTAGGCTCTGGTCAAGGCACCAACATTACTCTATGCCCAGGAGTGCCAGACTCTTCGCAGCAGCTTTCCAGGCCCTCTGTGATTTCCACAACTGTCAACCTCCCCCACCCACCTCAGCCCACCTCCTCACACCTTGGCCTAACAAGATGAATGAGTGACAGCCCCACAAACACTTCCCCAGGACCTTCAACCGGGAGTGCAATACCCCCACCCCAGCAGCCTTCGTCCCCAGGACCTCCAACCAGGCACACTAACGCCCAGGCCTTCATCCTCTGCCTCTCGGAGATTTCTGGCAGACACCACAAGACCTGGGATAGGACTGCTTAGCAAAGCATGCTGGCATTTGCCCAGAGAGGGTGTCAGGTCCCAGCCATGGGACTGAGAACGTGGAGAAGCAGAGAGGTGTAGTGACTTGCCCAGGGCCACACAGCTAACAGGAGGGAGAAGCTGAGATGGTGAGGAGAGGAGAAAGCAGTGCCACAGAGAAGTCTAAAGGTGCGAGAGAAGCTGGGGGAAGTAGGCCTCAGACTCTGCGGGAAACCACCAGCGCTGGTGTGGAGGGCGTGGTCCAGTGGGTCAGCAAGGATCCCTGTAACATCAGGCGTCATTTGCCGAGCACTTCGTCATCAGGTCCTGTTCTCCCCACCATGATTCTCAGAGGCGCTGTCTCCTTGGGTTCTCCCAGTACACTCTCAGACACTGAGAAGCTTTGGACTCAAGTAAATCCTAGGAAATACCCATAGGGAAGTGGAGAAGTGAGACAGGGAAGAGCCAACCAAGGCCATGTCATCAACAGAGCTACCGCTGGGTGCAACTGGAGCTCCATCCCTTGGAGATGGTGCAGGATATACACTTCCAGGTCTCCTCTCTTGGCTGGATGGATGCTCCTGAGGAACACCAGCCTCAGCTGGCTGGCTTTGCACTCACACAAGCAACCTTGACCCCTCCGCTCCACTTCACAGCAACCAAACCGTGAGGGACGTGGTGACTCGCTGAAAGTCATCCACAGACAGAAGGGACCAAGTGGGCCCCAAGAGGGGGTCTGGGTATCTGGCCAGGCTCTGCCCTAGCTCCAATCAGGGCTCCAGGACTCCAAGATGGCAGGTCTGTGCCCACTTACAAGCACAGCCTGTGAAATCTCAGAGTCCCAGGACAGATGCCTCCAGCCTCCTAGCCCAAGGTTTAAGGGCAAGCCCAGCTCTGCCATGGATGTGCATCCTGAGGGACCCCACGGGGACAGATTGTAGTTGAAGGCGACTATAGGAAGCAAAATAAATTTGGGTTTGGCCCAAGAGGAGGCAGTGGAGGCAGGGACCAGGGGGACAGCATTATTCATGGAGTACCTACTGTGTGCCAGCCTGTTCCATGCTGCAGGGTTCTGTTGAAACCACCTGCAATCCTGCCAGATCCTGCCCCAATTTGCAGATGAGGAAACTGAGTCTCTGAGAGGTGCAGTGACATCTTCAAGGTCATACAACCTGGGGTGAAAGTGTCAAATTCAAGGTTGTCTGACCCAAGGACTGGGGACAGTGGGGGCTGAAGAGGCACGGAGTAGGGCTCTGAGGGCAAACAGGTGTGATGTTGCTGCTGCTGTTGTTCTTAATGCAATCAGATGATATCTCTCCCCGGCTCACAGCCCTCCAGTGACTTTTCCCCTGAATATGAAGTTCAGCCTCTCTGCCATGGCCTGCAGGGCCTGTGCCATCTGTCCTTCAACCCCTTGGTCTCTTGGGTGGCATGAAATCCCTGCCTGCCCCAGGGGCTTTTAAATTCAAATGTAAAAAATTTAATTAATTAAATGTAATCATTTAATGGTAATTAAGCTTAACTAGTTTAAATGACTTTTCTAATTAACTTAGAGTTCACTGCTTCTCCTTAGGGAGTGATCATGGGGTGATGCTGGAAGAATGGGGGGAGCACGGCTTTCCACGAAGGTGAGTGCCTCCTCCCTGCCTGACACCCTGGCTGAGCAGGTCCAGGTCTGTCTGAGCCCTGGTACAGCTCTGGTTCTAGAACACAACGTGGCACATAGAAGGTGCTCAGATAAAGTGTGCCATGGGCCAAGCCCTGTGGAGAACAACCCAGAGGGGTCAAGCCTGCTGTCAAGTTCATGCTGTGCCTCCTTTTCCTTGGATGTTGTGGGAATAGGGAGCTATGGAGGGTTTGGGAGGCAGACAAGGAAAGAATTTCCTAGGCTAGTTCACAGAGCAACTCCCCCATCCGCAACCAGAGCTTGCAGCTGCTGCTGCCTCCCCAGGCCTCCCCAGCTCAAGTCCCCAATAAGGCTGGCCCAGAACAGGAATAGAGCAGCCCATGGCTTCTGCGAGGACAGAGGGGGTGGCTGCAGCTAAACCTGGCTTGGCAGGTGGCTCACTGGGGCTGGGCAGAGCCTCAGCTGGGGGTAGGGACTAGGGGCAGGACACCTGGGTTTCTGGGCTTCCCTGGCTCTGCCTCACTCTCTGGTGGCCTCAGGACGGGTCAGAGCCTCGCTGAGCCTCTGTAACCTCCAGGAGAAGCCAGCTGCCGTGGGCGTGAAGATACACAAGCTCTGATAAACATAGTACAGCCAATGTATATATAGACCCTCCCACCTGGTTTCCAAAAGGATTTGCAACAGCTTTCACAAGAGGCGAAGAAATGAGCATTGAGAGTGAGCCAGGGTTTACACATGGGCCCCTCACGTCACAGGCCTGGGGAACTAGAACAGGGACAAGAAGATGGAGCCCAGATCCCTCCAGGAATCGCGTCTGTATGGGAGTGAGCTCCCCATCAGGGCAGGTATGCAAGCAGAGGCCAGCAGTCCTTGGTGGGGATGTGGTCAAGGGGATTGGTGCATCAGGGAGAGGTGTGGTCAGATGCGAAGCCCCTGTTGGAAGATGAGGTGACTGGTACTGCCTGCCCACCACAGCCCCTGCCCACAGGGAAACCAGGATGAGATAATGCTGGTGTTGGGGGCCTGTATTCATCTGTTTCATTGTTGCTATAACAAAATACCACTAACTGGATGATTTCTTCTTCTTTATTCTTTTTTTAAATCGAGACAGGGTCTCAATCTGTCACCCAGGCTGGAGTGCAGTGGCAATCACCGCTCATTGCAGCCTCGAACTCCTGGGCTCAAGCAATCCTCCCACTTCAGCTCCTGGAGGAGCTGGGACTACAGACATGCACCACCACACCTGGCTTTTTTGTACAGGTGAGGTGTTGCTATGTTGCCCCAGCTGGTCTCCAGCTCCTGGCCTCAAGCGATCCGCCCGCCCTAGCCTCCCAAAATGCTGGGATTACAAGTGTGAGCCATGTGCCCAGCCCAGACTGGGTACTTTCTAAACAACAGAAATTTCTCAGGGTTCTGGAGGCTGGGAAATCAAGATCCAGGCCGGCATCTGACAAGGCCTCCCTGCTGTGTCCTCCCATGGCAGAAGGAAGGCCGAAAGGCAAGAGAGTGCTGGAGGGAGCAGTGGAGGGCAAAACACCCTTTTATTACAACCAAACCGCTCAGTAACTAACCCACTGGGAGATGGCTGGCAGCATTCATCCATTCAGGAGGGCGGGCCCCCAGGACTTAATCCTGCTGTGAGGCCCCACCTCCCAACACAGCAGCTTGGGGGACACATTCAATCCTTCTGGCCCCTGTCCATTCCCTGGGGGAAGAGGGACTTGACCACAGTTTCGGGGCTGCTGGGGCCTGAGCTGCCAGGTGGGCAGCACGGGCCTCCTAGGGCTCTGCCCTCAGAAGCAGAGCTCGGCCCCGAGGGAGGGCATGGGAACGGGAGCGCAGCCGGGACGCTAACCCCCGGCACGGGTGCTGCCTGCTGTTTGACTTGGAGCTCCTGGCTTCCCTTCTCTGAGGTGCAGAGTCCTCAGCCAGCACAACGCGCCTATCGGCTCAGTATCGGCTCGCTCCTGGAAAGCCTTCCCAGAGCAGACCCCCGGAATAAACGGAATGGCAGCACTGTCCCCAGACCACCTCCCGCACAGCCCTGCTGCCTGCTGCCTGCGCTGGGCCTTGCGGCAGCCTTCCTGCACCTGCCCTGTCTCCTGTGAGCAAGGCCGGCTCCTCCTGGTCTTGCGGGGGAGGCGGCCAGTGGGCAAGAATGAAAATGAATAAATGTAAAGAAAGTGCGGCAGGACAAGTGTGGTCAGGGAGGCATCTGAGCAGACCCCTAAGCGGGAGCACATCCGGGGAAGAGCGTTCCGAGAGGAGAACTAGACAGCTCCTGCAGAGGCCCTGCACCGCCAGGCTCGGGGTGAAGCACAGGGAGCCAGGCACAGGGTACAGGGGAGGGCGCCCGGGGTGGGGCACTGTGGACCATGAGGAGGCCCCCACCGAAGACGGGAGCTGCAGCAGGGATCTGGAGGAGAGGCTTCCCGCCCTGGCCTCTAGAAGGGAATTCGCCAAATCCTCCCTCCGCAGCCTCCCTGCTCCTGAGCAGGCCTGTCTGCTGCATTTTTCTTTTCTTTTTCTTTCTCTTTCTTTCTTTCTTTTTTTTTTTTTTTGAGACGGAGTGTCACTCTGCCCCCCAGGCTGGAGTGTAGCACCTCGATCTCAGCTCACTGCAACCTCTGCCTCCCAGGTTCAAGCGATTCTCTTGCCTCAGCCTCCCAGATAGCTTGGATTACAGACGTGCGCCACCATGCCCGTCTAATTTTTGCATTTTTTTAAGTAGAGACGCAGTTTCGCCATCTTGGCCAGGCTGGTCTCGAACTCCCGACCTCAGGTGATCCACCTACCTCGGCCTCCCAAAGTGCTGGGATTACAGGCGTGAGCCAACACGCCCGGCCTGTCTGCTGCAGTTTTAATGCTGCCTGATGAGGAGGCTCTCACGGCTGTAATTGAACAAAGTCTACATGCCTCTGCCATCTCCCAGTCCAGAGACTCATTAATCCCGGGCTTGGAAGAGGCGCCTGCCCGGACCCTGCTGCCTGACAGGAAATGCGGGCGTCCGGCCTCGGGGGAGGGGGGACCTGGCCGCTCCCCATCCCCATTCCCCCACCTCAGGGACAGGGAACAGGGGAGAGGGGCCCTGCCGCTTGAGACCTCCACGGGTAGTATAAACTGTCAAGTGCCTGGGCTTTGTAAATGTTAGTGACCTGCGCACTGGCTTCCGCACTCTGATGGCTGGACACGCTCTGTAAAAGCCAAAGGGTCCCATAAATGGCAAGGGAACTGCAAACGACTGGGGCTGCAGTCGTGCGCGGAGAAGCCTGCTCTCTGTGAAGGGCTGCGGCATCCAGCCAGGCTTGCGGCGTCCAGCCAGGCCTGCGAGCCGCGAGGGGCGCGGTGGGCTGCGGGGCGCTGGGTAACTTCAGGGGCGCGCACGGTAAATCTCTAGGCGTTGGGTCTGCTGCTGTCTGCAGGCTGCAGAGTCCCCGGAAGCCCCGAGGGCCGGGCCAGGGGGTGCACACGGGCAGGACAGCCGCAGAGGCCGAGAACTGGGCTGACGCGTGGCAAGCCCGCGGCCTCCAGCTGCGCCGAGGACGCACGAGGACGCGGACGGGCGCTCGGGGCCGGGCGGGGCTCCAGGACACGCGGTTGAAGCCGAGCTCTACCGCCCCCTGGCGGCTACAGGAGACAGAGCCTGGGGCCGCGCCCCGGCAAGGGATTCATTCCCTCCCTCCCCCCTTCCCTCCCTCCCTCATTCATTCTTTCATGTGTTCATTCAGCAGAAGCCGAGCGCTCCCTCGGTGTCGGCAGCATTCTCAGCGCTGACGACACAACAGTGACAAGTCAGGTCTCGGCCAGGATAACCCAGGATAATAAGCTAGATTGGCTGGGCCTAGTGGGCGGAGGCTATTTGAGCCAGAGTGGTCCTGGAAGACCTCGCTGAGGAGGTGACATGGGAGACCGGGATGGGGTTGGGGGGAGCCAGCCACAGGAAGACGGGGGAGGGGGTGTTCTACGCAGAGGAGACAGCCAGTGCAAAGGCCCTGGGGTGAAAACAAGTCTTCATGATTGAAAGATGGAGAGAGGGAGACAACAGCTCCCAGGAACTGTTCGCCCCTGTGCCAGGGAAGGGTTAGTGGGCAGAGACCTGTCCCAGACTGGGGCTGGAGGACAGGAGGAGTGCAGAGACAGACCCCATGGGGACCCTCCTCCTGGGAACACACCCTAAGCTTCCTCAGAGGACCACAGAGACCCTGCTCTCAGACCTTGAGCTGTAGTGGGCGGAGTCCCCTCATGCCTGACCTGACCTGAGCTGTCACACCCACCCTCCTGGCCTGGGGATGAATTCGACTCCTTCCCAGCTGGTAAGAGCCAGTCCTGGGACTTCAGGAGTACCCTGGGCACGGTGTGCCGAGCTCTTGGAGTCCCTGGGTCCTGACTGGTCCCCATGAGGGGGTGAACCTGAGACGGATGAACAGCCAAGGTGGATGCAAGTCCTTCAGGCCATCAGCTGAACTTCAAACCCAACGGTACCTGAAGCTGAGCACACCCGGCTTACGTGAGCAAATTCCCTGCTGCCCCAGCCATGCTGCCAGCATCACAGGGCCAGACTGCAGGGCGCCTTCATCAGGCTGCCCCTACTCCCCTCGGAGCCTTCTCCGGAGCCCACCACCTGTCCCCAAGTCTGTTTTTCTGTCTTATAAGCTGTGTGGCTTTGGGTAAGTGATGTCAGCTCTCTGGGTCTGTTTTCCTATCTGTAAAGTGGAGGTCACGTAACCTCCATGAGGTCACCGTGTCCAGCCCAGGCAAAGTGTGCAGGGTGCTTGCTACTCTGTGCACCTGGCTGTCATCACTACTCCAGGACAGTGGGATGGGTGGCCGCCACCAGCAGACTGGATCTGTGTGTTCGCTGCTCTGTCCAGTGTCAGTACAGGGCCTGATGCCTGGATGATCACAGGATGTTACCTCATCACAGCCCTCTGGGGGCCTCTGTGTCCTCAGATGTAGAAGGGCCTGGTGGGTCAGCAGTCCTCCCTCCCCTGAGCATGACACCCTGCCCCTGGCCCAGAGACAAGGGTCCCTCAAGGGGCCACAACCTTCCCCAAGTAGGAGGGGAGCTCACAGGTGTCATACACAATCTCCCACAACCTTTAGTCCTTTTTTTTTTTTTTAATTAAAACAGCAACCAGGTAACTGCCACAACCCATCAGGGAAAGGACCCGGGATGGGCAGTTGTTTTTTCAAAAAAATATATTTTCTTTTTTTAAAAACAACACCAAAGGAAACCCATAGCCCCTGTCAAGCCAGTCCTCAGGGGAGAGTGAGCTGGAAGGCTCCCCCTGCACTTCTCTGAGCAGAGAACTTGGGCCCCTCCCACTGGACCCCAGCCTGAGCAGAGGGCAAGGCTCTGCCTGCTGGTACCCTAGGGGATGGGGGAGAAGCGATCAGCTCCAAACCATGCAAGAAAAACAAGCCAAACCCATAAAGCAAAAGAAAAAATCAACAGAGGATAAATTAAAAAAAAACCGAAAAGGTGAATGACACCGATAACGGTGGCGGGCAGGACTGGGTGAGCCAGTGTGCCCCGCAGAGGCCCTGTTTGCCAGTGCCAAGGGAAGGCCTTGGGTGGCTCATGGCATCTCCCTCATGGGAGTCTTGAGGTATTCACACAACTCATCCCCTCTTGTGTACCCCGCACCAAAGCCGGGATAGAGGTGTGGCCACCCTGGGCCAAAGTGTGCAAAGTCCATTCAGTCGAGAGATTAAAAAAATATACAACTTGGATGGCATCCAGGCTGGGCAAGGCGGTGGCCCATCCACCCAGGTATGGGCGGCCCGCTGTGCAGGGGCAGCAGCATCCACAGGGGGCATTCAGGCCCCCTCAGTCCAGGATCTCAGCAGCTGGAGACGGGTCCTTGGAGCAGCAGGGAGAGGTGCTGGTGGGGCCGAGAAGGGCCTGGCTGGGAGCCCCGATGGTCTGCTTCTTTGGCACTTGGGACAAATGGCTCACCACAGAGCCAGGTGGGAGCAGCCCCCTCAGTTCCTCCCAGATGCCCTGGGCCAGGATGGCAGTAGCTTATGGTGTGGGTGAGCACTGCCCCCCCAGATGGGGATGTGGGGCTCTGGAGGGCCAGAGTGGGGTCCAAGGCCCGGCCCCTATGAGTCTTCTCCCAGGATCTCCTTCATGAAGGCAGCAATGTCCGTCTTCTTGGTTTTGTGCAAGGTGAAGAAGGGGTGCTCCTGGGGGTGACAGAAGGCACAGTCACCATGGAGGGGTAGCGGGAGGGGGAGGTGGCCATTCCTCCCCAACCAGCTCCAGCCCAAGTGTTCTCCTGACTGGCAAAATCCTACTCATCCTTCTAGGACCTCCACCCCCAGGAGGCCCTCCATGACTGTCACAGATGGCATTTGTGGCTCCTCCTCAGCTCTCTTGTGGTCACTCTCCAGCCACACTAACCTCGCTTTCCCCCCACACGTCAGGCCTCTGCCCATGCTGGACCTTCTGCTTGGGACAGCCTCTCCATCAGGAGATAACCCTTATTCATCCTTCCAGGCTCAGTTCAAATGGTACCTCCTCCATGAAGCCTTCCCTGATGCCACCCTTGGCCCCTCTGCCCCATTCTGTCACACACTGCCTGTGTACCCTTCCCAGGGCCTGGCATGCAGGAAGGAGGGAAGGAGCCATGTATGCAGGAGCAAACAAATGACCGAGCACCTAAAGGAGAGAACACGGGGCCAGCCAGACGAGCTACCCATCTGTGTGCAGGATGCAGCCCTCTCCCCAGAGCCCCACCCAGCCCCAGCTAGCCCTGAAGAGCAGGGCAGGCACCTCCCGCCCATACTCACCATGAGCTCCAGGTAGCTCATACGCTCTGCGGGGTTCTTCCTCAGGCTAGGAGAGAATAGTACAGCTGTGGCCAGGCTGGCAGGGAGGAAGGAAGCCCAGCCCCCAAGGGCCAGCCAAACCACCCCAGGATTGCCCCAGGCCTGGCAGCAGGGGACACGTGCACCCATGGAAGAAGGGACAGGACTGTCCAGAGCTTCTTCCAGGGTGGAGGGGCATTCATAGGAGCAAACTAGAGACTTGCAGTGAGTTTCTCTGGCTCTTGGGGTCCTGGTTTTCTTGTCTGCATAGTGACCTAGGAATTTCCATATCAACACCAAAATGGGGTGCAATGCTCTTCCTAACAGTCACACACTTGGTATCCTCAATCAGGAGAGAAACTCCTTATCATGGGTTCTGGGAGAGGTTAGTCCACAATTAAAGGGGTCAGACTGCCCAGGGACTCTGCTGGGCTCCTCTGTTGCTGATTATGGTCAACAATAAAAGTGCGGGGACCATGGGTGTGAGCCACCGCACCCGGCCGCTTCTTCCTTACCCAATTCTTGCTCTATTTAATTATGGTCAGAGAAGTTGCCCTCTTCCTTATTTCTTCTGTAACCTCAAACATGATTTTTTTTTTTTGAGACAGTCTCACTCTGTCGCCCATGCTAGAGTGCAATGGCATGATCTCAGCTCAGGCTCACTGCAACCTCTGGCTCCCGGGATCAAGTGACTCTCCTGCTTCAGCCTCCTGAGTAGCTGGGATTACAGGCATGCACCACCATGCCCGGCTAATTTTCCTATTTTTAGTAGAGTCGGGGTTTCACCATGTTGGTCAGGCTGGTCTCAAACTCCTGACCTTGGGATCCGCCTGCCTCGGCCTCCCAAAGTGCTGGGATTACAGGCATGAGCCACCGCGCCCGGCCTCTCAAACATGATTTTTATAAGGCTCCTGTGGGGCATTCTTTAATTTGGTACAAAGTTCTAGATATCAGTAAAAGCAAACTTGTTTTTTGTGTTCAAATTTTCCATATACTTTTTTCTCTTTTTCAGTCTATCTGATTTGTCCACTTCTGGAAGAACTGTATTAAAATCTCCCACCAAGACCATCGTTTTGTCAAATGCTCCTCATGCTCCAGCTGTTTCTGCCTTACATATTTGGATGCCAAGTCCTCTGGGGGTTTATTTGCTAAAGGAATAAAGGAACAGGGCCCAGGAAGGTGCAGGGACCTGGCTAGGGAGGGGCAGTGGCAGGCGCTCAGCAGCACCCAAGACTCACCACTGAGCAGTGAAGTCCACAAACTCGGGGGAGAAATGGTCAGCTGGGAGCTGGGGTGACGGCTCCTCCACCACCTGCTTCAGCTGCTGGAACGGGGTCCCCCAGGACTCATAAGGGAACCGCAGGATGGCCATCTCAATCTGCAGCAGGGACAGGGGGGTCAGAGGCCCTGGCCCCAGATACAACCACGCTCTGCACCCAGGAGCGAGGGTTGGGGGCTCCCACCCATCCTGGTACCAGAGCCAGGCGTCAAAGCTGCACAGCTGATCTCCCTACCACATCCCAGCAGAACAAAGGTGAGAAAGCCGGGGATGCCAGCTCTTAGCTCCTCTGACCCAGCCAGCAGGACCTAGCTCAGGAAGCAGATTCAGCCCACACCGGGATTGGTGGGACCATCATAGGGTTTTCAGAAAACCTGAATTCTGAAGATTTTATAAAACAATGCAGGTTCCGGCTGCTCTGGAAAAATCTGAGGAGCTGGCAACTGTGGGCCGCCGCCTCATGAGCCAGGTGGGCAGGTCCCAGGTAGTCACAGCCAATCCCCTTCCTAACATCTGACCATCTCAGACTTCAGCATTTGCTGTCATTAATTTGGGCTGCTGTTTTCACAGAGGAGGCACATGGGAAATGCTACACACACACACACACACACACACACACACACACACACACAGAGCTGTCTCCAAGGCCGCGGACAGAGTGTGAGATCATGAGGCTGCTTCGCCTCTTCACCCGTGAGCCTGCAGCCTCATCTTCTGCAGGGCCCCAGCAGTTTCCCTCCTAGACAAGTGGCCTGTGTGGCCACATGTGCCCTGCTGCATCCAGATTTCCTGTGGGTGACATCGGGCCGGTGGGTCTCTGTCCTCGCTCCAAGCTCCCAGCCCTGTGGTTGGCAGGAAGTCATCATGGAAGGGACGGACTAGCTAGCTTACAACCAACTCTGGGCTCCAATCATGATGACTGGATGGAAAAAACAAGTCATGTCAGCCCTGGCCCCGGCCTGGAAGAACAGAGAATTCTGAGGCTCCAGCACAAGGGCCCTCACTGCCGGCCGTCATCACCATGATGAACGGAAGAGACCTCAGCACAAACACTTGGCGCTGGCAACTGGAGCCCAGACAAGACCCTAAGGACTGTGCCGAGACTGTGCCTCCCATCAGGCTAGAGGCCCTTTCCAGCTCAGACAAACACACCCACACAGGCAGGGCCCACTGCGTGTGTGTGCATGTGTGCACGCGTGTTCACAGGACAAAACTGTACTGATTTGGGAGGCTTTTCTCTTAGAATTTTCACTGACTGCAATATGTAGAGCAAGTACCCCATACGAGCTACAAGAGAAGGACCAGCTGCCATGAGAGTTATAATTAGAAAAGCAGAAGTGTCCAAACCTTCAACCTCGTACTCCTTTATTTTTTCTAAAGAGCTCAAAAAATGAAAAACAACAAAAATAGCCTCCGGGCACGAAGATGTGCCATATGGTGTCATCTGCCAGGAAATATTAAGAAACAGCCTGAATGTCCAGCGCCAGGGGCCGGCCCCACCATGGGGGCGGAGACCCAGCCAGGACCGTAGTCGCACCCCTGTGACTCCCCAGCGACAACACTAACAGGCCAGCACCCAGTCAGCACTTGCTCCTGGCCAAGGGCCATCCCCAGCATGACCCCTGTCTGTTCTGGGTGATTACCACTGGCATCCTGAGGCTTGTGCAGTGAGTGGGAAAAAGCCAACGCCAAGAGAGCTCTGGGGCTCTTGCAGGATAGGGGGAGGCCGAGACCAGAGCCCCACCCAGGGGGACTCTCCCGACTCTGTTTCACCAGTCACTCCCCCAGGATGGCTGAGAATTTGAAATGGAAGGAAAACATCAGGAACAAGGGAAACATCCCACATCAGCAGACAGGGTGACTGAATGGTGGCAGATGGTTATGGAGTCTTTGGAAGGGATACACACAGGAGTCTATTATAATTTGGAGAAATTAGCCAGGTGCGGTGGCTCACACCTATAATCCAAGCACTTTGGGAGGCTGAGGCAGGCAGATCACTTGAGGTCGGGGGTTCGAGACCAGTCTGACCAAAATGGAGAAACCCCATCTCTGCTAAAAATACAAAATTAGCTGGATGTGGTGGTGCACACCTGTAATCCCAGCTACTTGGGAGATTGAGTGAGGCAGGAGAATCACTTGAACCTAAGAGGCAGAGGTTGTGGTGAGCCGAGATTGCACCACTGCACTCCAGCCTGGGCACCAAGAGCAAAAGTACATCTAAAAAAAAAACCAAAACAGAGAGAGAGATAAATATGAACAACGTGTAATGCTACAAAATTTTTTAAAAAGTTTTTTAAAAGAAGCATTACAAGGCCAGGCGCAGTAGCTCACACCTGTAATCCCAGCACTTTGGAAGTCCAAGGTGGGTGTATCACAAGTTTGAGACCTGCCTGGCCAATATGGTGAAACCCCATCTCTACTAAAAATACAAAAATTAGCCGGGCATGGTGGCGCATGCCTGTAGTCCCAGCTACTCGGGAGCCTGAGGCAGGAGAATCACTTGAACCTGGGAGGCGGAGGTTGCAGTAAGCCGAGATCACACCACCGCACTCCAGCATGGGTGACAGAGCAAGGCTCTGTTTCAACAACAAAAAAGAGAAGCATTACATATTGTTTGTATTTCTCTAAATTATAATAAAATGTATTATATAGAATATAATAAAAATATTATATATATAATATAATGCACAATGTTGGCACTGAAATGGGGTAAGAGGTGTCTCTAGGTAGAATAACTACAGTCATTTTCCCCTTACTTTGCCTCTGTGTTTTTATGTTAGGTTTCCACTACTTTTGTAACTTGTGAGAGAAAAACCTAACCTGTGCCTAAAGTGACCACCTCCGCCTCCCCCTGTGTGTGCCTGCCGATCCTCCATTAAGCCGGGAGCATTCCCTGCCCTTGAACCTGGGCTGGCCTGTGACTTGCTGACCAACACAATGAGGCAGAAGTGATGCTGTGCCAGTTCCAGGCCTAGCACTTCAGAGAACTTCATTTTAGATGCCAGCCGTCATGAAAGAACTCCAACTCTGCTGACACTGCCATGCTCTGAAGCCCAGGGAGCAGGCCAATGTGAGTAAGTTGCATGGAGAGGCCAGGCAGAGGAGGCCCATGTTTGTGAGGCCATCTTGGGCCTTCCAGCCCAGCCCAGCCATGACCCCAGCCAATCCCAGGTACAGCAGAAGAGCCATCCAGCTGAGCCCAGCTACAGTGGTGGAAACATGAGAAATAAGAAACCGCTGTTGGTTTGGGTCACTAGGTTCTGGGGTGGTTTGCTATGCAATATTTGATAACTGAAATATACACTTAGCACACACTTGTCCAAGTTCCACCAGCCATATCAGAAGGCCAACAGCCATGGTGGCCCCAACAATCATGATGGATGGACAGATGGAAGGGAGACAGGGAGATGGGGAAGGGACATAAGGGTGTGTGTATGTGTGAGGTAGTCATGAGCGGGGTCTCTAATATCCAACCAGTTCTGTGCAGTCTAAATACAGCAAGAACTTGTCCTTTGCATCAAACTTAAGACTTGGAAAACTGTTATTGCAGATACAGCACCTGCCTTCAGGCTGAATATTCCTCTCCACCTCAAAAAAAAATTTAATTGAAAAATTACATGTCACCAGTTAAAGAAAATTGAAGGTATGGCCCAGTCCCACCTCTCTGACAAAATTATTTCGACTTTGAGTCTTTCCCAGTCACTGTCTACAGATACACTGTTTATAAAGTTACAGCCACAGGCCAGGCGCAGTGGCTCAAGGCTGGGCGTGGTGGTTCACGCCTGTAATCCCAACACTTTGGGAGTCTGAGGCAGGTGGATCAGCTGAGGTCAGGAGTTTGAGACCAGCCTGGCCAACATGGCAAAACCCTGTCTCTACTAAAAATACAAAAATTAGCCGGGCATCGTGGCAGATGCCTGTAATCCTAGCTACTTGAGAGGCTGAGGCAAGAGAATTGCTTGAACCTGGGAGCCGGAGGTTGCAGTGAACTGAGATTGTGCCATTGCATTCTAGCCTGGTCAACAGAGTGAGACTCCCTCAAAAAAAAAAAAAAAAAAGGCCAGGCACAGTGGCTCACCCCTGTAATCCTAGCACTTTGGGAGGCAGAGGCAGGCAGATCACCTGAGGTCAGGAGTTTGAGACCAGCCTGGCCAACATGGTGAAACCCCGTCTCTTCTAAAAATACAAAAATTTGCCAGGTATGGTGGCTCACGCCTATAATCCCAGCTACTGGGGAGGCTGAGACAGGAGAATTGCCTGAACACGAGAGGCAGAGGTTGCAGTGAGCTGAGATCATGCCATTGCACTCCAGGCTAGTCAACAGAGTGCAACTCCGTCTCAAAAAAAAAAAAAAAGATAGCCGGGCATGGTGGCACGAGCCTGTAATCCCAGTTACTCAGGAGGCTGAGACAAGAGAATCACTTGAACCTAGGAGGCAGAGGTTGCAGTGAGCCGAGATCATCCCACTGCACTCCAGCCTGGGCAACAGAGTGAGACTCCATCTCAAAAAAATAAAATTAAAAATAAATAAAGTTATAACCACATGATGATGATAACGATGGTAGCAGCAACACCAGTAAAACCCACAACACCTGCGTCAACTCTCTACCCACCAGACACTTCTCTTCGCTCGCTCCCAACCCTCCCTCCCTCTCCTCTGACCCGGCCACCCAGGCACACAGCAGGCACAGCCCCACCTCAGGGCCTTTGCACTTGCACCCCCTGGTCTACCCTGCCCTCAGGTCAGCAGGGTGCCCTCCTTGCAGAGGCCTCTGCATCTGCAACAGTGGCCTTCCACCTGTCCCCAGAGCCACCCCCACCTGCTCCACCCTTCTCCACCCCCGTGGCATAAAAAGGAATTTATTTGGTCTTTGTTCCTGGCATGGAGCTCCTAAAACCCTTGGAATTTCCTGAGTGACAGGAGTGGCTTTGTTATCCACAAGGAGCCTGAGTTTATGCTAATGAGGTGACTCAGGGTAAGGCCCCTAGACAGCCTCAGGATGGGGCTGCTCCTCAGAAAACCCAGCTTGATTATAGAGGGTGGGAACTCTCATCATCACCCGCCAACTGATTCTGAGAGGATGGGGGCCTGGAGACTCTGCTCTATAAAAACTTTCAGTGCGTGCAGTAGCTTGTGCCTATAATCCCAGCACTTTGGGAGGCCGAGGTAGGCAGACTGCTTGAGCCCAGGATTTCAAGACCAGCCTGGGCAACATAGTGAGACCCCTTCTCTACAAAACATTAAAAAAGTACCTGGGCATGGGGGCACACACCTGTAGTTCCAGCTACTCAGGAGACTGAGGTAGGGGGATGGCTTGAGCCTGGGAGTTCAAGGCTGCAGGAGCTGCGATGATACCACTGCACTCCAGCCTGAGCAACAGAGTGAGACCCTCTCTCACAAAAAACCTCTCCATGTGAGGCTGGGCATGGTGGCTCATGCCTGTAATCACAGCACTTTGGGAGGCTGAGGCAGTCAGATCACTTGAGGTCAGGAGTTCAAGACTGGCCTGGCCAACATGGCAAAACCCCATCTCCACTAAAAATACAAAAATCAGCTGGGCATGGTGGTGCCTGTAATCCCAGCTACTCGGGAGGCTGAGGCACAAGAATCGCTTGAACCCAGGAGGCAGAGGTTATGGTGAGCTGAGATTGTGCCACTGCACTCCAGCCTGGGTGACAAAGTGAGACTCTGTGTCAAAAACAAAATTCCATGAGCTTGAGAAGCCTGTAGGTTGGCAAGCACAGGGAGGTACCAGGAGGGTGCCAGGCCCCGAGAGGGCATGGCAGCTCTGCACCCCACACTCACACCCCTCCCCCGTGAGTCTCTTCCATCTGGTTGGCCCTGAGTTATATCCTTTCTGATAAACCAGTAAACACAAATAAAGTGTTTCCCTGAGTTTTGTGAGCCATTCTAGGAAATTATCAAACCTTAGGAGAGGGTCGTGGGGACCCCCAATTTGTAGCTGGTCAGTCCAGTAGCATGGGAGACCCGCTACTTCCAACTGGTGTGTGATGTTGGGGGCAGTCTGGTGGGACAGAGCCCTTAACCTGTGGGGTCTGTGCGAACTCCAGGTAGCATCAGAACCGAACAGAACTGCAGGGCACTGGGTGGGTGTCTGGAGAATCCGAGAATGGGTTGCGGTGTTGGAAAACACCCCGCCAGCGCTTCTCACCACATCTTACTGATTTCATCTGATGGCCTCATCCCCAACACCAAACAGTCAAAGGGACTAGGGACACGCAGGAATGTTCTGGGCCAGGCTTCCCTGGGCAGGGAAGGAGCTGATGCCCAGGACACTCCATTGGTCCCAAGCCACTCAACTGGCCAAGGCCACCAGCCTGAGCCCGACCTGCTGATGGCATCGTCCTTCCACGCGTCTCCTGCACAGCTTCCTAGCCCTGGCTGGGGGACACATCCTGGTGGTCTTCCCATCCCTCCAATCCACTGTCCACAGGGGAGCCAGAGCGGGCTCACCCACACCTTGACCTGAGCCCCAACATGGAAGGCATGGGGTTCTGCCAGGCAACTCCGGAAGCAACTGCTCTGGGCCCATCCGTACACCTGGACTTCTGCCACATCTGCCCTCACCCTACCCAAGCCAGGGATGCCTTTGGCTTCCGCAGGCCCAGGATTGAGAGCCCGCCCACCCTTTCTACCACCCCACCACAATGTACCAGGACGCCACCGACAACAAACCTTCTGCTATGAAATATTTTTGAAAAGATCTTTACCATCTTGCTTTTGCATGATTTACATACCAGGAACTTACGTAATTTGGGATTGGCTGTGATTTCTCAACAAGCACCAAGAACTCCAGAGAAAGCCCTGTGGCCACCATATCACAAAGCACCCAGGACTTCACGATGAGTGACCCTGACCCTAGGAGGTTCCCTTAAATAGATGGTAATTTCTGATGGCACATTTTCTTCTCAGATTTTGAAGCCAATACTTCTTTCCAGAACCTAAACTATTTGATGAGTCCCCCAAAAGCTCAGGGCCCCAGGCACGGCTCCACCCACCCCACCTGACCACCAAGGGCAGGCCCCGGCCCCACACAGTACCATGGTGATGCCCAGGCTCCAGACGTCAGACTTGACATTGTAGCCCTTCTGGTTCAGCTCTGGGTTGATCCTCTCAGGCTGCAGGAGGGAAGATTGAGGCGTGAACACCTGCCCCAGGTAAGCTCCCATGGCTAGGCCTTGCCTCCCAATCCCCAAACTGAGCGCTCAGCTTAGCCCACCTGCCCATGTGACGGGGGAGGAAACTGAGGCTAGGAGGGCCTGGGTCATGCTTAGAAGTCCCAACCCTTGCATCGGTCTGATGCTACCTGGGAGCAGGCCCCTAAGGCCCTCCTGACAATGAGGGCGGGGCGGGACCTGCACAGCCCACCAGTGTCCTCCGCAGAGGTGGTCCATGAGCTTATCACCCAACTGGGGCACTGTGGGGGTCAGTTAACAATGGGGTACAGAAGGGCTGCCCCTGGGCAGCAAGACACAGGTGGCCCCACTACAGTAGGAAATGCAGTGTGGGGAGGCTCTGCCCCTACGGACAGAGGGCATGGCCAGGGTGGCCAGCCTGGGCAGATCTCTCCCCGCCCCATCCTCTCCTGAGCCTGGGGGGCTTGGGGACCACTCACGGCCATGTAGGGCTTGCAGCCGGCATCCATTGTCTTGGCCACAGAGTCCACCCAGTAGCCACTGATGCCAAAGTCACACATCTTACACCTAGGCAATACCCATTAGCATCGCCTTCCTAAATCAGGGGAAATTGAGCCTCTGTAAGGTGGAGTAACTTCCTAAGATACAAAACTCAGCATTAAAGTCTGTATACTTCAATATCCTGCCCCCTTCTCATTTGTCTTTACTGCCTTTTATGTATGTGTTAGATGTTCAATAAATTCTCTTTTTTAAACTGAATTTAAGCCATGGAGCAGTGTTTTGTTGAACAATAAATATGATATAGGACACTGTTCCTCCCTTTCATTTATGATCCAGTTCATGAAAAAGAGAAATTCTTTCATTGTGCTAGAAGCTTAAAGTAATGAAAATGCCACTTTCTACATTACACAGAAACTGAAGGGAATCAAGGTGAATTGCATGAGACATAGAAAACAAGTGGGAAAGAAATCTAGCATAATTTGCCCTTTGTGGACCTTTATTATTTAGCGTTTGAGTAGATGTTTCCCCCAAATATCTTCCCATCTTAATTCATGTCTATAAAGTAGACATTTATGTCTCACCTTGTCAAGAAGGACAAACTCTAACATAAACATTTCTCAAAAATGCTTCCTGCTAAAATGTAAGCTCAGTCTGGCTAGAAATTAAGCTCTCTTCATAAAGATTAATTGGCAGCTAATCTGTGCATGCTGTTCTCTGAACTTGAGTGAAAGCTGTCCATCAGGCATACAGGGAATGACGGAAAAGGTGACAACAGAAGATGAATGCTATGTCACTAACCTTCAAAGATGACCTTCCTTTTCTTTCAAATTCTTGAAATCTTAAGACTTCATTAATTCATCTCTCTTTGCCCTTGGATCAACATTGTGCTATACAAAATCTCATGTAAAACAATGATCTAATGTAATAAAAATGGCATTTTTCTTTCAAGCAGATGCAAGCTAACTGGCATTTTTACAATTGACATATTTCCTTTGTCAATTTTTCATTCTGTATTGGAAGTAATTGATAGGTATTCCTGAAGGGATGAAGGTGTTTCTGTGTTCATTGTGATCCAAACTATTTTTAGACCTAGTGGCATTTGTAAAACAATTTGTGCCAGCTGACCAAGGACCACTGTGGCAGAAAGCAGCAAACTTGCGTAAGATGTCACTGCCTCATAAGTTGGCTTTGAAAACTAGGGGCTTACTCTATAGTCTTATGTATCAAAGACATTGATAGATGTAGTATAAGATTACAATCATATTTTCCTTTTGACAGTCACATTATAAAGCATGATGTATTGCAATTAATCTCAATTAGCTGATCACAATTAAAATTAATAGTTTATTATTGCTGATAAACAATCATGACTCTCCTGTTCTCAAATGTGCAAGTAATTCTTGTAATTTTAATACAAATTTGCATATTATTACTAATTGATTTAATCTCATTGGATTTGGTTCATGGATCCAATTTATTAAAATATTAATAATGGGATAATGATTTGTCTGCCCATTTCATTTACACTAAAAGCCACAATTCTTACAATGGTCTGCAAGCCCATCATGATGTGCCGCATGTTAACCGCCAAAATTATTTTATATCTTCGCCCTTGATCTTACCAGTGGTCCTGGCCACCTCACTGTCCTCTGGACATGCCGACATGCTGCTGTCTTATGACCAAAACTCTAGTTAATTTCTTGGCTTGGAAAGATAGCCCTCCATATATCCATTGATCATTCAACTTCCTCAAGTCTTTACTGAAACCTCACATTCTCGATGAGACCTATTCAGTATTTCAAACTGCCTCCGAGCTGCAACATTCCAAAACCCCTTACTCTTCTGTGTATTTTTGAAAGCATTTATTGAGATATAATTTACATAGTGTAGAGTGCACACATTAATGTCTACAAGTCAGTGGCTTTTAGTATATGCACAGATAAGTGGAGCCATCATCACAATGAATTTTAGAGCATTTTCATCACTTCAAAAAGAAACCCCACCTTCTCTAGCTGTTAACCTCCTATGCACCCATCCCCTACTCAATCCTAAGCAACCACAAATCTGTTTTCTGTCTCTATAGATTTTCCTATTCTATTTTCATCTAAATAGAATCATACAATAGGTGGCCTTTTGTGCCTGGCTCCTTTCAGTTGGCATAATGCTATCAAGGTTCATGTACGTATTGGTACTTTATTTCTTTTTATAACTGTATAATATTCAATTTCATGGATATAACATTTTGTTTATCCAATAATATTTTTATTGACATTTGAGTTGTGCTCAGCCTTTGGCTATTGTAAATAGTGCTGCTAAAAATACTTGTGTACAATTTGTGTTTGAACACCTCTTTCCAATACTCTGGGGGTATACCTGGGAATAAATTTCTGGGTCATATGACAATTCTATGTTTAATATATTTAGAAGCCATCAAACTATTTTCCAAAGTGGCCAGTTCTAGCCATAGAGTATCTAACTGTGGTTTTGATTTGTAGTTACTTGATGAGTGATGCTATTGTGTACTTTTTTATGGGATTATTGATCGTTCGTGTATCTTCTTGGGAAACACATCTATTCCTATCATTTATCAGTTTTGAGTTGGGACATTTGTTACTGAGTTAAAACAATTTTTCTATATTCAAGATACATATATATACAGACATATAGATATGTGTTTTTCAAATATCTTCCCACAATTTTTGAGATGCCTTTGACTTGCTTGGTTGTCCTTTGAAACACCAATGTCTTTAATTTTTAAGAAATTTTAACTATCTAATTTTTATTTTGTTGCTCATGTTTTTGGTGTTACAGCTATTTCTTTGCTAGATCCAATATCCTGAAGATTTTCCCATATGCTTTATTCTAGCTCTTGCATGTATGTCTTTAATTCATTTGAGTTAATGTTTTTGTATGCTTTGGGGTAAGGGTTCGAATTTATTATTTTGCAAGTGGTGATCCACGTATATGTTGTTGACCCAGTGTGTTCAAAGACTGTCTCTTCCTCATTGAATTGCACATGGCACCACTGTAAGAATCCATTGACTATAGATACATAGTTTTATATATGGACTCTCAATTCTCTTCCATCAATCCATATATTTTTCCTTCATCAGTATTGTGTTATCTTGATTACTGATGCTTTGCTGTAAGGTTTGGAGCACGGAGGTGTGAATTATCCTAATATGTTTTCTTTTTTCAAGACTATTTTGGCTATTTTGAGTCCCTTACAATTCCATGTGTATTTTAGAATCAGCTTGTCAGTTTCTAGACAGAAGTCTGTTGGGATACTTGAAGGGATTTCATCAAATCTGTAGTTCAAATTGTAAAGTACTACAATGTTAAATCTTCCAATTCATGGTTGTAAGATGTTTGCTAACTATTTAGATCTTCTTTAAACAATAATTTTTAATTTTCAGAGTAAAATCTTGTATCACATTTTCCAAATTAATTATTATTTCTTTTTTTGATGCTATTGTACATTGAAGTGTTTTCTTAATTTCATTTTGGGGTTTTCATTGTAGATGTGTGCAATTGATTTTTGTACATTTATCTTCTATGCTGTAATATTGCTGAAATAATTTACTAGTTCTATCGTTCAGTGGATTCCTTAAAATTTTCTATATACAAGAATGTTATTGGCAAAAAAAGTTTTATTTCTTCCTGTTCAATATGGGTGACTCTTATTTCTTTACTTGCCGATTTGTCCTGCATAAAATCTTTAGTACAGTGTTGACTAGAAGAGGTCAAAGTATGTATCTTATTCTTATCTCTAACCATAGCGGGAAAGTATCCTTTCTTTCACCACTAAGTTGAATGTTTGCTGTTGGCTTTTCACAAGTGCCATGTATCTGGTGTAGAAAGTTCTCTATTCCTGGTTCATTGAGTTTTTATTTTTATTTGTAATCATTAAAGCATTTGGATTTTGTTAAATGTCTTTTCTGAATCTATTGAGATGATCATGCAATTCTTCTTTCTTATTCTGTGGATAAGATGTATTACCTTAATGGATTTTGGGCTGTTGAACCAACCTGGGATTACTAGTATAAATTTCACTTTGTCATATTGTGTAATTCTTTTATATGTTGCTAGAAATGATTTGTTAGTATTTTTTAAGGAATTTTGCATTTATACTTATTGTAGTTTTATTTTTCTATGCTATTTGGACTAACTTTTGTATCAAGGTAACACTGGCCCCACAGAATAAATTGGGAAGTGAATATTTCTCTTTTTTAAAAAAGTTAGTCAAGAATTAATATCAATTAGTCAATACTAACAAATATGATTAATATTATAAATTATTAATTTCTCTAATTTTTATTTTCTTCCTTCTGCTTGCTTTAGGTTTAGTTTGCTATTCTTTCCAGTGTCTTAATGTGGAAGGTCATCTTATCTCATCCTTTCCTTTGTCTTTTCATTTTCTAAATCGTGTCTTTTTAGCATCAGGTGAGCTCCCCAGGTTGGTAGTACTCCATGTTTATTGCTGTACAACAATGGCAGGTAATATGTCCTGAAGACAATGGAAACTTAACATTCAAATTCCTCCTAGATTCCACTTTATGTGATATGTCTCTTCCTTTGATTGGTCCTAATTTCTACCCTTTCTCTATTATAAACCATGAGTACAATGGCATTCAATGAGTTCTGTGAGTGTTTCTAGTAAATTCTTGAAACTCAGGGTGTTCTGGGGAAACCCCTGAACTGGCAGTTGGTGTCAAAAGTGAGAATCATCTTATATGGCCTCTTCCTTTGAACTTTGCAGCTGGACCCAAACTCTGCACAATTTGGGCCAGAAGTCTCATGTTGACTTTGCAGCCTAAAGTATCTTGTAGTTTGTCTAACGCTCAATAAATTTGCTTTCATCAAATATTGTATTTGTTACCCCAAAATTACCATCATGTTTTTTTTACTCCAAATAACTAACATTGGGAGAAATAGCCAGCTGAATCTGTAACTCAACAGAAACAAGTGATCCATATACCATATAAGTGGCCATTTCATTTTGCCTCCTTCCACCAAATCTTAGCAACCTCAACCATTGCCATGAGCCACTGTAGGCCTACCGGCTACAAACAAACAAGTATCTTTTAAAAACACTTCACACTCCCATTTAATAAATTTCCCAGCAAAGAGATGCCTACTTTAACTCTATGCAAGTGGCTCATATTCGCGAAGTCTGGAGATATTATTCATGTAGTGTGAGAAAATCATCCCAGCGATGCCAGCACATTCTCCTTCCCATGATCTGCTAGGTTTGCAAACATGTTCAGGCCATAGGTGAGAGATTTGTATTTCACAGTACAACAATTTTAAGGAGGGCACTGAAACTTAGATTGAGCATTTTAGTACAGTCACACATCACTAAATGATAGGGATACGTTCTAACAGATGCATCCATAGGCAATTTCATCGTTTTGTAAACATCACAGAGAATATTACAAACACCTAGATTGTACAGCTTACCACGTCTAGGTTATATGGTATAGCCTCTCTCTCCTAGGCTACAAACCTGTGTGCTAGATTACTGTACTGAATACTGCAGGCAATAAGAACACAATGGTAAGAGTTTATGTATCTAAATATACTTAAACATAGAAAAGTATGTAAAAATATGTATTATAATCTCATGGGACCACTTTTGTGTATGTAATCTGTCTTTGACTGAAATGTTATTATGCATGACATGACTCTGTGACAAAAATAAAATAATACATTGTAAAAAATGTACACATGTATCAAACATATTCATATTATAAAAATAAAAATATTTATTCAGTGTAAGAATTTGTAATGATCACAAAATGTTCACATCTTATATTTTAGTACAGTTTCAAATGCCCAGTGCAATTACTACTTATTCCTTTGTGTATTTTTAACATGTATATAATAAATATTTTTCAGGTTCAACAATATATATCAATCCTACTGGCTCTTATAAATATTAGTTAAAATCAATTAGTAAATTCATGTATTATATATACACATGTGTATCAGTGAGTGTGTGTGCATGCATGTGTGTGTAAATGTAATTCTATTGTGTGTGTAAATGTAATTGGATGCATCCTAATATTTATCCTTACCTACAAGATTTCCAAGATTCATTTATTATCTTTAGATGATGTGCATTTAAAGATTTACCAAATAAAACTCTAATTGTGGAAAATATCAAGATGTTATTAAATTCATCTTCTGCACATAATTGTTTCTTTAAATTTATGTTTCTTGCAAAACTTGCAGTAATGCTCATGCACAAAATAATTTTCTAAATAAAAATAACATTTTCTGTCATTAATTCTTAATAATTATTTCTCCCCAAAAATTAATGTGAATTAATTCATAATTCTTAATTATAGAATAGTGTTGCCCTTCAGAGTTCTGAAACCTTTGCATGTTGTATACATTTCACTAACTAGAACAACTTCTGAAATATTGGCATTAATTAATGTCACTCTGCAATTATTGATTTCAAAGAAATTAAATACCTTTCATATTATGAATCACAAGGGTACTTTGGCACCTAATTTAATCAAGCTCTTTGTATCATCATCTACACTTTAATTACTTAACAAACATTTCTCAGTGTGAGAAAGATTGAGCAGGTTATTGTGCTTTGTTAAGATGCAACTTTTGCTTAATCTAGAGATAGGCAATTCTCCCTATAAGGGACAAAGAGAAAAATGAAAGAGCAATAGAGATGTGACAGGCATGGAAAAAGACAATACATTTATAAAACAAATAGGGCCACAGATGACGATAATGGGGATAAATCTTGAGATACTGACTCAGTTTATAACCGCACTGTATAATAGAGCAAATCATTTGTTAATTTTTTTACAAATGGAATTTAATTTAATTAAGATGAATACAATGTTTTAAACAAGGCAGGTCATCTTAAAATAGTGGAATAAATTGATAAAACCAATGTAAAAATCATAAACATTTTATAAAGAATTTTTGTCATGTAATTTAATATTTTTATTTAAAATCACCCAAATCAAAATAATTTTATCTTAATTAACAAATAATCATCAGAAGTTTAACTAATTTTTACTTTATATTACTAGGTTTAAAAATTCTTAACTATATTTTTAATCATATATGCTTATATATAAAATAGACATAGGATATATATTTACATGTTCACAATATTATATTGTAATTGTTCCTATGGATGTGGTTTCTCAGTAGAATTAATAAGTACTTTTAAAATTTTCAATTTCAATGATATATATGTTTGACTTTTCTTTGACAAAGCATACATATATTGATAGGTAATAATATGAAAATCTTCTAAAGACATTACAGGAACATGAAAATGTAATTAAATCCTCACTAATTTGTAATGTTTTATGTAAGCAGAACACATTTAACTGAAAATTGCTTTTATGTAATACTCAAACAAGACTAAAAACATTTTAACTAGCGGAGTAAGTCTTCAAATTGATAATCTGAACTATATAAGAGGAGAAACTTCAGGCACTCAAATATTTGAAATGCTACAAAATATTTATATAAACTATTATTTAACAATTTCTGTTTGTAGAGTGCTATACAGTAATCAATATAAATGGCATCTCAAGTCTTTCTCTAGCTTTGACCACATTTACCTCCTAATTTTAATTATTAATATGTTGGAGCAATGCATACAACTAGATTCCAATCTTCCTTTTTAATGAGTAAAAATATGTCCTTTGAGACACCATTAAAGAAAGAGCACCTTGTATAAATTCAATGCAAAGAGACAAGATATTCATGATTCTGAAGTCTTGTTCTTTGATACAGCAATGTAATTAATAATAAGAAGAAAAGCAGGACATAGATGTGGAGTCTATTTTAATCAAAAATTATCTATAGATTTTGATGATAAAATTTAAAAATCTACTATATTTAGTTAGTTACAAAAAACTAGGTTGTGGGAACATATTTGGTCAATAAACACCCCTACCAAATGCTGACAAGAAAAAAAGTTAGGTACCACCTTTCTCCTCTGCAGATGGCCTGAGATGGGTTAATTTGAAAGAATGCTTCCAAACCTGAGGTGACCCCCGAGAACAGCATAATCCACTTCTGTCTCCTACATTCAGTTTCTCAGTTTGTGCTCTTTTAATTTTGGGGGGAGGGAAGCCAGTCCTTTAAACCGATCTTCAGCATGATGGCAGAGCCAAGGAGTGTGGACAGGTGGCACGGTGTCTGACTTTGTTCCAGCAGCCACTTGGGCTTTCTCTGGGTCTTCTGTGCCCTAGGGATAGCACCAGTATTGAAAACATGTCTTTGTGACATTCTCTATGCCAGGAACTACCAACACATTTTCCTTGAAACTGATGAAATGAATAAAAATTAACCAAGAGGTGTGCTGTTTGTTTCTGTTTCCTCCTTTCTGCAGCCCTTCTTCATCATCTAATATTTTTAAATACATTGTTGATCACCAAAAGGAGCATAAGGGCTTTACTGGTTTGTAGCAGATGTATAAATAGTCCAGCCCCTATTCCTTACCTGTAGCTGCTGGGAAGAAAACCATTCTTAACACTCTACAAGATCTCATCTCCAGAATTTGCACCAGTTTCTAGCTGAGGACTTTCTCTAGCAGCACGGGAGCTTGATACTGGGGATGAAGTGGGAAGAAAAGGTGAGGGTAACTAAGAAGAATCTCCCTGGATTCAGTGATGTAATTCTGAGGCATGTTCCACATAGCTTCCCATAGAATTAAGCCCAGATATCTAACACAGGAACTTGCCTCTTAACACGTGTGGTACTGGCTTTTCTATCTTTCCTGTTTTATTTTGTTCTCTCTTCCTTGTCTCACTTTTGCTGTGTCCTCACTCCTGCTTTAAGAATACCCAAACAAATACATTCATTTATTGTTTTAGACTCTCAGAACACAGTTGATAGTTGAACTTGTAATCTATGATAATCAGCTTGGATGCTATACTGACAGGAAGATGGTGAACTCACAACGTCTAATTAAGATAAAATTTAAAAATATATTGATTCATGTCCAAAGATTTAAAAAACCTAAGCGGCAGTGTCACAATTTCTTCTTTTTAGTTTACATGGTTTCTTAAACGCCTACAATTATTTTAAAGGAAGCCTTGTGTCTAGGAAAAATTGAGACATATGGAATAAATTACTAATCCATTTCTCCTTGAAATCCATTAGATGCTTGATGATTTTTCACATATATTTCTGAATTGAAAAGCTAGTTGGGAATTATTTTTATAAGCATATCCTTATGTAATATTTTGTTTTTAACAGTGAATTGAAGGTTTAAAGATTAAATTATTCCATCCAGAGAATAAAAAGCAATTATTCCACAAGGAAAACATGTGTATGTTGACACAACATTTTAAAATCTAGATTTTAAAATAGGTCCCATATACTTTTAAGTCAATTAGAATATGTTTGTATCAGTGTGTCTACAGTTTTACACCTGTCAAAATGTACTTGAACTACAAGTACCTTGAACAATTTTGAAATTTATTATTCCTCTGAAACTGACTAAAAGAATTATGGTAGAGTGAAATTCTGATTGGCATAATTTGGGAGAGAAATTATTCCTTGGACATCAACCTCTGCCAAGATAGTTTATAATGACATTGAGGCTTTTTGATTTACAAAATTTGTTATATAAAAAATACTAAGACAATGACAGATAATACACAGACTTTAATTAAAATTGTACTAAAATTGAATGTCTAAATAAATTAGAAGGGTACATGGTACATCTAATTGCATGTTTATATATTTTATTTGTGCATTTTATTCCTAGGGTTGCTTTTGGTTTAGTTTGTAAAACGTTCTTATTTTTATGATAATGTAGTATATACTAAATACAGAAAAATCAGGAAATAGAAAATGAAGAAGAAAACATTAACTATTGTCAACCAAATAAAAATTGTGCAGTCTCTAAGCACATGAACTATGTATTATTTGTACAGCATGTACAATGTTTATGCTTCACAGGGTGAGGTAGAGACTGCAAAACATTGAATCTGGGACAAATAAGAAAGTAAGGAAATTTTCACAATATATTAATATTATAGAAAATGTTGAACTTAGCAGTTAAGATACAAGTAGTGAAAAATGATAGTATTTAAGGAGAAATAGAAAATTTAATCTACATCTGTAATGTGTGAGAAGTATTAGAATAATGCTTGTATTTCTGGATTGGCATCGATTTCTATTGAGACTGGAAACAAAGTAGAAGTGAGGGAAAAAGAATTTAAATTGTGGATACTTGAGTTTTATACCTAGGAGTTTGAGAAATACATTTTGTTACTATCAAAGCAGTTGGCACAAGAGTGTACAAAATTCCCTAATTGTGTCTATGTGGAGAAGACATAGACAAACAGAGAATAGCAAAACAGAAATAGCAAAAAAGCACAAATAAATTTTACCTGTATTTTTACGTAAAAGGCAATTAGAGTAGGAAAACATAAAATTTGTGTTTTATCAAAATTTTTCTCTTTCTCATAATATAGTTGATTATATTACTGGAAAAATTGAAGCATTGGTATGCTCACACAAAAAAAAAGTAAAATATAAGGTCAAAACCATGGGAATGCAGGGAGCAGATGAAATATACCTCAACACCGAAACTGATTTTGCCCTACGGACATGTACCAAAATGAATGAGTGCAGATTCCTACTGTCATACATCACATAGGACGTAAAGAAATACATAGTTTTTCCCAAGATAAGGCATCACACAGGAGCTCCTCCCTAAAGCTAGGACCAAAATTTCTATCTTCAGTATAAAGAAGAATCAGAGGTAAATTAATCTCATTTCACATTCCCTGGAAACGGCAAATAAAAATGACTTGAGATTGGACAGATTTAAAGAAACTCAATCATTAATGATTTACAGCAATTAATTTAAAAATTGTTTAAATGTGCAGTCCAAACATACGTCCAAACATCTCTAGGCCAAGAATTAACATAATGTGGTCCCAGAATGGTGGTGCCTTTAGTAGACTCACAAAAAAATTCAAATTCTCTTTGGCAAATTTTCTTCTTACTAATCCTCAAAAGTGCACAAAAATAATTTTCAGAGAAAAATAAATATTTGTCATTCAAAGGCATCTAAGTATGCAGGAAATGATATTCCACCATTTGAAAGGAAAGCAGAAAAACAGTACAAACAGATCCACAAAGGTTCATTAGTAGAAATATCACTGTTAGATTATAAAGCACATTTGCTTTAAAAAAAATTTAAAAAAATGAATATATTTTTAGGAGACTAAAAAATTGATGTAGCAAATTTGAAAAGTAGTTTGTATAAAAATATAGTATTTTAAATTAAAAACTCAAAAATGAACTCATCAGATTAGACGTGGCCATGGTGGGAGTTAATAAATATTTCAGAATGCATTACAGAAAATTTAAAAAAATGCAAAATGTAGACAGAATCATGAAGAGACATGGGAGATACAGTGAGAAAGTGTAGCATGTGTTTAGTGAGTGTTCTCATAGAAGGGAACTGGGAAGCGACAATATGTGATGGTATTTTGGCTGAAAGTTCTCTAGACTTTTGTAAGACACTAAACCGCATATTCAAAAATTCCATGCATGCTAAGCAAGCTACAGTGGAGATAAACCTACACCTATGTATCTCCTAGAGAAATAGTAAAGAATCAGGAAGGGAAAAATATTTCAATTAGCACTAGAAAAATCAAATTACCTTTAATCATATTGAAATCGGAAAGAATGAAAGGTAAAATAAACAATATTATTTGTTAAGAATAATAATGCCATTCTGAAATTCTCAACCAAGAAAAGTATTCATCAACCTATGGCTAAATAACATATTTAGAGACAAAAAACAAAACGCCACCAGCAGAATTCCACTAAAGAAACTAAAGAGAAACTCTGAAAACATGCTTCAGAAAGGCTGAAGCTTCGAAATCAAAGAATGAACACAGAGCAAAATATATTGTAAACATACAGATAGATCTAAATAAAAAATTAGGTGTTGAAACAAAAAGATATTTAAAATTAGATAAACACTGCAATATGTATGTTAGGAAGCAAATTATTAGGGCTGAAGTATTCAAAGACCCCTTAATTGTCTGACAAGAGCAGAAAGTTGAGTATGACTTTGCAATTTTTTTTTTTTTTTTTTGAGAAGGAGTCTCACTCACTCTTTCACCCAGGCTGGAGTGAAGTAGCGCGATCTCGGCTCACTGCAAGCTTCGCCTCCGGGGTTCACGCCATTCTCCTGCCTCAGCCTCCCGAGTAGCTGGGACTACAGGCTCTCCGCCACTGCGCCCGGCTAATTTTTTGGGTTTTTAGGAGAGATGGGGTTTCATCGTGTTAACCAGGATGGTCTCCATCTCCTGACCTCGTGATCCGCCCGCCTTGGCATACCAAAGTGCTGGGACTACAGGCGTGAGCCACCGCGCCCGGCCCTCTTTTATGTTCTGTAGTAAATAAAGATGACCGATTCCTGAACATTGAG